>NC_000016.10:55471591-55774621 GCF_000001405.40 Homo sapiens | reverse complement strand
GAAATCCTCCATGCCACTGGCTCCAGTGGGCGATCCTCAGCCTAGGTCTGGATTCCTATCGATCACCTCTTCCTTTGGCTTTCAACCACTCTCCAGATGATGACAAAATCCTTGCCAGGGTCCTGTGCAGGGTGGCCCCTCCCAACGTCCCCTCTGTCAGTACTCGCCGCGCTCCGCCTGTTCTGCCTGCTCTGGCCCCATCGGCTCTGTCTCTGTCTCTCCCTCCCGATTGGGATGCGTCCTCCTGCCACAGCACGCGCATGTGCTGCTCCCACTCCCTGGACGTTCCTTGCTCCTGACTCATTAGTCACTTTTCCAGCAAGCCTTCCCTGGTAACCTCTTCCAGCCCCAGGACTCAATGCTTTCTTTAGATTCTGCTGTGGCAGCAAGTACCTCACCTTCACTGCTCTTGTCATAGGTGACACTTTCTAGTTGTGTGATTCTGTAGCTATTCATCTATTCCCTACATTATAGCAGAAGCTTGGGGAGGTGTTAGGTGTCTGACTAGAATGCAGAGCCACATAGGGCCATGCAGTGTCTATGTCCCCTCCACACGGACATCTGGCTTTGAGCCAAAGGATGACGTCTGCCCATTTCTTGTTTTTGCCTTCACTTAGTCACCTAGTTTTGTTGTGTGAACAAATGAATCAATGAGTGAATTCTCCAGGAACCAACCCTGGTTATCAGGCGCTCATTGTGGAACTGCTTCAGGCCCACAGCCCACAAGTGGGTCCACAGAACTCAGACCCTGAGAGACACAAGACACCATCACTGCCCAATATGGCACCAGGCCCTGGCACATAGGTGGAGTGTGGTCACAGACAGGGCACTGTACTGGCTGCTAGGGCCATGAGCTGGAGTCCCAGCTCTGCCCTGATCACCTGCTGCCCTTGGCAAATCCCTTCCAAGCCCTGTGTCGGTTTGCCTGGCTGTGAAACTGGGACGCTGATCAAGGTGTCTCCTCGCCCTTCCTGCTCAGCCATTGGTGCCTCAGTGATTCTAGGAGAACATTAGCTACAACCGACCACAAGAGAGATCCCTGAGGATTCAGGAGCATAGAGCCAAGGAGGTGGGGGTGTCCAGCCGGAGACGTACCAGCCGGAGACCTACCTCAGCCAAGGGCTTGACATCACCTTTCTTCACCAGAACAGAAGTGAGGGCCACGCCACTCTCAGAAATGGCCCGGTGGAAGAGGTTCTTGGCCAATGGAGACAAAACCTGACAGCAGAGTGGAGGGGAGGAGAGTTCATGCTCAGGAGTGGGGTCAGTGACTCACTTGCTCTTCCAGGCTAGATCTACCCCACTATAAAACCAACACAGGATTGAGGAATCCAGTAGTGGGCTGACCCTCTGCCCACCTCGAGGCAGGCAGAAGTCTTCCTACAGCTCCCGGCACCTCTCATCTGGGTTTTCATCCCAGATCCCCCAGTGTCTCCCGCACCCAATCCCCAACCCCAGGAGGACCCCTCACACCCCGGGTTGTGTCTATGACCCACAACCCCTGCCCCATCCCTCCCCATCCCCAGCTCCATCCCTCCTTCCTCTCACCCGCCTCCCCTAGCCGACCGGGTCCCACAGTCACAGAAACTGTTGCCTCCTTCTTGGGCATGGACCAGCCATGAGACCACCCCAGAGGAATTCCCAGCCTGCTCAGTGTCCATGTCCCCTCCACTCATAGTTCTGGTTTAAGCTAAACAATGACCTCTGTCCACCTCTTGTCTTCGCCTGCCCTTACTCATAATTTATGCCTATCCCTACTTCCCAAGAGAAGGGAAGTGAGTCCTTATGTTAAAATGAGTGGGAAGGAGAGAGAGAAAGAGAGAGAGAGAGAGAGCTCAATCAAGCTAGAAGAGGAGAATGCCACCGTTGCAGGCTGCAACTAGAGATTCATATGGCCCCCGGACACTAAGCTGAGCTCTGAGCTTCCTGTGGGCCAAGGAGAGCTTGGTCTTTAGCTTTCCACCCCCTGATTGGGCAGTGAGTAGGGCCAGTCCTGAGACTGTAATCAGAAGTGTGCATAGCTGGATTGACAGGTGTCCAAGAGATCTCATCAGCATCACATCAAGCCTGGGGTTGGGCCCGGTGCCAGGAATACTCACAAGAACAGAGACACTTTCTCCTCCCACTGACCCTCCAAAGATGGTCACAGAGCCTGGGTTCCCTCCAAAGCTGGCAATGTTGTCCTGGACCCAGTGCAGGGCAGCCAGCTGGTCCAGGTGACCCCAGTTCCCCGGGCTGTGTTCATCCCCTGTGCTGTAAGGAAGAGAACAGGTTGAGGGTGGGGAGCAGAGATATCATGGCAGGACTTTCAGGACTACAGATGCGGCTGGGGGCTATCAATAAGCCTTTAAGAATAAGGCTGGGCTTCAGCATCTCTGAGACCCTGCTTTCATTAGTACAGCATTGTGGTGATGTATGGTTCTACATTCACTCAACTGGCAACTATTTACTGAGCATCTACTATATGCCAGACACTGTCCTATGAGCTAGAGCACACCTGAGAGCAAAACAGGCAAAACCTGTGATGACACTGAGCTCCCACTACAGATCACAAGCAGATAAACAGATATATAGAGAGAATATAATGATGTCAGGTAGTCAAAGTGCATTGAGGTAAATAAAATGGAACAAGGGTAAAAACAGGGGTGGGACAGGGGGTGCCATTTCAGATCCCAATCAGGGAAGGCCTTTTGGAGGCAGTGGCATTTGAGGTTTTGGAGGCAAAGACCTTCATAAAACAAGCACAACGAGCACATGAACCTTGTAAATATCCAAAGAAAGGAATTCCAGGCAGAAGAAAAAGCAAGTGCAATGGGCCTGGGGCCCAGTGAAAGAAAGTGTAGGTCAGGAGGTGCAGCTAGAGAGAGCCCTGGGGCCCTGGCAAGAACTTCGGCTGCCATGGTAAGGAACATGGGAAGTCCCTGCAGGGTTTTGTGCAGAGGCATCACATGATTCAACGCACATGTTACGTGATCACTCTCGGTACTGTGCGACTCAGCCTCAGTAAGAAAGTGGCAGAGATCTGAAAGTAAGTCTTAAGATCATAATCAAGGTGACAGACAGAAGGCTTTGGCTAGGGTAGGAGCCAGGGAAGAGGTGCAAAGTAGTGGATTCTAAGTGGATTCTGAAGGTGGAGCCAAGAGGGTTGTGAGAAAAGAGAGAGTCCAGGCTGCCCACAAGGCCTTCTCCTGAGCCCAAGGGAGGGTGTGGCAGCAGCAGCTGAGTGGAGGTGTGGTGAGAGGAGGAGGGGGTCTCTGTTGGGGAGGGGCAGTGGGAGTCAAGGATTCAGCTTGTCCATGGGAAGAGTGGGGCACCCTTTAAACAGCCAGGGGCAGGGAAGAGGCAGTGAGTGACACCTGTGGGCTTCAAAGGTGAGGTGGACTGGAAACAGGGGCTCTGGGCTGCTCCGTGGGATCACTGGGAATTAGTAGGGAGGGAGAGGGAGACAAGAGAGGCCTGTGGACAGGGAGGAGGGGGGACCAGGAAAGGGGCTGGGAAGGAAGCATGTCACAGAGGCTGAGCGGCCATCTGCTGCTGCTGGGAAGTCCTGTGAGGTTGGGTGGAGCACAGGGGGAGGTCATTGGTGACCACAATGAGAGCAGCCTAGTGGTGTGTTCAGGAAGAAACCTGACTGGCATGGGTGGAGGAGACACACGGAGGAGAGGAAGTGGAGAGAGATCATGAAGCAGCTTTATTGTAATGGGGAGCAGAGACACAGGCTGTGGCTGACAGGGATGAAGGTGATACCACCAAGACTGGCCTGGGATGCCTTGCTGATGGGTAGACCAGAACTCAACCTCCATCTCCCTAGGCTTTCTCATCAGTGAGTGGAATCCCTCCCACAACCCTCGCATCACTCACTCGGGATTGAGGTGCTGGGATGTTAACACTTAGAAAAGGTTCATAGTAATTGCACCTTGAAGGAGATCTGACTCCTGTCCCCATGGAGACCTGATGGGGAAGACTCCATCCTTGCTTCCCGCGCTTGCCAAATTTCGAGCAGAAAATGGGGTGAGTGGGTCCCAACACTCCTACAGGAAGGGGTCAGATGCTCCCACACCCCACCATCTGCAGGCCCCATTCCTTCACCCACAACATGCCCTGAGCTCCCTCTGTGACTCTGCCCCTTCCCTCCTTTCCATGAGAAGTCAGATGTGTCAACCTTCACCTGCTGGGCTGCCTGCTAAGTGTCATGACAGAGAAAAGCAATGTGCTGGAGAAACATAGGTGAAGAGGAGATGAGTCTTTCAGTGGAGGTAACTGGGGGCTGGGTCTTGCAGGATGAAGAGGTGTTCTTCGGATAGAACAAGCATTCCAGGCAGAGGGAACAGCACATGCAAAAGCTCAGAGGCAAGTGGATGAGTGGCTGGGTAGTGAGAGGGTAGGTAGTGTCCAATTATGAAGGGGCTTGGATGCCTTACTGTGGAACCTAGCTAAGCTCCCCTGAGGGCTGGCATGACAAGAGCTGGGTCCTAGCATCCTCGTTCTGGGGGCCAAAGTGCAGTGAGGAGAGTCCAATTTCTTACCTGAAGAATCCCCAGATGCCCAGGCGATATTGAATGGTCACCACCACCACGTTTTCATGGGCAGCAAGGGCCAGCCCATCGTAGGTTGATGCCGCACCCACCATCAGCCCCCCTCCGTGGATCCACACCATCACCTGGGCAGAGAGGAAGCAACATACCAGTTACAGGACACAGAGCCAGGGAGCACTCAGAAGATGTCTTGTTTGGTGACCTACCTGTTGGTTACAACTGAAGGAGGATGCTACCCAAAGTTCACCAGCTCCCAGCAACTTTGCAAAAGGCAATCTCTCTCCTGCATAATTCTCCCAACTGGGACCCAAGCCACCACCCTACTGCACATACCCTGGCTGTCCCTTCCTTTCTACCCAGCCTCCAGTGCCTCCTCCCCGAAAGGCTCTTGATGCTGAGAACATCATCATGGGCATAGCAAAGGCTAAGGATGTCCTCTTCTCCCCCTCACTCCCATCACCCTCAAGCCTGGACTATTCATGCACTCAGCGTACCCATGGGGCAGCCCTTGTATCTCAGCTTCATCTCAGTTAACTATCTCTTGGTGAAGTAAACTTCTCTGTGCATGAATGATTGTCTCGAGAAGCACACGTGCCTGTGATGGTGTCTCTTCCTCAAATGCCTCCTTATGCCTCTGCATCCCCAAATCCTATCCACCCTGCAGAACCCAGCCTAAAACCCACCCACTTCAGGATGCCTTCAGTCAATGGACTAACACTGTCGAGAACTTAGCAAGTGCCAGGGACTCTGCTAATACTGGAGGATGAGAGTGGATACAATTCCTCATGCATGATTCTTGCATTTTAAAAGTCCACATAGTGGGGAAGAAGTGAGAGTGGCTAAAATAATGATATTGTAATAATATTATTCATGAAATATAAAAGAACTCGTAACATAAACTATGTCCCAAGTGCTGTTCTAAGCACAGTAAAATAAACTATCCATTGGGTAGATACTAATACTGTGGCATTCTCCAGGTGGGAAAATGGAGGCACTTAACCTGCCCAAGGTCCTACAACTCAAAAGTGGTAGCAGCAGGACTTTAACCCAGGCGGTCTGGCTCCAGAGTTCACATGTTGAGCTGCCCAGCATACTGCAGGCGCCGGCCACAGTGCAGTGAGTCCACTGTTAGGGCAGGGGTATGAGCCTGCCTCTGCCTACTTAACCAGGGTCCGAGATCAAGCTTAGTGGTCACCCTTGACTGACCATATGTGGTGACTCTCATTTTGAGGAAACAGAGGCTTAGAAAAGTTAAGAAATGCCCAGCTACTCAAAGGCAGAACCAGGATTTAAACCTAGACTGTGTAGTTCTAGAACCTGTGGCCATTCCTAGAGGTTCTCCTGCCTCCAGGTTCCCAGAGCCCCTGTTTCTCCCACACATCTAATCCATGGCTGCCTCCTGGGGAAGGACTGAGTGTGCATTCATCTTTGTGTGAAGGCTGAGCCCAAGGGCTGGCCTGCAATAACCTGCTGAAGAGAGAATATGTCTCTACAGCCCAGATGGCAAGATCTTTGAAGGCAGGGGCTGCGTGGAGTGGATTCATGTTCCTCCTTTCCCTGAAGCCCTGGGTCTAACTGTGTATATGGGGCACTGAGTACACAATAGAAGAATGAATGAATGAATGAATGAATGAATGAGTAAACGTTTCTCCCACTTCCTTTGTCTTACAAAGTACACGTAGGGCCAACTTCTAGTCCCATGTTTGCAGACCTGCTCCCCCACTCCTAGGCACCATGCCACGGTGCCCCTGGGAGACTGGCTGGACACAACACCCCTTCTTTTTACACCCTGGAGTGGCCTCCTTTGACAGCAGACCCTCCCCACCCTCCAACCTGCAGCTGGCAGCCTGCCCCATCTCCCGCCCTTCATTTATTTGGGAAATGCTAACTCACTGGGTCATCAGCCGTTGCCAAGACAATTAAGGAGGGAAATTAGGTAAAAAAAATCCCAGATATTTGGCCAAAGGCAAAAGGAAATGCTTCTGGGATTGTCCCATGTTCTTCCCTCAACACCTGTACCTGGACAGTGAAAGTTACCCCAGATGAATGTTGATGTACTGGAGAAGGCCACATAAAAGCTCAATGCCCTAATCCCTGTCGAAAGCACTGATTTGAAGATCAGAAGACTTGAGCCAAAACTACCCTATTGTGTGACCTCTCCTTCCCTGTCTGGGCCTCAGTTTCTCTATTTGAAAAAGAAGAGTTGGGGTGTTGGCTTTTCTCTAAGTTCCTTCCACCACTAACATTATTGAAAATCATGTCTTACCCACTGTGGATATCAGATTTTTAATCTAGTAACTAAAAGTAATCATTATCATCCTTCTATTAGCATGAGGGAACTTGGAACAATTAAGATGTTCATTAAAGATGCACAGCAAACTCCCCCAGAGTCCCTGTGTCATGAGGGGAAACTGAGGTGTGGAAAACCAGTGTTTCCTGTGGAGGCCCTGGGGTCTCTGAAACAATCCTGGCCTGTGCAGCTCCCTCCCCAAGCTGCCTTCACTCCCTTCCATTCTGCCCCAGAAGATGCAGGGTACTGGCGCTGACACGCCTTGACCAGGGGATCCCATGGCTTACCGGCAGCCTGTTTTTCTTGGTCAAGTCAGCAGGAGTGTAAATATTGAGGTAAAGACAGTCTTCAGAAAGCTTGAGAGGAATGTTCTCTTTTCAGTTTGTAAATAGCTCTGAGATTAACTGCCCCGCCTTGGGATCTTGGGTGAACCTGGGGAGGGGGAAAGAAGAACCCCTGAAGTTCAGCCAGATCTAAGCGAGGTGTGTTCTAGGGCAGTGCCTTGGGCTGGGAGGTTCAAGCCTGGAAATGGACTTGATATTTACAGACTCACGACATTGTAGTGGGTAGGAGGCTATCAGTGGCTTCAGGTGGGGGTGCTGGGACTCACTAAGGTCTCCTAAGACCAAGCAGAGTGAGAAGGGCTTCACACCTCTTCCCTTCCTGGAGCCTTCGGGACTCCCAGCATCAAGGAGGGAAGAAAACCAATACAACGATCTTCCCTGGGAGGTGACATTTCTTGCAATGTCTTAGGGGTAAAATCTTTTTGGGACAACATCAGGAGAACTGTGCTCTAGTTTTGTCTCTCCCACACATTTACGGGATGACCTTGGGTGAATTCCTTTCACATTCTGGGTCCCAAATCTGCCAGGTCTAAGTGAGAGCAGTGATTTCTACATGGGTCTTGCAGCCCTGACATGCCAAGATTCTACCATCCGCCTATCCCAGGCAAGTGCTGCTGTGGTTGCCCTGATGAAAGATCTTGAGGATACAACATAGATGAACATTGGTAACAGTTATTGAGTTCTCCCAGTGTTCCAGGCACTGTTTTAAGTACCTTTTGTATATTAACTCATTTAAGCCTCAGAACAGTCCCATTAGGTAGGTTCTATTATTTCCATTTTACAGATGAGAAAACTGAAGCCTAGAGAGGTTAGAGAACCTGACCAACATCACATAGCCAAGAAGATCCATGCCATGTGGTGCTTATACACAAGTATATTATAAGCAACAGTCCCAGACCTCAATGTACCAAAAGGCAGTCATCACCGCCCCCACTAGGTACATGAGGAAACTGAGGCACTCAGACTCTGGGATGACACAGCTGTCAAGTGACAGAATCAGAGCCAGCAAAGATGACTTCTTGATTTCCAACCTGGGAAATTTTCCTACAGATCACCAAGTGCAAGAGGCATAACAACAATAATAATAAAAAAAAAGACATTCCAATGTGAAGAAAGGGAAAAGAACTCAACTTCACTAGTCTTCAGATAAATGCAAATTAAAGAGGAAAATAATATTGCTGTTATTGTTATTATTATTTTGCCTATCCAATAGCCAAAAACATTTTTTAATAATCCCAAGCATTGCCAAGAGTCTGCCAAATGGAGATGTTCATACATCAATGGGAGGAGTGTAGTTGGAATATTTTGGGAGGGAAATCAAACAAGAGGTATATACTCTTTGACTCAGAAATGTCGTTTCTGAGCAGCTATCCTAAAATATTCATATATGTGCATAAGGCTTCACATTCATGATGTTATATTATTGAAAACATCATATGTCACTTAATGACCCCAAGTAAAAGCTTGTGGAGATTAATTATGGTTCAATACAATGTAAAGCAGCTGTTAATGCCAATCTGTGCTATTTAATGGCATGGAATGATGCTCATGATTACTTATAATGAACAAAGCAGGCATCCAAATTATCTCAATATAGCATTCCCTTTTAAAGGAAGAGAGTATAGCAACAGGCAAAAAAACTGGAATACAAACAAAATATTATATCATAAAACTTTGCTATCTAAAATATTGATAGTTGTTCTCTTTGGGTGGTGGGATATTGTATGTGATTTTAATTTTCTTACTTTTCCTTCTCTGTATTTCCTGAATTTTCTGTAATAAGTATATATTACATTTGCAATCAGAAAATAAAAACAGTAAACATTATTTTTTAAAAAATAGCAAAGAAAAGAAGGCAGCCAGATGCGGGCTGCTGGAAAGCCTCCGAACACCTGGCTGCCAAGATGAGCAGGGTCTGCTCTGATGCCTGTAGGGACCTTGGTACCCTAGGGAGTGGTGATGAGGCCAATTAGAACCTTTGGGCTTTTCTTCCCAGATTGGCCAGGGTGAATGGGCACACCTGCCATTTTTCTCCTCAGGAATTGGCACACCTGAGAGTTGAGCACTTGCCAAGTGGACCCCTCAGTACTTCCTGGCCCAGCCCTCTCCCCAACTATGTGAAAGTTCAAGACAGAGGAATGCATGAGATCCTTCCTTTTGAACTCCCTCACCTGCTCAACTGCTTCTTTGTTTCCAAGGCACTTATTCCGTTCTAACATATCACATGACGCATGGAGTAATTTGCATGCTGTTTTTATCTGTCCAGCTGCTAGAATGCACGCTCCATGAACCTAGGGATCTTCGCTTTGTTCACTAATGGATCCCAAGAACCCAGAACATGCCTGGCACACAGTAGGTGCTCAATAAACGTGTTAAATAATGGACTCCAGAATGCTGTGAGAGTTCTGGAATGTTCTTAAGGATCTACAATGATCTTAAGGATTCCAGAGCAAAGGATCAGCCCATCAGGGGACTGCCTTGACTCCTTCCTGCATCACTGTGAGGCGAACATCCCCAAGGACACATGCCACAGCCACCCCTGGCTTACATAGGAGGGTACGAGGTGGCATTCTTCACAAAGTTCCATGGCTCTGCAGGCTGTGGTAGAGTAAACCTCAGGGGTCCAAGAGGCGGCTTGGCAAAAGGGATTCCCAGGAAAACGGCCACAGGCTGTGCAAATCCTTCTAAGCTGACGAACTTCCCCAACACTTTGCCATGCAGGGTGTCCACCAAAGGTGGCGAGGACAGATGCCCTGCTGGATATGGAGAAGAAATCAGGATGCATCAGAGGCAAAAGGCTGGACCCAGATTCCAGGTGGGGTTTCCCACTCTCTAAGTGAGTGACCTTAAATAAGTCACCTAAACCCTCTAGGCCTCAGTTTCTCTTGATGTACAATAGGGATGAGGGATCAATGTCCTTCCTAACTCATCAAGCTGGTTTAAGGAGCAAATTAGAATTGGAGGCAAAAAAACATCCAGCCAAAAATAAATGCAAGAAGGATAGCTACTAGGAAAGAACAAGACATTTAGCTTCCCCCTTAGAAGTCTCTGGAAACATTTATCCATTAGAATCCTGGCACTGAGCCGCATGCTGGATGAGAGGATGAACAAGGGGTGACCCATATTCTCACAAGCACTGACCATCATAGGGAAGGGTCACATATACACCTGGGGCTACAGCTGGGAAGGAAGTGGCCGTGTCCTGGGAGAGGTACCCATAACGCAGTCTAGGAATTAGAAGAGGGGGCAAGGCCTTCTGATTGCGGGCATCATGGAGGAGCTGGGACTTGCAGTAGAGGAGGATTGAATGAGGGGAGATGAGAAGCAGAGAGTGGTACACAGCAGAGAGAAGGGAATTTGCTGAGGCTCAGAGCAGCAGAATGCAGAGCCTGCCTGGGGAAGGGGGCATGGCCCACATGCACCAGGTGGAGTCTGGGGGGAGTGGAAAATATTCCTGGAATGAGACCGCGCATGTCAGGGAGGGCTTAGAATGCCAGGCTAAGCGCTTGAGTTTTCTTTACAGACAAATAAGCAGCAGGAACCGTTCCAGATAAAGGATGTGATCAGGTCAAGGAAGATTCTTCTGGTGGCCCTGGGCAGGTCTGCTCCATTCTTTCAGCACAGACAATGTTTCCTCACTGAGCTGAAATTCATTTCCCACAGCCTCCGCATCAGTTCTGGTTCTACCTGTCATGGGACTATACTGGCCTGATCTGATCTGCAGCCTGTGGCCTTTCAGACACTTGATCTTGCTGCCCACCCCTCAGGTCCTATCTGGCTCCAGTCACCTCAGTTTGTCTGAGCTTCCCTCCTAGGAAATGATTTCCAGCCTCTTGTCCTCCCAGCTGCTCTGCTTTGGATAAAGACAAGATGTTAACACCTCCCTCAAAGTGTGGGGCTAGAACAGAACAGAACAATTCAGATTTGGTCTTAGAGGGGAATATCCAATCACAATGGAAACTCCTTATGCAAAGCCCAGTTACACAACAGCATCCATGTCTCATCTTATTAATAGCCAACACTGCAATGTCAATATTTAGCTTCTTTTCTTTTGTTGTTGCTAATTACAAACAATACTGAGATGAACTTCCTTGGAAGCATGTTTATCGACATAGCAATGGGTGGTGGCATTACATGTGGCCTGTTTTCTTGGTGATTTCCACCTTTTCAGCACTGTATGGGATTTCTGGTCTTCACCTGAAATCTTCCCAACCGATCTTAACTATTTTAAAATTTTAAATAAAAAAAGAAAAAAATATGTAGAAATATGATGATGTCTAAAAGGTATTTTGAAAGACTTGGAGACCAGGCACAGTGGCTCACCTGTAATCCCAGCACTTTGGAAGGCCAAGGCAGGCAGATCATTTGAGGTTAGGAGTTCAAGACCAGCCTGGCCAACATGGTAAAAACCCCTCTCTACTGAAAATACAAAAATTAGCTGGGCGTGGTAGCATGAGCCTGTAATCCTGGCTCCTCTGGAGACAGAGAAGAAGGAAAGAAGGAAAGGAAAGAAGGAAGGAAGGAAGGAAGGAAGGAAGGAAGGAAGGAAGGAAGGAAGGAAGGAAGGAAGGATGGAAGGAAGGCAGGCAGGCAGGCATGCAAGCAGGAGCGAGGGAGGAAGGGAAAGAAAAGAAAAGAAAAGAAAAAGACTCTGTCCCTGACTAGACGTGGGGGGAAATGGAAGGGAAAGAAGATCAAAGACCTGGCTTGTGATGTTGGATCCCTGTTTACATAGGCTCGGTGGAGATGTCAGTGGGATATCATGGCAAGATGACGCCACAGGACGAGTGCACTTCAAGGCTGGAAGGAAGCCTGGTGGGGGAGCAGGGCAGAATGTTCTCCTAGACAGTGAGCATACACACCATGGATTTGTATGGCTTCATTGAAGATGCCAGTGTGAGAGGGAAGAGAAAAAAACAAAGATCAAACACAGGGACCACTACAGCCAAGACGAAAGATCCATCAGAGTAGCAGGGAGAGAACGTTCCCACGTCCTGGAAGCCCAGGGAGGAAGAGGGCAAGGAACCAACTAAGATTGCTGAGGACTTCAGGGAGGTGGAGGAGAGTCAAGTCAGAGAAGAAACCACTGGGCTGGTCATGCTCAGCTCAGGGATTCCCTTCAACAGGATGAGGTGGATGGCAGCCAGATTGCCAAGGGTGAAAAAGTGGGTGAATGGGGGGAGGCAGAAACAAGTGTGAGAACAAGACCAGTTGCTGCTGATGTTATATGAAGCACGAACATGGTGGGCACCTACTATGTGCCAGGCATGCATTCCAGTTTTTTAAATTAATCTTCAAATAAGCCTTGCTGGGTAGGCATCAACATGCCCATTTTACAGAGGAGGAAACTGAGGAAGTGGAGGCAGCCTGTATGGTCTTCCTAAGGAAGGAAATGGATGGCATTGCCAGGAGTAACCAGAGGTAAAGGAACATTCAGTTCCAAATAGGCTTCCTCTCTTCCTCTGCCCTTCCCCACAGTTCCAGAGCTCTCGCAGTGTCAGGCTGCCAGAAGGAAGACAGGATGCAGACGGGGCTGGGCTGTCAGGATTCAGGACCCAGAGACAGACCTAGGCGTGATTTTCGGGTTGACCCTGGGCAAGTACATTTCCCTGTGTGAGTTTCAGTTTCTATGTCTATAAAATGGCATGGGGGTATTTCGAGGCCCCTCGCTGCACCCCTCTATGTACCATGTGTTTTGTTTTCTGTATTCTGATGCTCTGGCATCTGAGGCCTTGTTGACCTTGGAGAAACTCCCTCTCAGGGTCCAGCCAACCTGGAGCCCACACTCCAACCGCCTCTTTGATCGGGTTGCCATGCCCTGGCCACTACCCACCTGCCCTAATCATGCCAGGGCTAGGTACAAAACAATTAGGAACAGCCCCTGTGCCCCAGAGCCCCTGAAGTATCCCAACTTGCCAGTCCTCAGCCTGCCTGCCCTGCCTTTCCTCTTCTATCCTTGGAAGCCACAGTAAAAGCCCCTTGGCCTCAGATCCGCCCTGTCCCCTCCCCAGGCTCTGCTGCTTCCCCTTGTGCCCCGCGCACTGGTGTCCCCCTCCTGTTGAGAACATGAGTAAGAAACTGTCTTTTTAATGGCAAGAGGTCCTGATATAGTGGCCTGACCACAGCTCGAATTTTCTATTCATACACTACATTTTTAAACAGCGCCTTTAAATTTATCCACCCCTTTTTCATGCTTTCTACATACCAGGCGCTTCCAAGAGTGCTTTAGAAACAACCACCCATTTCCTCCTCACCAAAGCCCAGTGAGGTAGGTAGCACTGCCACCTCTGTTTCAGAGAGGGGGTAACCCAAGCACAGAATAGCTCAGTCTCTTGCCTAAGTACACACAGCGAGGAAGCGCCCAGCGGGGACTCGAACCCAGGCACTCTGGCTCCAGAGTCGATGCTCTTAATATTCTCCTGAGCCGCTATCCGTTATCGAGCCATAACGGGACGAATTATGGGACAATAAACTGAGCTGCCTAAATTTCTCTTGTGTGCGGAGTGAGGTGGGCCGGCTGCCGGCCTTCTTGGGGCAAGCAGTGCAGGGCGGTCTCAGCATGTTCACCCTCCCTGTGTCTCCGCGCGGGCCAGGCTGGCTGGGCTCAGCTGCTCCAAGTCCAATTCCAAGTACGGAGGTCGCGCCCCGCCACGGAGCCGGACCTTTTGTGTCTTTGCCTTTCTACGCATCTGCGCCCAGTTCGGCCCAGAACAAGGATTTCAAAAAGTGCCCCGCATATTTGACTTCAGAAGGACTCACCCCAAGCCGCGGAAGCAGCGAGAGTGGCCAGGACAAGAGCAGGGAGCCACATCCTGGAAGGGCGACAGTTCCGGGGGCCTGCGAGGTCTCCGTGCAGCTCAGAGGGACTGTGCTGTCCAGCCCTGGCGCCACCCTGGCCCCCAGTTACCGCCCTGCACTGCCAATTGCCTAATCCTCTAATTGGGAGAGATCAGAAAAGCCCTCCCTTTCCCCAGATCTCCCTGGGCTTCCAGTGGGGCCTCAAGCCACGCCCACTCACAGTTTACCCTCTTTCATCAAACCAATCTGGACTCTACTCTCAGATTACAGAGAGCTGTAAACTCGCCCAACTGCTTGTGGCATAACGGTGTCACCCTTGCAGGACTCTAACCTTAGTGCTCTCTGAGGGCCCCCAAAGGCCCGCACCAGCAGGCAGATGCTTTTAGGCAAAGGGAAGCTTTGATCTGAGGTCCTCAGAAACAACTGGAAAATGTTAGAGCCACTCACACCTCACAGCTCAGCTGGGTAAGTTAGGACATATCTCAGCTCCCAGGGCTTGTGTTTCATAGCGTTCCAGGATTTCAAGCTTGGAAGCGATCCTAAATTTTATCCAGTCCACTTTCTGATGCCTGAATTAGCTTCACAGTATCCTGCCAACTAGCCAAGCCTTCTCACACACTTCCAATCTCAGGTAAATCACTACCTTCCAAAGCAGGAATTTTTGGACAGAATGTAAAAATGATTCCATCTCTCAATAGCTCCTGGCTTTAATCATCCATCCATTCATGTACCCATCCATTCTGTGAACATTTACCAAAATGCCAGGCACCTGGCCATGTATAATGGATACAAAGGTCAATTCAAGACATGGTTCAGCTTCTCAAGGGGTTCACCATTGTAGACAACACATATAGGGTGGAGGAGCAGTAGGTGTGATGTCAAGGCAATGTGAAATCACCAAATTAAGGGGATACAGAGTGCTCTGGGCACACCTGGAAAACTGTCATTTACAAGCTGCTGGGGACACAAGGAAGTCACTCAAACCTCTTTCATGGGATTATTAAATGTCCAACAATAGGGAATTCACTAAACACACTGTGATACCGCTGGCTAAGGAAATATGATGTATTCACTCAAAATAGTGATGTGCACAGCTACTTATTAACAATGAAGACAGGATGCGTTGTGAAAGGAAAAAATAACAGGTTATAAACTGTTGTGCGGTGTAGGCAGTTCCTCCAAAAATTCAACATAGAGTTTCCATATGACCCAGCAATTCCCCTCCTAGGTGTCTACCGAACAGAACTGAAAGCATGTCCATAAAAAACTTGTACACAAAGAGCAGTGTCATTCATCCTAGTCAAAAAGTGGGCACAACCCACATGTCCATGACCTGATGAATGTGTAAATAAAGTGTGGTGTATTCGTGCAGAGGCATATCATCCAGCCATAAGAAGAACATGCTACAATGTAGATGAAGCTGGAAATCATTATGGTAAAGGAAAGAAGCCAGCCACAAAAGGCCACATGTCATATGATGCTTTTTATGTGTAATTTCCAGAATAGTCAAATCTACGGAGACAGAAAGTGTTTGACAGGGTCTGGGGAAGGGGAAAGAGACGGGGATGAGGAATAACTGCTAATGGGCATGAGTTTTATCTTGGGGGTGGTAAAAATGTCCTGGGATTAAATAGTGATGATGTTAGTGCAACTTTGGGAATATACTAAACACCACTAGATTGTACACTTTAAAAAGGTAAACTTTATGACATGTGACTTATATTTCAATAAAATAATGAAATATTTTTGAAAATCTAGATAGGTATAATATGGTCCCGTTTTGGTAGTAACATATGTCTTTATTTGCATGGGAAAATATTGGAAGGCTATATAGCTAATTAGAATTACAACAGCCATTTCCTGGCTGTAATCTTGTCAGTGTTTTTACTTATTTGCATTTTCCACTTTTATTTCTTCATACATTCATTGACAAATATTTACTGAGAGCTTACTGTGTGGCAAACACTATGCCGAGAGTTTTGTATGCAGGAACTCAGTCTCAGTTCTCAAAATAACCCCATGAGATTAATGCTGTCTCACAATCTTAAATTGATTTCTGTTGTTTAAGCCACCCAGTCTGTGATATTTTCTTCTGGCAGCCTAAGTAGACTAATACATAGGCTCAACTCAATTCCGTTATTTATTCCCAAAAGAAACTAAGGCCCAGAGATGGGGAGGGTTTGCCTAAGGCCACACAGCAACTCAGTGGCAAAGTCAGAACCAGTACTTGAGGTTTCTGCCTTCCAGCACAGTGTGGCTGGCAGCCATTTCTCTTGCTTTTATACATCAGGAAGATATTCTAATCAGTAGCCTTATCTAAGGCAAATTGCCTTGTCAGCTCATTGACCCAGGCTGAGCATGGTAGGGCTGAAGGGATAGAAATAGCCAGGGGAGGCTGGGCACTGTGGCAACCCTTCCTGCTTGGTAATCCTAGCACTTTGGGAGGCCAAGGTGGGGGGATTGCTTGAGAGAGGAGTTCAAGACCAACCTGGGAAACATAGTAAGACCCTATCTCTACAAGAATAAGGAGAAAGGAAGAAGAAGAAAAAGAGGAAGGAGAAGAAGAAAAAGAGGAAGAAGAAAAAGAGGAAGAAGAGGAGGAGAAGGAGGAAGAAAGAAGAAGAAGAGGAAAGAAAGAAAGACGGAAGAAAGAAGAAGAAAGAAGGAAGAAGAAGACTAAGAAGGAGGAGGAGGAAGAGGAGGAAGAGGAGAAAGGGAAAGAAAGAAAAAGAAAGAAAGAAAAGAAAAGAAAAGAAAGAAAAAGAGAGGAAGATGAGAGCCAGGTACCAGGTACTTGGGGAGCCATGTTCTACTTTCCCAATGTCACTTGGCAAGCCTGCCCTTGTCCAGTCCAGACCACGATTGACATCAGGAAAGATTGGGCAACGAGCAGCCATAAAGCACATGACAGTCCCAGACCTGCTAATGGATTCTTGCCCAAGGCCGTGAGTTGTATCTGAAATGAAGCTTCTGGAGACCCAAATTCAAAAAGGGATGCTCATTAGCACTCATTCTAGCCACGTGCAGGCTGGTGAGGGGCATTCTGTGATGGGAATGAGGATGCTCTGACAGCATGAGAATCAGTCCCCAGAACTAACCGACTCTACAAAAGTTGACCTGAGCTTAGGGTTCCTCCCTTACTTTTATCCAGGACAGAAACCTGGTTGATAAACTGCATGCTAATAAAAAGCATCCCTATCTCTATCCACAAGGGACAATCTGGGTGGTCCTCCTAAGTAGAAAGCAAAGCTAGTCCCACTCACTCAGCACAACACACACACGCACACACATGTGCACACATGCACGTGCCTGTTAACCATCCTGCCCTGTTGCCTTAGTCAGCTGACCTTTGCAACCTGAGAAACAGTCCTGGCTCTTTGCCTATGAAGATTTTGTGGTGCTGTATTCACAAAATATAAGATGTAAGGATTAGTTCTTCTCCTGAACCACTGCGCAATCACACTCCTGCTTGTGACACCAGCCAATTGTGCAAACAGAGAATTTTTTGGCCACTCCTGGGACTGCCCATTTCTGGTTCATGATGATTCTGCAGATTGTGATGGGTGAAGCTGGAGCCTACCAAGCCTTCCAGTAGATCTCATTTTTGCTTAATACATATAACTCCCCTGCATCACTTCAGCTGTAAGCAGTACGTCTCTTGTTTAAGCGGCAGTTGATTTAGGTCATTGCTTTTCCCTGGGGAATCCCTCTGGTTTCCCATGTGGAACTATATGACGTGGAAAGTAAAATCTGAGGAACTGGCCTTAACTTCTAAGCAGGGGGTAGGACTTGGGAGAGGGGGCATATCTGGGGGCTTCAAATGAACTCCCCCAAACCTCTCCACCTCCATCAGTTTACTCAGCAGATATATGGAAAGCTAATATTAGAGCAGGCATTGGGCACAGCAAGCCCATGTCCTGCTGAGCCCCTCACTCAGCTTTGTCTCTGAACTGTGGGATCGATCAGGTGTAGATTTTGTGGTGGAGAACACGGAAATGGGAGACAGAAGTCTGAGAATCCACTGGGTGACATTTGGGAATTCCTTGTGGAAAGGCAGGGGGTGGCTATGGGGGAGGGGCTCTCTCACGCACCCTTCACCGTGGCTCCACACTCTATGAATCCAGGATTCTACGACATTCTCCACTGCAGCCTGGACATATGCAGTGTTTCTGGAACCTCACTTATTCTCACACTAATATCATGGTTTTTTGCCTCATCAGCATATCGTCTGTACTTCTATGAACAGTTTTCTTTAAATGAAGCACTCTTTTTACTTTAACATGCTCACTCAAAAAGGAGACTTTATACCATTTCCATAACTGCAAGACCTGTATAACCTGCCATAAATTAGAGGTATGCATGGAAAATGTGTAACTGCATTTTTTAAATTAAAATGATGGTAAAAATAAAAACGTGCATAAAGAAATGCCAGTAAAAACACTTCTAATTTACAAAAGCGTATAATTGAAAAAAGTCACTCAATGGGAAAAGTGAACCATTGAAGGCCAGTTAGTTACATGAAAGAACTGATCACCATCAGGACCACCAGGTAGGTGACAAGGCAAGGGTTAACTACCTTTGGCAAGGGTCACCTACCTTTGGCAAGGGTCATCATCACCAAGGTCATTTTCTTCTGCTTCAGGGAATGTCTTCCTGTTAACATTCAGTTCAATGGGCAGAAATTGTATTATGTTTACACCTTCCCAGGCCCATGATGCTATGTTATATTTAGGGGGTCAGACTACCTGGGGTCAATCAGGTCCTAGGACTAACTGGTCAGAGCATCTGGAAGAAATTTTGGCCTGGTGGTGGGTCTTAGAGGAGAGAGCTGTACTCCCATGGGCATAACTAGTCACCCTCAATGGCGCAAACAACCGGAAATCGGGCCATGTACATTCATCAGTCAATCACCCTGTGACTGCTGAGCAAGAATTATTAGTGAGAGTAGGGTAAACTATGGTAGCAAATAGGCCCAGAATTTCAACGGCTTATTTTTTGCATAGGTAAAGGACTAGAACGTTGTTCAGGTCAACAAGGTGGCTGTTGTCCATATGGTCATTCAGAGATCAAAATTAGGATATCAGCAAACTTTCTCTATAAAGGGCCAGAGAGTAAGGACTTTGGACTTTGCAGGCCATGGGCTGTCTGTGGCGACTGCTGTGGTAGTAAGGCGGCCCATAAACAATACCTACGCCAATGGGCATGACTGTGCTTCAATAAAACTTTATTTTTAAAAAGACAGTAGGCCAGATTTGGCCCTCAGGCTGTAGTTTACTCAGTCCTGATCTAGGCTATGGTGGCTTTGCCTTCCTTCACTCATGGTTTCTAAAGTTGCCATAGGTGTCAATTGCCTGTCACCTGGAAGAGGCAGGAGCAGAAGTGTGACCATGGAGCATTTGTATGGGCCAGGCCTGGCTGTGGCACTCTCCACTCCCACTCAGAGGACATTGGTGAGAACTTATTCACGTGTTCAATCTAATTGCAATGAAGGCTGGAAAATGTAATCTGGCTGTGTACCAAGGAAGGTGGGACAGATTTTAACAGACTGCCAGCAATCCTTGTCACAGGTAATATCCATTAAACCATGGACTTGATAGTAAGGGTTTTTTCCCTAATACACAGCAAAATAAATAAACAGCCATTCTATAAGTGGTTTTTAGTTTGTGTGCCATCTAAAATGATCTTGCATAACTCCAGGAATAAGTGCAGCACACTCTGATAAACACTAAGTTTTTGCATTTCTTTGATTCAAATCACAAAAGCCCGATTATAAACCCAGATCCTATTCATTAGGGCTACTCTATTAAGCCTTCCTTTAGCCTGTTAAGAATAAAATGGGAAAAAAGATGATTCAGAAAGCAATGTAAAAATTTAGACACAGAAAAGTGAAGATTGAATTATAATCTGGAAAGAGCCCTGGAAACTCAAACTACAGATTACATTATAAGCATCCAGGTGAATAGAGTGGCCTCCATAGAGATGCATGTTCTGTGTGTTTTCTTGCCCTGAGAACTATCAATATTCATATATGTTAATGCCCAAAGCTGTGATGACTCTTGATGGTACCAGGTATTGAGAGATGGGCAAAATTTGGAGAGGCAGAGAAGAAATTAGCATTGGAACAAGGCAGATTCAGGGGCTTCTTGGGGAGGCCAGTTGCAATGGAAGGGGGAATGGAAGACAGAGAGCTTCAATGCCAAGCCAAGGAGAACAGACTTCATCCCTGGACAATGAGGAGACACTGAAAGGCTTTAATTCTGATAATTGCACAATGAAGGGCATTTCTGAAAGTAGAGCCTGGCAGAAGCAGCCAAGCCATCTGGAGGGACCAGTGGTTACTCTCAAGGGGAACCTCCTACACCCTCTTTGAGAGGGTAGAAGATAAACTTCTCCTTTTCAAAGCTGCCTAAGTCCTAGCTTGTGAAAGCTTGGCTTTGGGGCTTACACAGGACTCAGCAAGCATAAATGACATAAGCTTCTCCAAAAAGCTGGACTGCACAAAATTCTGCCCAAATCCCAGGAGCTACTGATCTGTCACATCAGTGCTGAATACTTCCTGGTTTTCTATATTCTTGCCACTAGGCACTACCACCAAAAGACTAGTGGTAAAAATCCTTGCAAATTCAATAAGTGAGTGCCATTTGGGTATCTGGTTTGAATTTGCGCATCTTGGTGTGTGTGCTATTGATCTATGAAAATGGTGTTTTGTGGATGTGAAGACCCCTTGGAGCCTGACTGGTGGGATGGAGGGGGACTGTGGACTGTACCTTCCCCGATGCGCTCCTGGCCTCCATAGAAGGACAGCTATGCGGGAAGTTTCAGAGGGGCTACAACTTTCCCACCCCAGCTGTGACCCCACCCAGGAAAGATTCTGGAGATTTTGTCCCTTGCATGATCTTCTAAAGTGAGAACATTAAATGAGAACAGCTGACTGATTTCCTGGTGAGGGCTCTCTTCCTTGTTTGCAGACTGCTGCCTCCTCACTGTGTCCTGGTCTGGAACTTCTAGCCTCGAGAACTATGCAAATGCGAATTTCAGTTGATTAAGCTGACTCATTTCCTGGTGAGGGTTCTCTTCCTTGTTTGTAGGCTGCTGCCTTCTCACTGTGTCCTGTTCTGGAACTTATAGCCTAGAGAACTATGCAAATGCAAATTTTAGTTGATTAAACTGACTCATTTCCTGGTGGGGGCTCTCTTCCTTGGTTGCAGACTGCTGCCTCCTCACTGTGTCCTGGTCTGGAACTTCTAGCCTCGAGAACTATGCAAATGCGAATTTCAGTTGATTAAGCTGACTCATTTCCTGGTGAGGGCTCTCTTCCTTGTTTGCAGACTGCTGCCTCCTCACTGTGTCCTGGTCTGGAACTTCTAACCTAGAGAACTATGCAAATGCAAATTTCAGTTGATTAAGCTGACTCATTTCCTGGTGAGGCCTCTCTTCCTTGTTTGCAGACTGCTGCCTCCTCACTGTGTCCTGTTCTGGAACTTATAGCCTAGAGAACTATGCAAACGCAAATTTTAGTTGATTAAGCTGACTCATTTCCTGGTGAGGACTCTCTTCCTTGTTTGCAGACTGCTGCCTCCTCACTGTGTCCTGTTCTGGAACTTCTAGTCTAGAGAACTATGCAAACGCAAATTTTAGTTGATTAAGCTGACTCATTTCCTGGTGAGGGCTCTCTTCCTTTTTTGCAAATGCAAATTTCAGTTGATTAAGCTGACTCATTTCCTGGTGAGGCCTCTCTTCCTTGTTTGCAGACTGCTGCCTTCTCACTGTGTCCTGTTCTGGAACTTATAGCCTAGAGAACTATGCAAACGCAAATTTTAGTTGATTAAGCTGACTCATTTCCTGGTGAGGGCTCTCCTCCTTGTTTGCAGACTGCTGCCTTCTCACTGTGTCCTGTTCTGGAACTTCTAGCCTTGAGAACTATGCAAATGCGAATTTCAGTTAATTAAGCCACCCAGTCTGTGGTATTTTGTTACAGAAGCCCGAGCAGACTAATACATTCTCCAAGTGCCCTACACCAGTAAATTATGACATATCCATACAATGAATGACTATACAGCAATGATGACAAACTACAGCCATATACAACAATACACGTGAATCTCATAAACATAATATTGAGGGAAAGAAACCAGATGCAAGAGTATGTGATTCTGTTCATATAAAGCACAAAACCTGGAAAAAGAAATATTGCTGCTAGACATCAGGACTGTGGTGACCATTTTGGGTAGATAGGCAAGGAGGGGGAAGTGAGCAGGGCCTGGAATTGAGCTCCATGTGGCTTCTGGGATGCTGGTAATATTGTGTCTTGATCTGGGTCCTAATTACACAGTGTGATCAGTTAGTGAAGTTATCAAGTCATAATATATACATAGCATGTGTGTGTTTGTGTGTATGTGTGTATGTGTATATATATATATTTCTTATATGTATGTTATGTTCAATAAAAAACTGAAATGTTTGTACCAGACCTTAAGAACCTGTTATCTAATACAGGAGACAAGATTGATACAGATAAAATTACTGGTGATCACATAAATTATAGTTACAGGATAGAATATAAATGATCAAATGCAGCAATGATTTTAATCAGGACTCTGTCATATGTACTAAGAGAAATCCAACTGAAACTTACCTAAAGCATATATTGAATAAAATGTAGTCTCTCACATGAAAAGTTCAGGAGGTAAATAGAGCTTGAAATACAATTACATAAATAAATGTAATTAATGAAATAAATAGATTAGATAGGTAATAGATGATAGATAGATAATTGATAGATGGTAGATAGATAATAGATAGACAGATAGGTAGACAGACATTTTATGGCATTATCTTCCTATAAAGAGAGAAGTCTGTTTCCTACATGTCAAGGTAGAAAAGCTGTCCTCCAGGCACCCACGGTGTGCTCCAGCAACCTTGCCAACACCAGCCCTGCTGCCCGTGGGCTGGCCCCCTTGCCCCCACTGCTCAGGGTCACACTTCCACCACGTTGTGGCTGGCCATCCCCCTTCCTACCCATCCTTTAATTTCAGACTTGAGCTCCACCCCGTTCATGGAGCACAGCAAGCTCTTTGCAATGAATTCCCTTGTATTTTGACACAATCAAGTGGTAAGGTAGGTTTTTTTCTCCCCAGCCCTTCCCATCGCAGGGAATAATGAGGCACAGTCTTGATACAAACTTTTAGGAGAGCATGCGGGGCAGGACTGAGTGGGATCTGTCCCTGCTGGGGGAAGGGAGGCTCATCCTGTACATGCGTTACCTGGGGCAGCACCAGGTGGGGCAGCTACCCAGGTGCAGGGCCTGAGTCGGCTTCCCACCCTCCCCTGCAGCTCTGCCCAGGGCGAATTTTTTTTTTTTTTTTAGGTGGAGTCTTGCTCTGTCACCTAGGCTGGAGTGCAGTGGCATGATCTCGGCTCACTGCAAGCACTGCCTCCCGGGTTCATGCAATTCTCTTGCCTCAGCCTCCCGAGTAGCTGGGACTACAGGCGCCCACCACCACACCCAGCTAATTTTTTGTATTTTTAGTAGAGACGGGGTTTCATTGTGTTAGCCATGATGGTCTCGATCTTCTCACCTTATCATCTGCCTGCCTCGGCCTCCCAAAGTGCTGGATTACAGGCTTGAGCCACCATGCCTGGCCCTCTCTAGTCTGACTATCTACCCCAATCTTTCTCCTGGGCAATAGGAAAAGTTATGATTTTGAGGACAATCCAGCTTTTTCTCTTGCTGATAAGGCAGGAGTGACACTCTTTAGAGTTTTCCACATTCTAGCAGAATCCAGAAATCACCCCTGAGATTCTGAAAGACACAGTATTAGGATGACCCTCTGGAGACTTGCTCTAAGGTGGTCAGTGCCCGCAACAGAAGTGGTCCAGGTTACAGAGGGAGTTTAGACCAGCTGTTGAAAGAGACAGCCTCAGGGAGGGGTCTAGGAGGCTAGTGTACATACTGAGGAAGGTGTGGCAGACCTGTGCAAGAGTCAATAAAGGCCATCCAACAGTGCCACGGGATCACCTCGGCACCTCTCTCTCTTCCCTGATCCAGGCAAATTCTCAGCCTGGGCCATTTCCATTTCCATAGGCAGATCCAAATGGAGGATAGGGATGCTGCACTCTGGCAATCCTAAATCCTATTGTTGGAAATTCTTGGGGGCTCAGAAACATGCAGTAGGCCCAGAGCTCCCCTGAGCACTGTCCATGACCCAGCCCTCTGGACTGTACTCGTCCTGAGGCCAGGCCATCCCCAGCAAAGCCAGCTTCCTTCTCACATTGCCTCTTTCATCATCGTTCTGTCTCTGAGGAGGATGGATTAATCTCTAATACAAGACACAAGCAGTGATTTGGCTTTCAAAAGATCTTTTATTGCCAAAGCTGAGGTCACAAATAAAAAACTTGCTCCTTCATGACCTCTGCCCCCTACCCCCCACCACCAGACAATTCCCCAGCCATGGTAAGATGCCTTCTGAACCTGCAATCCCTTTGGCAAAAGACCCCAGTCTTTGCTCCTCCAGGTTCCTGAGGCTGGATGGACCTTCCGTTCACAGCGCAATGTGTTCTATCTGGGGTGGCTTCTCCACTGCCTTCTTGGCGAAGAGTTTGGTCCAGAAAGCTACTTCCTTGTCCTTCAGCTTCTGGGCTGCCTGGGTGTTAGCACCAATCTGCAGGTACCCTTCCTCCTGGTTGTACTCTGGCCAGTGCGGCAGCCCTTCTCCATTGGGGTTTCTGGAAACAAAATCAAATAGAATTGCCCCAAAGCTGCTGTGTGTCCCCAACAATCTTCAGAGATGTGTGAGGACGCCCAAGTTATCTCCGTCAAGAGGCTTGTATATCTCCAGAGACGGGGAGTTCACTATCTCCAGGGGCGGCCTCTCCATTTGTAGAGAGCTCTCATTGTCAGAGTGCTATGGTCACAGGGTCAGAAGTTTGATCGCTAGAACCTTAGAAGCTGCCCCTTCCCAATAGGCATGCCCCGCCCCCCACCCTCACCAGCTGTGCTGTGTCTTTGCCAAGAGCCTCACCCATTGCGAGCAAAGTTGGCCCAGAATTTCATCACCATCTTGCTAAGTCTGATCTCCTCTTCTGAGGCACCCTCTGTGGGGAAGAAGAAAAAAAGCCTTTGTTACTCAAAGTGTGGTCCGCGGACCTGCATTGTCAACTTCACGTGCAAACCTGCTAGAAACATAGTCTTGGCGCATGCTCCACACCCACTGAGCTGAGGTCTGCACATTTAGAAGATCCTGGTGGATTTGTGTGTACTTTACCTTTAAGCATGGCTGACCTAGGGCTCAGCAATGGGCATGCATCATTCCATGTGCTTGCCCCACCTCCCAGGGTTGCTCTCTCTTGCACACACCCACAATTCACATTCTGAAATATAACAGAACTCAAGCCTCCTAAGGGTGCATAATTGGGACATGCCCAGTGGCGATGGTGCGTCCTGAGCAGCCATGGGGTGAGTCCCATGTGATCTGTAACAGCTGAGAGTTAAGGCTTAGAAGACATCATGAAAGGATTTTTAAAAATATTGTATAATGTAAACTAAAAATAAAATCCTAACACCCCCAACTCACTGAACAGACCCTCTCTGGGCTAAGGGGACCCCAGAAAAACCCTAAACTGAGTTCCTGCCTGGAAACAGACAGGAGGTCAGACACGCCTCATCATACTCCCCCTTTTTTGTGGTTTAGACACCACCGGACGAGTATCAGCAATAAAATAAAGGTGATCATTCTGACAGAACACACTCCTTGTGGCAATAAGACACCAAATTAAAAAAAGATCGAAGGCCATGCCGGGCAAGGGTTCAGGCCTGCATCTCTACCCTTAAAGAATCCACTCTGTTCTCCCTGCTGCAAGGTGCTTCTTTTTGTCTACAGCTAAACCAGTACTGGCCTGGAGTTAAGCAAAATGAAAACAATTAAAATGGCTGCAGCTTGGATACTCGGAAGAACAGAACACTGCCCACCAGCCTTAACTACGGCTTTGATTGCATAAGAGACTGATTTCAGTTATTTTCTCCAGATAAGAATATCACCAGCCATGGACTGGACCTGGCCGGTGTACAGAGGCTGCTCACTTGCTGGGCTTTGTGTCCTGAGAAGACCCTTGGATTTATAAGCCCTAATTGTAATACATTTAAATATTAGGTCTCCACCACCAGGTGAACATGGGCAATGTTACATGCATGTTTGTTTAATACACATGTGTCAGGACTGTCTTCATGAATATCCATTGCTCCCCCTGTAACGTGTTGAACATGTATGTTTAGCCAATCTGTTCATATAAAGCTTCTACCCAACCCCTCCTCGTTCGATGAGCCTGTTTCTGGGCTTGGCCAGAGGCACCTTCCCAGCTTGAGGGATAGCAACTTTGCTGACTATAAACCACATCAAAAATAAAGTCTCCTCTCCCATTCCAAATTCATACATCCTGTGATTTCTAAATTAACAATTATTAATTATATTAAATTTAAAGGTTTATGAGGTTTTGTTAGAGACATAAAGGCAGAAACACAAACCGACACACATTAGACCTGACTCAGGGTTAACACCAATTCTAATCTCACCCTCACTCATATTCTCAGCACTTCTGGGAGAGGGAAATTGGTTGGTGGTTTCTCAACCTAGAGCAGGGCCCTGCATGTGTCCCTCCGCCTATCTTGTTGATGACACGGCCCAGGATTCTGAGTGTCGGTGGCAGAGGGCACATGATATACATCCTCCCTCATGTGTGTTAGAGCAGGAGGAAACTGGGGGACAAGCCAATGACATTCAATCCTATCACAGTGAATCCTGCTGACTATAAACCATAATTCATAATCCTGTGATTTCTAAACTAACAATTATTAAATGTATTAAATGTAAAGGTTTATGAGTTTTTGTTAGAGACAGACAGAAAGACAAACCGACACACATTAGACCTGACTCAGGGTTAACACCAACTCTAATCTCACCCTCACTCACATTCTCAGCGCTCCTGGGAGAGGGAAATTGATTGGTGGCTTCTCAACCTAGAGCACCCCTGCATGTGTCCCACCACCTGTCTTGTTGATGACATAGCCCAGGATTCTGAGTGTCTGTGGCAGAGGGTACATGGATGCACATCCTCCCTAATGTGTATTAGAGCAGGAAGAAGCTGGGGGACAACCCAATGACATTCAACCCTGTCATAGTGAATCCTGCAGGAGACCCCCCAAACACTTGTCTTGTTGATGTCACAGAACAGGATTCTGAACGCCTGTGCAGAGGGCACATGAATACACATCCTCCCTCAGGTATGTTAGAGCGGGAGGAGGTGGGGGGACAACCCGATGACATTCAACTCTGTCATACTGAATCCTGCAGAAGACACCCTCCCGCCTGTCTTGTTGATGTCACAGGCCAGGATTCTGAGTTTCTGTGCAGAGGGTACATGGATACACATCCCCCGTCATGTGTATTAGAGCAGGAGGAAGCTGGGGGACAACCTAATGACATTCAACCCTGTATAGTGAATCCTTCAGAAGACTCCCCCACACACACCCGTCTTGTTGATGTCACAGAGCAGGATTCTGAGTGGCTGTGCAAAGGGCACATGAATACACATCCCGCCTCACATATGTTAGAGTGGGAGGAAGCTGGGGGACAACCCAGTGACATTCAACCCTGTTATAGAGAATCAGTAAACTAAGACCAGGAGAGAAGAAACTTGCTGAAAGCCACCACACCAAGACAGGAACCCAGATCTCCTAACTCCAAGCTCACGGAGAGCAAGGAGCCATTACCTTTTAAAGATGGGGCCCCAAGGACGGAGAAGAGCTCATCCCCGTGGTCTCCTATCACCGTCTTGGGTTTCATGTCTGATGAGAAGCTTGGACGGTACTGAAACTCATACATGTAGGTGGGTGCTCCAGCATCTGAGAAGACAAGGATTCATGCACAGTTCATGTTGCCAGACACACACCTGGAGGCTACCAAGGTCTCCAACTCTGCAGGAAACCTCTGGCTGTCAGCACAGTAGAGAAACAGAGTCACAGGAAAGCTCAGCGACATGCTCCGGGCTGCATAGCTGGTTGAGGTGGAACTGGAATTAGAGCCAGATATTTGTTCAATGAACAAATGTTTAATGAATGAATGTGGAAACCCTGGGTCAATTCATTCAAAATAACTGCCAGTGCAGGGACACTGACTCTGCCTCGTAAACCCCTTTGCCTGCTGGTACATTCTCACACAAGACAATCTCTCTACATCTGGTTACACTGGATGTAATTCATTGATAACAGACTTCGTTCACTTGGACGCCATCTCCACTCTGACAGGTGTCTTCTGTTCTCCCTCATTTTGAGCACTTCCAGTGTTTTTCTCACCCATCCTGAGAAGACTGAAGCAAATCCAAGTTGCTTGTCTGAACATGAGGCTACTTAAATACAAACATATGCAGAGAGGGAACAATCTGCCTCTTGTGTCTCAGGAATCTGCGGCACTCACTGCTTTATATCTCACTGTCTCCATGTGTCTTGCTGCCTGCCTGGCCTGGGAGTGTTAGGGTGTTAAGGCAGTAAAGTCATGGCAGAGCAAAGAAGGGGCTGAGCAAGGGTGACCTTGCCTCTCCCCTGCCCTCTCTCCTTCTGCCTGCCCTCCTCTCCCACCAACAAAGCTCTCCTGTTCCAGCCCGAAGAAGATGCCAGTTTCCCAATGATTGGCTCATTGGAGCCACAAATCACTGCCCCTTCTGGGCTACATCATGGGCCACCTGGTCCTGTGCCTCAGCACTTTGAATTTTCCACCTCCTATATAATTTAAAAATCATTTTGAAAAACCATTTTAAAAATCAAATTTAAAACATCACTGGTAACTCTACCACAGAGAACGCTTCTTTTTTATTTTAACATATCTCTCTTTTATGTATATAAACTTGGGATGATATTATATATGTTATTTTGTAATATAGTATCATCACTTTTTGAAAACAATTTTGTTGTAGAGACAGGATCTCACTATGTTGCCCAGGCTGATCTTGAAATCCTAGGCTCTCACAATCCTCCCACTTCAGTCTCCCAAAGGGCTGAGAGTATAGGTATGAGCCACCACCTCCAGCCATCATTTCTTAACATTCTTAAATATTCAGCCACAAAAGGATTTAACAACAGGAGCTCACGCATCCCTAACCTCACGCCCCACCCGCACATGTCATTTCAATGTAAGAATGAAGAATAATCTATTCACTCATCTTTGTCAGCCTCCTGCACTGCACCCTTGGCTCAGCAGGAAGCGCACTTGGGAAGATGCCATCCTTCTGTGGCTCTGTAATCCACCTGTTAAATGGCTGCTTCAAGGTCAAGCAAAACTTGCTAAAAGGGGGGTTTGACCTTGCCTTTGCCATTCAAACATTTTCCAAAGGAACTCAGAGCCAACTATAGAGGAAAGAGCTTTTGTGAATGATAGAAATTATTATAGGCAGCATGCTGCCCAAAATGTACTTTGTCAAACCTTTTTGGCTAAAGTGATTGATATTCATAGAATTCCTACAGTCACAACACAAGTCTTCAGAGGAAAGTAGGGCACAGTTTTGGGCAATGACAAATAGGCACAAGAAGAGAAGCAGAGACAATGAAAGACATGTCATGAAAGACATGCAAAAGAATACAGGGTGATGTGCTTCTTTTTGGTGGGGCAAATTGGCAGCATTAACTTTTAACCTTGGTATCCCAAATGAGAAAGTAAATTAAGAAATCCACGTTCTTATGCACGGGAATGCAAATTTGCATTATTTGCCAAGAGTTCAAAAATATTTCTTTGGTCCAGCCTAGTTATTCACTTCTAAAAAGAATCCCAAGAAAATTATTAGACATGTGGTTAGAGACTTATAAACATTAGGCTGAACTCAGTGTTATTGTAGTATCAGAATGTGAGCAGCCAGGCTAAACATCTAATAGGATAGGAATATTAAAGTCTATTTAACACAGCCATTTCATGGAATAAGGAATGTTTTGATGAGTTTATATGAATATTGAGAAAATCCTCACAACATAGTGTTCTATGAACAAAAGCGAAATATAAAATTGATTTTTAAAGTATATAGGACATGAAAAATCTTTAGAAGAAAGTACAAAAAAATTTATACCACTTGCCTCCAGGTGGGGGAATTAGGAGTGATATGTAGTTTCTTCTTTACGTGTTTCCATATTTTTGAAACTTTCTTCATATTAACTTTAACATATTAACTTTATGTTCAGAAATGTTGTTTTTATCAAAAAGAGTGAGACACAACAATAAGTGAAAGTTGATAAGATCGGTGTAGTCCTGGCAAACAACAACAACAACAACAACAAAAAACTCTGAACTCAAAGTTATGGGAAATCAGATGAAAAACAGAGGTTCAGTATTGCTCAAACCATTGGAAGATGGAGATGGGAACACTATATATAGATCAGATGCAGAACATGGGGCAAAGCCAAGTTTAAGACAGAAATGATTCAACTCCAGTGGTCCTGGTTATAGGGTTTTATCAGGACTTTGTGAAGAAGTGAGAGTTATGAGCACCTGCCCCTTCCTGTGCAAAGGTGTGTCTGGGCACCTGCGACATCAGCTTTAGCTATAGCTTTAGCTTTAGCTTATGAAGTTCCAAATTTAAAAACCCTTCCAGCATGGTTAGAGAGAGGACATTTCCTGGCTTGCAGACTAGGCGAATGAGAGCTGGAAGAAAAAGAGGAGTCCTGTGAGCCTCCTCTAGTTGGCACCCAGGAGAAGACACTTCTCTAGAGGTGAGCCCACGCATCCCTAACCTCATGCCCCACCCACACAGCCTTGGGTCAGTGGTAGAAGGTCCTGCATAGACCCTGTCCTGGCACTGTGCTTGCATGTTCCTGCACACACCGAGATAGACAAAAGCCAGCCTCAGACATTGCCATTCTTCCGACCACCTCCCCCACACCCACCATAGCTCTTACTTTTGGCCTTCTTGGTCCTGGACAATCCTCTGGATCCTGTGCAGGACTCCCATTGTTCTTCCAGCTCCAATGCTTAACAAGCTTGTTTGCAGCCAACTTGGACCTTAAAAACCTTCCAAGACTCATCTTTCAATATTTGTCCTACAGCAGCCCTATGTCCCACGATAACTCCAGGCATGGAGCCCTTGCAGCAGATGCTGTCAGTGTCTCACCCATATCCCCTCTTCCTGGGCATGCCAGCCTGACTTCTACCTCCAGCATCTGCAGCTCCCGGCCTGAGGCCTTTGTCTGGTCACAAGAGACTACTCTGCCCTTGTGTGCAGCAGGTCAAAGTCACAGGGAATAAACAACTCCTTGCAAGAGCCTTCAAACAATGACAAGTGGGAGCTGGTGGGTAAATACCCCAGCTCCCTTGGTGCTCAGATGGGATGCCCCTGAGTGCTGTATTCTCAGTGTTTCCTTGAGTTTCCCAGCTCCAGTTGTCCACAGAGGATACTCCCTTGTCAAGGCACCTTGGATTGGATTCCATCTCTTTCCTCTCTCACTTCCCCACCGCCCTACTGCTGATATCTGGGATCACCACCTTAAAAAAACCGCTTGCCTCTGGTTTTTTTTTTCACAGGCTGCTACTGGCATAAACCAAAATAAGACAGCACCTCATCCCATGCCATATGGAATCAGCCTTTGAGGCCTGACCCTCGGCTGTTTCCACATCTGTCTATGCTGGGAGGTAGGTGAGTCAGATACAGAAGCTGGTGGGGTCCATATCCCTCCCCTGTTCGACCTCTAGGACTCACCTCTGTGGTTCCGGGCCACAGTCACAGATGGGACACCGAACAGTACGTCCCCCATTAAGTCCAGGAACAGGTCTTTCTTCTTGACAGGGTCATCTGTTCCTCCTAAGTACTTCTCAATGGCTTCTGGAATCAATTCCTTAGGAATGCGCTAAAATAGATCAATAAAGTGACAACCACCCCCTGGTGAGCGATGTAGCTTCTCCAGCCCACCAGGAAGGGCTGCCTCAATGGTGAATCCCACAAGCCCTGTGCAACTCCCCGCTAGGGTGGAAAGTGAAGTGGGAAAGGTGGAAAGATGGGAGAAACCCTGAGGCCCCAGTCTTCATTCGGCCATTTAATTGCTCTATAATTTGGGCAATCCTTGTCGCTCTGTGGGTCCTAGCCAATTCCCGTGATTCCTAGACTCTTACAACAAAGGGATAGGACTTCCAGAAGAGTGACATGGCTGTCTTCTGGTCCAGTTTCCCTTCGGAGAGTAGATAGCTCATCAACTGTTAAAAAAAAAAAAAAAGTTAAGCATTTATGAATCATTGGGAATTAACGAGAAGAAACAAACTGACGAACCAACCAAATCAATGCAGACTGAAAGTCCTCCAATATTTTGGGCTTTTAAAGGCATGGGTTTTTACTGAAATGGGCAAAATCAATGAATCAAATGGGCTTATATCCAGAAACTCAAGCATTGCAAAGATTACAAAAAAAAAAAAAAATGTGGAGAAGCTGTGGCAGTGTTTTGCAGTGTGTGTGTGTGTGTGTGTGTGTGTTTTGTGTGTGTGTCAGGCTGGGATACCTACAGTGGCCAGTGACATGGCGAGGGAAGGTGTCTGCCAAGCCAGTGTGGAATAGAGGGTTCTGGGGAAGAGGATGCAGACCTCCCTAGTACCCCCACCTGTCACAGATGACACTGAAAGCCTTAGAGCCTGCCTTCATGGCTTTGGTCTTTGGTATAACCTCTGAAATCCTTCTGAGGGGCAAACTTCATATCTCTTCACACAAAACAACTCTGCCCAAACCTCTGCACTCAGAGACTCGACCAAACTCTAGCATCGCTTCTAGCAGCTTAAGGCTGTGTCCCTAGAATGACTCCAGTATCCTTAACATGCTTGCCTGGGAACGCTCAACTCTGCCAGAACAATTTACTCTGCTCCAGCCAAAACCTGGAGAGAAGCAGACAGGCCCCTGAACCCAACTAGAGCAGTTAGTTTAGAAGCCTGCAATGATGAACACTTTCTCTGCCCTTTGGGATGGAATTTACCACCCAACCCCATTTCCTTGAGGGCCTTAGAGCCTTCTCTTTGCAATGCAAACATTCAGGGAGCTGACTCCTGATCTTCCCAGTCCCTGTGGAAAGAGTAGAGCCTGACTTCAGTGGGTTCTTCCTGCAGTCTAATGCATGGCTTCCTGTCCTGACGATAAGAGGAGTTTGTTTCTGCCCCAGGTGAGCCAGGATGAAGACATCCAGGCGGTCTAGTCACATGGACCAAGTCCCTCTCCACAGCACACAGTGCCTATCCTTTTGCACACTCAGCCTTTAAAACAGTGCCAGGAGTTAGTTTTGGGGATTTGAGTCCAATCCATACTGGACTCTTCTTTCCTCTGTGCAGTTGTGTTACTGAATAAATTCTGTCCTACTGCTTTAATCATGGTCAGCTTTGTGTGTCCTCGACTGGAAGGAGAACGCTTTTTCAATTTTAGAAGTCAATCTTTCTTTCTTCCACTTTTTATTCCCAATTTTTATTTTAGGGTTGGGGGTACAGGTGCAGGTTTGTTACATGGGTAAATTGTGTCTCTGGAGTTTGCTGTATGGATTATTTTGTCACCAGGTATTGAGCACAGCACCCGATTAGGTAACTTGTCCATCCTCACCCTCCTCTGACCGTCATCCCTCAAGTAGACCCTGGTGTCTACTGTTCCCTAGAAGTCAATGGGAAATCAAAAGAAGCCACTTTTTTGGATCTTTTCAATGAGGTGATGAAGAGCATGAGTGATTTATGGGGGAACTATGCATACCCAGCCCAAAGTGGGAAGCCAGGAAGCCCCCGACTGCCTCTCCGGGCTCCTCAACTCCTTTCCCCTCCTAGGCCCCCTCAGTTTTCCCATCTGCACAGTTATTTTATCTACTGGTCCTCCCAGCACAGACACTTCAGGATTCTTCAATAGGAAGACAATCAGAGAGTCTGGGGAGAGGGGATCCCAGGGCCCTGATATCCCGGTGACAACTGTGCCCTCCTGGAGAAGGTTTCCATGGAAATGTTAACTCCTGCTGAAGGGAACAGCTGCCCAGGACTCAGAGCAGTGCTTGGAGAGGGAAGCACTCCTGGGATCAGAGGTGGGAGGGCTGATGGGGGTGGGTGAGTCCCTCCAAGAGGCCTGCGCCTTCTCACTGTTGGAAGAAACCAGCCAAATTCCTTCCTGTTAAATCCGACAATGTAGGGGACAGTGTGGAACTTCCTTTCAGCTTGAAGCTCCTCGGGTGTTTTTGGCAGCACCACTCCATCAATCACCGTGGGTGTGTGGGGGTAACTCTGGGGGAGAGAGCAACACAGCGCCTGTGATTCCCACCCTAGGTCACAACCGTGTCCCCAACTCTGCCTGTCTGAGGGTGAGACCAGCACCCTAGACCGGCGTGACTTTGGGCCATGGGTATGCACACACAGGGTCCTAACTAAGGAGGATAGATGTGTGACTCAGGGGCAGAACTTCAGGCAGAGGCTGACACTGGTCAGGTGACGAGGAGAGGAAGAAATCTTCACTCAGACTGAAATACATGTATTATCTATATAAAATTACATGTCTATATACTTCAATTTGAAGTACATGCATTTCCCTCTCTGTGTCCACAGTTGTTTTCGGTAGTCCCAGCAGTTGCTTCCGACAAAGCTCCCACGAGTGCTGAATTAGAGAATACAGGGTCATCACTCAAAGGGGAAATACTGGGTTAGGTTCTTGCAAACCTCTGGCCACAACATTTTCATCAACCTTCTTTTATGTGTGGGTTTCTGTTGAAAGACACTTTATATAATACATAAGTCTTACAAAGAGTTAATTATAAGTAGGATTACTTTTAATAAAACACCAGCTGAAAAGCCCTTCCCATTTTTTGACCCTGGGTAAGATGAGTGTAAATTTCCTGTTTTCAACCTCACAACAGTGCTGTCCATCCTGCTTTTTAAAAATTCCTTCATCATCTCATGAATCTCCCAATGCAGTTTCTTTTCCATCTTTCCACAGCTGCATCACACACAGTAGGTGTTACTTTAGCACTTCCCATCACAGCCTCATGTATGAACTGGCCAATTTCCTCCTCCTTTTCCTGTATGTGCAGTTTTGTGGATTTTTCAACAACGAACGCATGGCCAGCAGCACTGCCCAAGCTTATCTCACACAGGCGCCTTCCCGGTAAGGCACAGCACAGCCTGCTTAGCTCAGGAACACTAGACAGCAGCGCTACTCTTGCGGGCAACTCTGAACAGTGACATCACCAGAAAAAGCACAAAAATGCAGAACACATGGCACTAAATTGACCACGAAGAGGACACTTGTTAGCTTGAGAGATGAAACAAGAAGACAGAGGTTGCCTTGCCGGATCTCAGATGGAACGTGCCCATCATGCAAATCCAGATTCCCCTACTCTGTACCTGCCTGTGTGTGACCATGAAAGTGCCACCAGTATCGATTTGGGGGTTATAAGGACATTTTAGGAAGCAGGTGAATTTATAAACGCAGAATCCATGATTAATGAGGAGAGATTGTGCTATCTATCTCTATTTAAATGAGAGCTGTTATTGATCCATGGGTGGCTTTGAGGAGGTACGGAACCCTCATCACTCAAGGAGCCTAGACTAGGACGTGATTCCCTATTAGAGAGAAAATCATGAATAAAAGAATCAGTGATGAACTCACAGTATATTGATCCATGTCCTAATTTTAGGTTTTACCTTTGATGAATAATTTTTGTATGGTCACAGATTAGCGAGAGCCTGATTCACGCATTGCCATCAGGGCAGCTGGTTCTGGGTACAGTTAAAACAGAGTATGGACTTTGAAACCAGATTAACTGGATCTGAAGCCTGGCTCTGCTACTTACTGGCTGGGAGTTTCACCTGTTTGGGCCTCAGTTTTCTCATCTAAGAGGTGAGTTATTGTGAGGAATTAAATGGCTGAACACATGCAAAATACTTAGCGCAGCACCTGGTGTCTGGAAGGGCTGAATAACTGTTAGGTATTACTTGTTAGCAGGGTTGCTGTGGGTCCCTCTCATAGACCCCAGTCCTCTGTGCCATCTTCCCAGCTCCATGCCCTATGGGCTGTATTTCCCTCCCAGATATCAGATGCAACTGGACAATTCCTAGCTTTTTTGAGACCCTATGGCTTCCAGGACCTTTGTTCTGCTCTACAAAAGCCAATGAATGACGAGCTAGTTCGGGCTGCCTGGGGGAAATGTTCTGTGAAGTGGACCAGAACCAGCTGGACAAGGTGCAGATCCTAATCCAATATGGCTGACAATACGGAACAGGATTGGGGTGCAAGTCCGGCCTCCTTGAGAGGCTGTGCAGTTCAGGCAGGGCTGCCGTGGGAGGCCAGCAAGAGGAGCAGCTTCTCTGCAAGGAAGATGCAGGGCAGGCTACGTGGAGGAGGTGCCGCCTGCCTGCAGTGGGCTCTGGGCAGTGACTGGTATTGACAAGTGAGGAAAGGAGTGAGAATTTCTAAAAAACGGGAACCACGTGAGCAAAGGGACATAGATATCACTATGCAGGGTAAATTCCAGAAACACTCAGGAGTTCTGGGCTTGGAAAATTATCGTGGGGCAGGTTTTAGAGGGAGGGACAGGTGCAGAGCCTACCTTCTGTATAGTCTGGCACATAGTGCGCACGCAGGTGTGTTTTGAAGGACTAACTCCATGGAGGGAAGGGAATTTGTCTCATAAGGAAGGTCAGGCTTTTAAGAAGTGGGGGTGACGCACTCTAACTCTGTTAAGGAAGGCCAATCTGGCTGCACCATGAGACACGGAATTGGGTAGAGGATATGAAGTAGAAAAGGATAAAAGTTGAGGAGAGAGACAGGATTGCCCTGGTTGGGTGGCAGCCAAGTGGGAAGACTGCCATCAGCAACAATGACAAGTGATTGTTGTCCACTTAGAGTTTTCAAGTGGCTGCCCTGTGTGGGTATGACTTTGCTTCTGCCCGAAAACTCAGGACATCCTCCACTCCTCTCCCTTTCTTACCCCTAGCATCCTGTCCATCAGCGAATCCTCTCAGCTATTCCTTCAAAGATATCCAGACTCCAACCATTCCTCCCATCCCCACTACTACAGCCTTAAGCAGCCAGGAGCCATTGCCTGGATTATGGCAATGCAGTGGCCCGCCAGCTGGTCAGCTGCATCCACTCTGCCCGTTTCCTACAGTCTATTTGATCACCAGGGGCAGAGACCTTTGTGAAATCTAAGATCATGTGACTCCTCTGTTCAAAACCTCCAAAGGCTTCCCATCTTGCTCAGAATCCAAATGCAACTACTTTAAATGATCCCTCTCCCACTTCCCATTACCTCTTCAGCCTCAAGCCAGTCTGTCCCCACACTCCATCCTCTCCAGCTGGACCTGCCACTTCCATCGGGGTCTTTGCAGTGGCTGTTCCCTCTGCCTGGAATAGGCTTCCCCAGGTTTCCTGACAGCTGGCTTCCTGCCTCCTCCAGAGCTTGGCTCAAATGCCACCTTCTTATTGAGCCATTCCCTGATCCTGCTACTTAAATTGAAACCACCTGCAAACTCTACCCCTAATGCTGCACACCATCCAACAGAATACATACTAGATTTGCTTTTTTATTGCACTCTCCCTACACTGTAATGGAAGGTCCCAAGAGGGCAGGGAGTCTTTCTTGTTTTACTCCTATATCACCAGCTCCTAAACAAGTCCTGGCATATAGGAAGTGTTTATTAAGTCTTTGCTGGATGAATCTCATGTACTCCGCCCATGACCATTTAGGAGAGTGCTGTGACCTCCAGGAAGGCAGCAGAGAGGACAGGATTGTAAGATTCGTCAGAGGTGATGTCACCAGAAACTGTCAACCCATTGGGAGGTGGGGGTGGTGAGGAGATCAGGAGGATATTGTTGGAGACTCCTGTGTGCTGGGAGGAGTTGAGTGTCCTTGGACTGAGATTCAGGCTTCCCCTCTCCGTGGCTAATCATCCCTGTTATCTCTGCCTCCCGATAGTGGAATGTTCTGGTTCAACCTCCTCCCATAGTGCCATTTTGGGGAGCAGAAAATGTAAAAAAGCAGGGGAGTGGGCAGAGCCCAGGGCATACAGAGGTGATGCCTGGGAGCACTGGACTGGGAGTCAGGAAAATGGGTTCCAGGCCAGCCACTAGTCTTCCTGGCTGTGTTACCCAGGTGAGTGACTGCCCCTCTCTGGGCCTCAGCATCAAGCACACAGGAGTTCCTATAATTACCCGAGAGAGGATTCTTTCACTTATAGTTAATTGGAGCTTAAAGGTGCTAAGACTCAAAACCCGCAATCGAGAAACAAAATGTCCTTACCTCTCTGGGGTCTCCATGTAAGTCTAGAGTTCAGAAATTCTGTGAAGACAAAAGCAGAGGATGTGGGTAAGAGGCTTCCCAGGAGAACACTGAGCTGGGTGAGTGGGGCAGCAGAGGTGTCAGGTTCTCCCTCCTGGTGCCGAGCTGGCTGGGCCCAGAGGAAGTGGGCCGGACTCTGGCTCTGCTGGGCCTGAGCACAGGGTGAAGGCATAGAACGAAAGAGTGGGCACTGGCACGGGAAGGATGGGCCAGGAACTCTGAGCCAGCATTGCTACAGCTCTGGATAGGACACCTGCTTTTGGAGCCTTCCCTGTCCCCCATCCCTCTCCCCTTCCTGTTCCCCAGGGAAGAATACCCCCATTCTTTTTCAGGGATCTCTTTCTTTCCCTATCACTCCATGAATTCAGGCATCTATATGTGACCTGGGGCGCTCCATTTCCCTGATTGCGGGTATTAGTTCAGGGATAGGTATACATCCATGTCAATCCAATAGAGTTTACCCCAGAACTTTTGTAGGAATTGTTTGGACAGAGGGTTTCGAAGCAGATAGGATATAACTCTAGAGTGCTGTTGTCTTTAACCTTCCCAGAAGATGTATCTGCTGAAGAGTGAAGTCAACACAGAGTTGTCCAAAGCTGAAGGATAGAGAATGGTAGATTCTCAATAACATTCAATAGGCATCTGGATCCAGCCATGCCTGAAACTGTCAACTCCTGAGTTTTTCAGTTAACACAAGGATGTTATTCCAACACATTCCTTTTTCCATTCAAGGCACCTTGGGGGAGTTTTCTCATCTCCCATTACACAGCTCTGACTCATACAACTCACTGAAACTTACCCTACCCCATGCTTCTCTTTGGTGTGTGTTCATGAAGATTGCAGTGATTGTATCGCTGCACTGTAGCTCACGTGTCTGGCCTGTTCGCAGGAAGTAACCAGTGCAGGTCTCTCCATTAAGGATTGTAGTCCCACTAGCCAGGAGTGTCTGTGTGTGTGTGTGTGTGTTTGTGTGTGTGTTTGTGTGTGTGTTTGTGTGTGTCTCTGTCTGTGTCTGTGTGTTTCTCTGTGTGTGTGTCTGTGTGTGTGTTTGTGTGTGTCTCTGTGTGTCTGTGTGTGTGTTTCTCTGTGTGTGTGTGTCTATGTGTGTGTGTTTCTCTGTGTGTCTGCATGTGTGTGTACTGGAGGCAGTGGGTAATCATGGAGGCGCTCCCACAAGATCTCAGAAAATCTCAGAAGGATGTCCCAGGATCTTAGGGCTGGATTTTCCCAAAGTTACCAAGTTTTTCCTTTTAAGCTGGGTCCTCTGATGCCACATGCAGAATTGCTGGAATGTTTGCCTCCTTCCAGGCATTAGAAAGCAGTTGTGTTTTAATTCCTTGAACACTTTGGTCATTTAGAGCTTGAACCAAGACCTAAGCTCCAAGACCACATTGGACTCAACCCATGTAAACACAAGCAGAGTCCAGTGGTAGCAGCCGGACCTGGGACCCAGGAGTAGCCTCAGGTCCAAGGAGGGATTCCAGAGATCAGGCTACTCATGAGCTTGGAATTCACACCCTTCTCCCTCAAAGGGAATAGTTCCCAATGGCCCTGGGTGCTGTGTCATCTGGGTGTTTGTCCTGCTGGGCTTCCCTGTGTTGAGAGACTGCCACAGCTGTCCGTCAATCATAAAGGTCCCCAACTCCTAATATGTGAGGACAGCAGGAATGGCAGAAGATATTCTAGACCCACAGGTGTGGGTTCTGGGTCCTAACTGGAACTGTGTTGCCTCTGACTAACTGGAACTGTGACATGAGCCAATTACAAAATTTCTCTGTCTCTGTTACCTCTATTAAAATGGGCACAATGATCTCAATGCTGAATTTCTCAAGAAAGATAAGGTGGAGTCAGGGTTAAGGGCATGAATTCCCGAATTCCGCTGTCTGGTCTCAAATTCGGCTCGTCCACCTTCTCTGTGAAGCACCCCTGATGACTACAATGAATGCTTCCCCTCTGTGCTGCCACCATACTCAACCTGAAAAGTATATGTGAGCAGGGACTATGTCCACTTCATGTCTGTTTCACTACCTCTAACACCCACCCCTACATACTTAGCATGGATGGATGGGTGGATAAATGGAGGGATGGATGGCTTCACCAATAGCTGGAGTACAGTTGAATTGGATGGATACATGAATAGTGGGTGAAAACTAACAGATAGGTGATAATTGGATTGTTGGTTTTGGAGGAATGGGGTGACAGAGTTAAGATATATGGTGGCTGGATGATGCATGAACAGTGGATAGATTGAAAATAGAAAAATAAAAAGTTATGAACAGGTTGATATTAGATTGATAAAAATATATCAATGAATGGGATGAATTAGTGAACACATAGATGCATAAGAAGATCATAGTAGATGGATTAATGATTGAGTGGACGAACGACTATCCTAGAATGACAACTGAGTCAGAGTCTCAGAAAATCTAGAAAACTGGACCACTACCAGGTCTAATACAGACAGTTTCTAAGTCAACCAAGATAACTTGTGACATCTTTCTGAAAATCTTTGAGCTTAATAACTCCATCCCCAAAATTCAGAATGATGGTGTCCCCTGGGAATATGTAATGTTTAGTTTCTCAAAAATACATCTGAAAACAAGAATGGCAAAATATTAAAATTTGGTCAAATAGTAAATTTGGTCAGTTTTTTTATCATGTTATTTTTGGACTTTGTTTTTACATTTGTGTCATTTTTCAATAAAAAAAAGGACAAATTAGATTCCCCATTCAGATACTGAGACTCCTGAGACTTGAGAAATTGCCCCAGGTAACTGTCCCAGGGCAAGAGGACAGCTGAAATGAAGAAGTCTGGGTTTGGGCTATGGGAACAGGCAACCTACCATTTTCAATGTCGTCTCCAAGAGCTCCTCTTCCATCTTCTGCCGCAGACAGTGAGCCATGACAGCTGAGTTGGTGGTTTCACACCCAACAGTGTTAGCAATTTGCTGCAAAGATCACAAGCAACAACAGAGTTCAAGAGCGAAGTCCCTTCCCTCCATCAATATGGAAAAAGATGTTCTATCCTAACTAAGCCTGACTTGTACAAGTGGCAGGGGGCAGCAGAAGAAACTCTAGACCCACATGTGTGGGTTCTGGATTCCGCAGAGCATTGCCTCTATTACTAATCACAATTGTAGTATGAGCCAATTACCCAGTCTCTTATCTCTGCTACCTTATCTCTATTGAAATGGACATAATCATCTCAAGCTGAATGTGTCAAGAAAGGTGAGGTGGAGCTGGGGTTGAGATGATGGAATCTTGAATTTACTTGTCTGCTTCCAAATCCTGGCTGCTCCACTTACCAGCCATTAGGCCACAGGCAGTCCACCTGATTTGTTTGGGCCTTGGTTTCTCCACTCATGGATGGTAATAATGACTGCACCTACCTCATGAGTTAATACATGTGGGAGAGTGCCATGTCTTCCACACAATAAAGATGTGCAGAATTGCAGGAGGCCTAGATAAGATGATTCACACAGGACCACTTCAGAAAGTAGCAAATGTGCTTTAATGGTGAGTTCTAAAGAAAAACAGGGTCTCGTCCCTTGCAAGACATAGATGGGGTTTCTCAGCTGAGTGAGGCATCTGTGGCACAGCCAGGAGTTTCCACCTGCACATTTGTGTACTAGAGTCCCAAGCAGTAATCAAACATGACTCTTTAGGCCACAGGTCAGCAATGTGCCCATCAAAGACCAAATAGTAAATATTTGAGGCTTTGTGGGCCATGTGGTCTCTGCTGCAACTTCAAGACTGCTGTTGGCATGAAACACAGCCAGAGACACAAGGTAAATGAATGGGTGTCACTGTGTTCGAGGAAAACTTCCTTTATGGACAATGAAATTTGAATTTCATATGATTAAAAAAAGTCATCCTTAGCTCAAGGGCCATGCAGGCATAGATCCAGATTTGGCCATGGGCGATGGTCTCTGCACCTTTGTCCTGAGTCAAGCCACAAAGTAACAATAATTAATACACCAAGAACCTCTTTTCATCTTTAAAAAAATGTAAAAAATATAAAAATTTAAAAAGCCCTCCCGAGGGACAGGGTCCCTTCTGCCTGACCTAGGCATTGGGGTCAGTTTGCCCAGCATACTCTGGTTTCCTACTTTTCTAAGAGTTCAGGGACATCGAAGCAAAGACGGGACAGTGAGCCTCTCTCTTAAGTGACCTGGAATTGGGGTGGAGAGCTGCTAATGTAAAAAACACTCATTTTTCACAACAGGAAAGACAGCCTGACTACTTTCTGGAACCAAGGAGAGTCCTTAAGCTCAGGGGCAGATAGGGTGCTCATGCAGATTGGAAGCAAAGTGCAGCCAGAAAGAAGGGCACAGAGGGAGAGCAGGCAGGCTCCACAGTCGGGGAGTCAGGGCAAGCGCACATGCCCCCAGAGCCCCGTGCAGGATCTCGGACAGAATCAATGCCCAGAGTGTTTCTCAAATAAATAAACAGGGACAGGGAGAAGTAGAGGGTGAGAGAGAGAGAGAAAGACAGACAGACAGAGAGAAAGAGACAGAGAGAGAACAAGAGTAACAGAGTCTAGGATTCCCATCATTTTGTAATTTCTGCTTCCTGTTTTTGCACAAAGCCCATCCTCCCAGATCTCTATTTCCTTGAAAAATAAATTCTCCTTTTAAAGAGAAGATTTTGGGACAAGGTCTTGCTTTGTTCCCAAGCTGGAGTGCAGTGGTGCAAACACAGCTCACTGCAGCATAGACCTCCTGGGCTCAGGTGATCCTCCCACTTCAGCCTCCCATGTAGATGGGCCCACAGTCTTGCACCACCATGCCCAGCTTAATTTTTTGCTTTTTGTAGAGACAGGATCTCACTTTGTTGCCCTGGCTGGTCTCTAACTCCTGGGCTCAAGCAAGGCTTCCGCCTCTACCTCCCAATCGCTTCAGTGATTCTAGGAGAACATCAGCTAGAACCCATGGCAAGAATAACCTCTGAGAATTCAGAAGCACAGAGCCAAGGGGTTGGGGGCATCCAGCGGGAGACCTACCTCAGCCAGGGGCTTGACGTCACCCTTCTCCACCAGAGCAGGAGTGAGGGCCACATCACTCTCAGAAATTACAGGCATGAGCCACCACACCTAGCCAATCGTCCGTCTTGACTTAAATCTGGTCACTGGGAAACTGTTGCTTATAACCAATGAATTCTAAAAACATTCTCAAAAATTCTAAAAATTCTTGGCATCCCCATTTTCTCTCCTCCAATGTACCAGCCCTTTAAGTTTGAATGCTTTCCCCAAACAAGCTCTCAAAGCTACCAAATTCCTCCACGCCATGGGGACTTCTGTCCCCATGGAGACCTGATGAGGAGGACTCCATCTTTGCTTCCCACACTTGCCAGATTTCAAGCAGAAAATGGGGTGAGTGGGTCCCAACACTCCTCCAGGAAGGGGTCAGATGCTCCCACACCCCACCTTCTGCAGCGCCCATTCCTTCACCCACAATATGCCCTGAACTCCCTGTATGACTCTGCCCCTTCCCTCCTTTCCATGAGAAGTCAGATGTGTCAACCTTCAACAGCTGGGCTGCATGCTAGCTGCCATGACAGAGAAATGCAATGTGTGGGAGCAGCACAGATGAAAAGGAGATGAGTCTTTCAGTGGAGCTAACTGGGGGCTGGGTCTTGCAGGATGAAGAGGAATTCTTTAGGTAGACTAAGCATTCCAGGCAGAGGGAACACCACATACAAAAGCTCAGAGGCTAGTGGACTAGTGTGGCTGGGGAGTGAGAGGGTAGGTAGTGTCCAATTATGAAGGTGCTTGTCTGCTACAATGAGGAACCCAGTTAAGGTCTCCTGAGGGCTGACATGACCAGAGCTGGTCCTAGCAGCCTCATGTTGGGGGCCAAAGGTGCAGTGAGGAGAGTCTAATTTCTTACCTGAAGAATCCCCAGATGCCCAGGCAGTGCTGAATGGTCACCACCACCACGTTTTCATGGGCTGCGAGTACCCGCCCATCAGAGGTTGATGCGGTGCCCACCATCAGCCCCCCTCTGTGGATCCACACCATCACCTGGGCAGGGGGGAAGCAACATACTCGTTACAGGACACAAGGCCAGGGAGCACTCAGAGGGCATCTTGTTTGGTGACCTGCCTGTTGGTCACAACTGAGGGAGGTTGTTACCCAAATTTCACAAGTGCCCAGCAAGGTTGCAAAAGGCAGTCTCTCTCCTCCATAATTCTCCCAACTGGGGCCCAAGCCACCACCCCACTGCACATACCCTGGCTGCCCCTTCCTTTCTACCCAGTCTCCAGTGCCTCCTCCTCGCAAGGCTCTTCACGCTGAGAACATCATCATGGGCATAGCAAACGCTAAGGATTCATGTTCTCCACCTCACTCCCATCACCCTCAAGCCTGGACTGTTCAAGCACTCCGCGTACCCATGGGGCAGCCCTTGTATCTCAGCTTCATCTCAGTTAACTCTTTCATGGTGAAGTAAACTTCTCTGTGCATGAATGATTGTCTCGAGAAGCACACATGCCTGTGATGGTGTCTCTTCCTCAAATGCCTCCTTTATGCCTCTGCATCCCCAAATCCTATCCACCCTGCAGAGCCCAGCCTAAAACCCACCCTCTTCAGGATGCCTTCAATCAATGGACTAACACTGTCTGAGAACTTACTATGTGCCAGGGACTCTGCTAATACCCGAGGATGAGAGTAGGTACAATTCCTAACTCAAGGTTCTTGCATTTTAAAAGTCCACATAGTGGGGAAGAAGTGAGAGTGGCTAAAATAATAGTATTGTAATAATATTATTCATGAAATATAAAAGAACTCATAACATAAACTATGTACGAAGTGCTGTTCTAAGCACGTGTAGTTCTAGAACCTGTGGCCATTCCTGGAGGTTTTCCTGCCTTCAGGTTCCCAGAGCTCCTGTTTCTCCCACACCTCTAATCCCTGCCTGCCTCCTGTGGAGGGATTGAGTGTGCATTCATCTTTGTGTGAAGACTGAGCCCGAGTGCTGACCTGCAATAACATGCTGAAAGGAGGATATGCCTCTACCCCACAAAAGGCAAGATCCTTGAAGGCAGGGGCAGTGTGGAGTGCGTTCATGTTCCTCCTTTCCGTGAAGCCCCAGGTCTAACTGTGTATATGAGGCCCTGAGTACACAATAGAAGAATGAATGAATTAATGAGTAAACCTTTCTCCCACTTCCTGTGTCTCACGAAGCACATGTAGGGCCAACTTCTAGTCCCATGTTCGCAGACCTGCTCCGCCACTCCTAGGCACCATGCTACGGTGCCCCTGGGAGACTGACTGGACCTGACACCCCTTCCTCTTTCACCTTGGGGTGGCCTTCTTTGCCAGCAGACACTCCCAACTCTGCAGCTGGCAGCCAGCCCCATCTCCTGCCGTTTGTTTATTTGGCAAATGCTGACACATTGGGTCATCACCCTTTGCCAACACAATTAGGGAGGGAAATTAGGTACAAAAAAATCCCAGATATTTGGCCAAAGGCAAAAGGAAGAGCTTCTGGGATTGTCCCAGGCTCTGCCCCCAACACCCATACCCGGACAGTGAAAGTTACCCCAGATGGATGTTGGTGTGCTGGAGAAAGGCCACATACAATCTCAATGCCCTACTCTGTGTCAAAAGCACTAGTTTGAAGATCAGAAGACTTGAGCCAAAACTATCCTACTGGGTGACCTCCCCTTCCCTGTCTGGGCCTCGGTTTCTCTATCTGAAAAGGAAGAGTTGAGGTGTTGGCTTTTCTCTAAGTTCCTTCGACCGCTAACATTATTGAAAATCATGTCTTACCCACTCTGATACCAATCTGGGTATCAGATTTTTAATCTAGTAACTAAAGGTAATCATTCTCATCCTTCTATTATCATGAGGGAACTTGGAACAATTAAGATGTTCATTAAAGAGGCACAGCAAACTCCCCCAGAGTCCCTATGTCACGAGGGGAAACTGACGTGTGGAAAACCTGTGTTTCCTGTAGAGGCCCTGGGGTCCTGAAACAATCCTGGCCTGTGCAGCTCCCTCCCCAAGCTGCCTTCATCCCCTTCCGATCTACACTAGAATATCTGGGGTACTGGCACTGACACGCCTTGACCAGGGGATCCCACAACTTACCAGCAGCCTGTTTTTCTTGGTCAAGTCAGCAGGAGTGTAAATATTGAGGTAAAGACAGTCTTCAGAAAGCTTGAAAGGAATGTTCTCCTTTCGGTTGGTCAATAGTTCTGAGAGAAACTGCCCTACCTTGGGATCTTGGGTGCACCTGCGGAGGGGGAAAGAAGAACCCCTGAAGTTCAGCCAGATCTAAGCGAGGTGTCTTCTAGGGCAGCGCCTTGGACTGGGAGGTTTAAGCCTGAAAATGGACTTGATATTTACAGACTCACGACATTGTAGTGGGTAGGAGGCTATCAGGGGCTTCAGGTGGGGACGCTGGGACTCACTAAGGTCTCCTAAGACCAAGCAGAGTGAGAAGGGCTTCACAGCTCTTTTCTTCCCGGAAACTTTGGAACTCCCAGCATTGAGGAGGGGAGACCACCAATACACTGATCCTCCCTTGGAGGTGACATTTCCAACAATATCTTAGGGGTAAAATCTTTGTGGGACAACGTCAGAACTGTGCTCTAGTTTTGTCTCTCCCACACATTTACAGGGTGACCTTGGGTGAATTCCTTTCACATTCTGGGTCCCAATCTGCCAGGTCTATGTGAGAGGATTGATTTCTGCATGAGTCTTGCAGCCCTGACATGCCAAGATTCTACCATCTGCCTATCCCAGGCAAGTGCTGTTGGTTGCCCTGATGAAAGATCTCAAGGATACAACATAGATGAACATTGGTAATAGTTATTGCGTCCTCCCAGTGTTCCAGGCACTGTTTCAAGTACCCTTTATGTATTAACTCATTTAAGCCTCAGATTACTCTGATTACATAGGTTCCATTATTTCCATTTTACAAATGAGAAAACTGAAGCCCAGAGAGGTTAGAGAACCTGCCCAAGTTTACATAGCCAGGTAGATCCATGCCATGTGGTGCTTATACACAAGTATATTATAAGCAACAGTCCCAGACCTCAAAGTACCAGAAGGCAGGCCTCATGGCCCCCACTAGGTACATGAGGAAACTGAGGCACTCAGGCTCTGGGATGACACAGCTGTCAAGAATCAGAGCCAGCAAAGACAATTTCATGCTTTCCATCTTGGGAGGTTTTCCTGCAGATCACCAAGTACAAGTGGCATAACAATAATAATAATTATAATAATAATAATAATAAAAACAACATTCCAATGTGAAGAAAGGGAAAAAGAACTCAACTTCACTGGTCTTCAGTTAAATGCAAACTAAATAGGAAAATAATATTGCTATTATTATTATCATTTTGCCTATCCGATAACCAAAAACAATTTTAATAACCCCAAGCACAGCAAAAAATCTGATGAATGGAGATTTTCATCCTTCAATGGGAGAAGTGTAGTTGGAATATTTTGGCAAGGAATTTTAACAAAAGATATACACTTTTCGACTCAGAAATGTCATTTCTGGGAACTTATCCTAAAATAATTATGAATGGGCATAAAGGTTTCACTATAAAATATTCACCACAGTGCTCTCTATATTATCAAAAACTTCATATGTAACCTAATGACCCCAGATAAAAGCTTGGGGAAATTAATTGTGGTGCAATACCAAATGTGATGCAGCTGCTAATATCAGGCTATGCTATTTAATGGCATAGAATGATGCTCATGATATACTTAATGAGCAAAGCAAGCATCCAAATTATCTGAACTTAACATTCCATTTTAAAGGAAGAAAGTATAGCAACAGGCAGAAAAACTGGAATACAAACAAAATTTAAATCATAATACTTTACCTTTTTTGTAATAAGTATGCATTACATTTGCAGTCAGAAAATAAAAACAGTAAATATTATTTTTTAAAAAAGGAAAGAAAAGAAGGCAGCTAGAGGTGGGCTGCTGGAAACCCTCCAAATGCCTGGCTGCTGAGATGAATGGGGTCTTCTCTGATGCCTGTAGGGTCCTTTGTACCCTGGGGAGAGGTGGTGAGGCCAATTAGAACCTTTGGGCTTTTCTTCCCAGCTTGGCCAGGGTGAATGGACACACCTGCCATTTTTCTCCTCAGCATTAGGGAGCTGGGCACACCTGAGAGTTGAGCACTTGCCGACTGGACACCTCAGTACACTTGCCACTCACACACCTCCTGGCCCACTCCTCTCCCCTACTATGTCAAAATTCAAGACAGCGGAATTCATGGGATCCTTCCTTCTGATCTCCCTCATCTGCTTAACTGCTTCTTTGTTTCCAAGGCACTTATCCCGTTCTAACATATCACATGATCCATGGAGTAATTTGCATGTTCTTCTTATCTGTCTCCCCCTGCTAGAATGCACGCTCCGTGAATCTAGGGACCTTTGCTTTGTTCACTAATGGACCCCAAGGACCCAAGAACATGCCTGGCCCACAGTAGGTGCTCAATAAACATGTGTTAAATAATGGACTCCAGAATGCTGTGAGAGTTCTGGAATGTTCTTAAGGATCTACAATGATCTTAAGGATTCCAGAGCAAAGGATCAGCCCATCAGGGGACTGCCTTGACTCCTTCCTGCATCACTTTGAGGCGAACATCCCCATGGACACATGCCAAAGCCACCCCTGGCTTACATAGGAGGTTGGGTAGGACTTGGGAGAGTGGGCATATCTGGGGCCTTCAAATGAACTCTCCCAAGCTTCTCCACCTCCATCAGTTTGCTCAGCAGATATGTGGAAAACACATGTTAGAGCAGGCATTGGGCACAGCAAACACATGTCTTTCTGGGCCCCTCACTCAGCTTTGTCTCTGAACTATGGGATTGATCAGGTGTAGATTTTGTGGTGGAGAACACTGAACTGGGAGACAGAAGTCTGAATCCACTGGGTGACATTTGGGAATTCCTTGTGGAAAGACAGGGTGTGGCTCTGGGGGAGGGACCCTCTCACGCACCCTTCACCATGGCTCCACACTCTATGAATCCAGGATTCTATGACATTCTCCACTGCAGCCTGGGCATACGCAGTGTTTCTGGAACCTCAGTTAGTCTCATACTAATATCATGGTTTTTTGCCTTATCAGCGTATCATCTGTACTTCCATGAGCAGTTTTCTTTAAATGAAGTCACTCTTTTTACTTCAACATGCTCACTCAAAAAGGAGACTTTATACCATTGCCATAAATGCAAGACCTCTATAACCTGCCATAAATTAGAGGTATGCATGGAAAACGTGTGACTGCATTTTTTAAATTAAAATGATGGTAAAAATAAAAAAGTACATAAAGAAATGCCAGTAAAAACACTTCTAGTTTACAAAAGTGTATAACTGAAAAAAGTCACTCAATGGGAAAAGTGAACCATTGAAGGCCAGTTAGTTACATGAAAGCAGGGCCAGCCTTGATCACCGTCATGACCACCAGGTAGGTGACAAGGCAAGGGTACCTACCTTTGGCAAGGGTCATCGTCATCAAGGTCATTTCCTTCTGCTTCAGGGAACGTCTTCCTGTTAACATTCAGTTCAATGGGCAGAAATTGGATTATGTTTACACCTTCCCAGGCCCATGATGCTGCCCATGATGCTGTGTTATACTTAGGGGGTCAGACTCCCTGGGGTCAATCAGGTCCTAGGACTGACTGGTCAGAGTATCTGGAGGAAATTTTGGGCTCGTGGTGGGTCGTAGAGGAGAGAGCTGTACTCCCATGGGCATAACTAGTCCACCTCAATGGCTCAAACAACTGATGATTGGGCCATGTACATTCATCAGTCAATCACCCTGTGACTGCTGAGGAAGAATTATTAGTGAGACCAGGATAAACTATGGTAGCAATTAGGCCCAGAATTTCAATGGCTTATTTTTCATTTATGTAAAGAAGTAGAGTGTTGTTGTTCAGGTCAACAATGTGGTTGTCTTCCATGTGGTCACTCAGTGATCCAAATTAGAGTATCAGCAAACTTTTTCTATAAAGTGCCAGATAGTAAATATTTTGGACTTTGCAGGCCATGTTCTCTTTGGCAACTGCTGTGATAGTAAAGACAGCCATGGACGATACCTATCCAAATGGGCATGGCTGTGTTTCAATTGTTTCATTCTTCTGCATATGGCTGGCCAGTTATCCCAGCACCATTTACTGAATAGGGAGTCCTTTCCCCATTGCTTGTTTTTGTTGACCTTGTCGAAGATCAGATGGTTTTAGGTTTGTGGCTTTATTTCTGAGTTTTCTCTTCTGTTCCATTGGTCTATGTGTCCATTTTTGTACCAGTACCATGCTATTTTGGTTACTATAGCCTTATAGTATAGTCTGAAGTTGGGTAATGTGATGCCTCCGGCTTTGTTCTTTTTGCTTAGGATTGCTATGATGATTCTGGCTCTTTTGGTTGGATATGAATTTTAGAATTGTTTTTTCTAACTCTGTGAAGAATTGGTGCAGGTAGTTTGATGGAAATAGCATTGAATCTGTAAATTGCTTTAGGAAGCATGGCCATTTTAATGAAATTGATTTTTCCTATCCATGAGCATTGAATGTTTTTCCATTTATTTGTGTCATCTCTGATTTGTTTGAGCAGTTTTGTAGTTCTCCTTGCAGAGATCTTTCACTTCCTTGGTCAGCTGTATTCCTAGGTATTTCATTTATTTGTGGTTGTTGCAAATGGGATTGTGTTCTTGATTTGACTCTCAGCCTGAGTGTTATTGATGTATAGAAATGCTAGTAATTTTTGTACATTGACTTTGTATCCTGAAACCTTACTAAAATAATTTGTCAGTTCTAGTAGCCTTTTGGTGGATTCTTTAGGGTTCTCTAAGTATAGAATTATATTGTCAGTGAAGATAGTTTGACTTCTTCTTTTCCTGTTTAGATGCCTTTTATTTCTTTTTCTTGCCTGATTGCTCTAGTTAGGACTTCCAGGGCTATGTTTAATAGGAGTGGTGAGAGTTGGCATTTATGTCTTGTTCCATATCTCAAGGGGAATGCTTCCAGATTTGCCCATTCAGTATGATGTTGGCTGTGGGTTTGTCATAGATGGCTTTTATTGTTTTGAGATGTGCTCCTTTAATGCTGAGTCTGTTGAGGGTTTTTAACATGAAAGGATGTCAGATTTTATAAGAAATTCTTTCTTTGTCTATTGAGATGAACATATTGTTTTTGCTTTAAATTCTGTTTATGTGGTGAATCACATTTATTGATTTGTACTTGTTGAACCAATTATTGCATCTCAGGGATGAAGCCTACTTGATCATCGTTTATTAACATTTTGATGTGCCGCTGCATTTGGTTTCCTGGTATTTTGTTGAGGATTTTTGTGTCTATGTTCATCAGGGATATTAGCCAGAAGTTTTTTTTTTTCATTGTGACTCTTCCAGATTTTGGCATTAGGCTGATGCTGGCTTCATAGAATGAGTTAGAGAGGAGTCCCTCCTCTTGGATTTTCTTGGAATAGTTTCAGTAGAATTGGTCTCAGTTCTTCTTTGTACATGTGGTAGAATTTGGCTGTGAATTAATCTGATCCAGGACTTTTTTTGATTGGTAGGGTTTTTTTGTTGTTGTTGTAACTGATTCAATTTCAGAGTTCCATATTAGTCTCTTCAGGATTTCAATCTCTTCCTGATTCAATCTTAGGAGATTATTTCCAGGAATTTATTTATTTTCTCCAGATTTTCTAATTTGTGCACATAGAGTTATTCATAATATTATCTGAGGATCTTTTATATTTCTGTGGGATCAGGTGTAACATCATTTTTGTCATTTCTGATTGTGCTTATTTGGATCTTCTTTGATTTTGTTAATCTAGTTAGGGGCCTATTGATCTGGTTTATTTTTACTAATAACCAACTTGTAGTTTTATTGATCATTTGTATGGATTTTTGCAACTCAGTGTCAAATTCTTCTCTAATTTTAGTTTTCTTTTGCTAGCTTTGGGGTTGGTTTGTTCTCTTTTTCTAGTTCCTTTAGGTGCAAACTTACATTGTTAATTTGAGATCTTTCTAACTTCTTGATGAAGGCATTTCATGCTCTAAACTTTCCTCTTAACACTGCTTTAGCTGCATCCCAGAGATTTTGGTAAGTTGCATCCCTATTTTCAATAATTTCAAAGAATTTTTTGATTTATGCCTTAAATTTGATATTCACCCAGGAGTTATTCAGGAGTAAGTTGTTTAATTTCCATGTATTTATGCAGTTTTGAGAGATGTTCTTGATAATATTTTTATGTTTATTGCACTGTGTTCCGAGAGTGTGCTTGGTATGATTTCAACTTTACAAAAAAAATTTTAACACTTGCTTTATGACTGAGCGTGTAGTTAATCTTAGAATATGTTCTGTGTGGTCAGGTGTGGTGGCTCATACCTGTAATCCCAGCACTTTGGGAGACCAAGGCAGGCAGATCTTTTGAGGTCAGGAGTTTGAGACCAGCCTGGCCAGTGTGGTGAAACCCGGTCTCTAGTAAAAATACAAACAACAACAACAACAAACAAACAAACAAACAAACAAAAAAACAAAATTAGCCAGCCGTGATGATGGGTGTCATAATCCCAGAGATACTCAGGAGGCTGAGGCAGAAGAATCACTTGAACCTGGGAAGCGGAGGTTGCAGTGAGCCAAGATCGCACCATTGCACTCCAGCCTGGACGACAACAGCGGAACTCTGTGTGCAGGTGAGAAGAGTATTTGTTCTGCCATTGTTTGGTGGAGTGTTCTATAGATGTCTATTAGGTCTAACTGGCCAAGAGTCAAGTTTAAGTCTAGAGTTTCTTCGTTTGTTTTCTGCCTCAATGATCTGTCTAATGCTGTCAGTGGAATGTTGAAGACTCCCACTCTTATTGTGTGGTTATCTAAGTCTTTTTGTAGTCCAAGAAGAATTGTTTCATGAATTGGGGTGCTCCAATGTTGGGTGTGTATATATTTAGGATAGTTAATTTTTCTTGTTGAAGTGTACATTTTAGCATAACGTAATACCCTTCTTTGTCCTTCTTAATAGAAATCGGTTTAACATCTATTTTATCTGACATAAAAATAGTGACTGGTTCTTTTTAGTTTTCCATTTGCATGGTAGATATTTCTCCATCCCTTTACTTTGAACCTGTGGGTGTCATTACATGTGAGATGAGTCTCTTGAAGACAGCAGATGGTTGGGTCTTGTCTTTTTATCTGGCTTGCCACTCTATATCTTTTAAGTGGAGGCATTTAGCCCATTTACATTCAGGGTTAGAATAGGTATATGAGATTTTGAGCCTGTGACTGTGTTGCTAGCTTGTTGTTATGTAGACTTGGTTGTGTAGTTGCTTTATAGTACCTGCGGGCTATATTCTTAGTGTGTTTTTGTGGTAACAAGTATCACTCTTTTGATTCCATGTTTAGCACTCCCTTAATGACCTCTTGTAAGGCTGGTTTAGTTGAAACAATGTCCCTCAGCATTTGCTTATCTGAGAAGGATTTTATTTCTACTTCACTTATGAAGCTTAGTTTGAAGGAATATGAATTCTTGGTTGAAATTTCTTTCCTTTAAGGACACTAAAAATAGACCCCCAATATCTTCTGAGGTGTAAGATTTCTGCTGATAGGTCTGCTGCTAGCCTGATGGGGTTCTCTCTGTATGTGACTTGACCCTTCTCTCTAGCTGCCTTTAAGATTTTTTCTTTTGGGTTGATGTTCGTGAATCTGATGACTATGTTCCTTGAGGATGGTCATGTTGTATAGCATCTAGCGAGTTCTCTGTATTTCCCGAATTTGCATGTTAACCTCTCTAGTGAGATTAGAGAAACTTTCATGGACTATATCCCCACATATATTTTGCAAGGTTGCTTATTCTCTTTTTTTCTCTCAGGAATGCCAATGAATTGCAGATTTGGTCTCTTTACATACTTCTTGGAAGTTTTGTTCATTGAAGATTTTAATTAGGAAACAAAGCTTAGCAGGAGAGGAGAGCCAGAGAAGTGACAGGGAAGCTACAGGTTACGACAGATTTGTGAACTCAGCCAAGCACAGTGGTGGCAGGGCCTAGCTGCTACAAAGAAGACATGTTTTAGACAAATACTCATGTGTATGGGCAAAAAACTCAAGGACTGTATTTGTGACTAATTGTATAACAGGTTATTTTAGTTTCTGTTCTGTGGAAAGTGTAAAGCATTCCAACAAAGGGTTTTAATGTAGATTTTTTTTTTGCACCCATGCTGTTGATTGCTAAATGTAATAGTCTGATCGTGATGCTGAATAAATGTCTTTTTTTTTAATGTGCTGTGTAAAGTTAGTCTACTCTGAAGCCATCTTGGTAAATTTCCCCAACAGTGTGAAGTTAGAATTCCTTCAGGGTGATGCCAGGTTCTATTTGGAATTTATATACAACCTGCTTGGGTGGAGAAGCCATTGTCTTTGGAAACCTTGGTGTAGTTGAACTGATAGTTACTGTTGTGACCTGAAGTTCACCATTAAAAGGGATTACCCAAGCAAAATCATGGAATGGTTATAAAAGTGATTGTTGGCACATCCTATGCAATATATCTAAATTGAATAATGGTACCAGATAAAATTATAGATGGGAATGAAGCTTGTGTATCATCCATTATCACGTGTAATCAATAAACGATTTAATTCTCTTGAAAATAAAATTTTTTTAACTTTCGTCTGACTGTGTCGATGTGAAGTACTGGCCTTTGAGCTCTGAGATTCTTTCCTCATCTTGGTCTATTCTGTTGATAATACTTTTAATTATATTATAGAATTATTGTAGTGAATTTTTTAGCTCTGGAAGTTCAGTTTGGTTCTTTGTTAAAACGGCTATTTTGTCTTTCAGGTCTTGGATTGTTTTACTGGATTCCTTGGGTTAGGTTTCAACTTTCTCCTAAATCTTGATGAGCTTTCTTGCCATCTGCATTCTGAGTTCTATGCCTGTCATTTCAGTCTGGTTAAGAGCCATTCCTGGAAATCTAGTGGACTCATTTGGAGGTAAGGGGACACTCTGGCTTTTTGAGTTGCCAGAGTTCTTGCACCGATTCTTTCTCATCTGGGAGGGTTTGTGTTCATTTTACTGTGGTGTAAGTTGAGTATTGTCAGTTGGCTTCTGGGTGTTTTCAGAAGGTCAAGGTTCTGTTCAGGGTCTTTATTTGTGGCTAAATTCTTGCCCTTGGTTTCACAGGATGGCATAATATCAAAATATTTTTGATGTTATAGTTTAGGCTATGATCCACTAGATCTTAAAAGATACAGAGTGGCTTAAGGGTAATGGGCAGTAGATAGGCTCTTAGCAGCATGGCTTCTCTGTATTTCCTTTCATTTGCAGCCATACTCTGCATTGCAGTGGAGGAGAAAGGTAACCCCCTTACCAGGTACACTCCTGGACCTTGGAGGAAGCCCCTCCTATCACTGGTGCTGTGCCTGTGTTTCTTTTGTTGGATGTTCCAGACTGCAGGGGTCCCTGGCTGAGGCCAGGGCCCTAATATGTGTTTCTTATGATGTCACAGCCCATCCCTCTGGGTCACTCTGGCCAGAAACCCTTTACAGCATACAATATAGAACTCAAAAAAATACTGGTGCATTACTAGAATCCCATTCCATCATTAATAATTAGTCTCACTTCATCGCTATATTGTATGAAAATGTCTCCCAGGGAGAGAGCACTTGGGCTGGTAGCCTTGTTGGAGAGATCTTGCTGGGTTCCAAAAGCAAGACTGGACTCTGCAAACATACAGCTTTAGCCTTTTAGGCATCTGTATAATGGAGCTAAGAGACAATATCATCACTTGCTCTGAGCCTCTTTTGAGATGTTAATATATATTGGATTTCCGTCATCACACAACCCATTTATTCATTCCTTTGCCCTTAGCTACTCTTCCTCCTTCTCCCCATTTTTGCCTAAACTTTCCATCTTTCGGAAGGTACATTAGTTTTGGCCACTGTGCTGGTCCAGATTGCAGGCAGCAATGCTAGTCTAGCAAGTGCCTCCCACTTAGTCCACTCCCATTCAGATAGGGTAAAGTTACACAGGTGCAGAACTAGTGGGGTGTTTCTACCACCTGGTAAAATATAAATGCATTTACTATGAACCCCAATTTTTACAGATGGGATCAGAGCACAATCTGCCCCATCAGGCCCTTAGGAATTTACACATTTTTGTTGTCGTTGGAATCAGCCCTGGTTCTATAACCACTGCATCAGATAAGAAAAAGAAAAAAAAAGTTGATATAGTGTGAAGAAGATAAAAAAATAGTCATAGTATCAGCATATTCTTTCCCTACTAAGAATTGCATAGTCACACCAGCATTCTCCCCATCTCTTCTTTCCCAGATCCACCAGGAAAACAGAGGAGTCTATCTAGTGGGGGCACTTCTTCATCTCCTCCTGCTGAGTGTGAGCATACACTTGTGAAGATGTGCAAGCCAGCCTTTCATGCATTTATCTCCCTCCATTTCAGACAACCAATGTTTTAGTTGTCTGTTCCAATTTTCTATCAAACTATTATTCTGAGGAGGAGATCTCTCTGCCCATTGTTGGACATTATAGGCTATATTGCGTATTTCTTGGCCTGAAGAAATGTGAATCTGCCATCCAAATTGGTGCAATATCTTCTATTCCACTTCTTTTATGGCATTCTGAGTATTTGCATCTTCCACCAGGTAAGCAAAACCCAGTCTAGAGACAGCATCTATTCTGGTCAAGACCCCTTTTTAGCACCCCCATGCCAGGGCTACCACCATCAGTCTCACTTGCCAGCTATGTTCAGGGCCTTCCCACCAGGGTCTGCCACATAGCCCTCTGGAACCTCTGTCTCCTGCTGGCAAACAGAACAGTTCTTATTGGCATTTTGTGCCTCAGAGGATGCAAAAGGAATATGCCTAGATTCATTCCAGCTGCGTGGCTGCCCTACCCCAGTGTCAGTTCATTTCATGGAACCAGGTGTCCACCTTAAGCAAGCACACAGGGACATCTATTTGCCAATTCCAACTACCTTTCAAATCTGGAAAGCGATTCTTCTGAAGGGCATTGACATGTCCTACTTTAATGCACCCCTCAAATTCCCGTAGGACTGTGCCCCCTGTGAGCAACCTTTTACTAGGCCAGGTTTCCATTACCCTCTTGCCTGAGTGTGTAGCCAGGCCACTGGCCCCAACATGGGGGCTTTTCCCACTGTTCAATTCTTCCATCATGCTAGGTAAACAGCATGCAATTCAACCCATTGAGCTGATTTGTTTTTGCTTTCTTCAAACAAAGTGGTGGCCTTCCAAACAGGATGTTCGTTCACCTTGGAATTGCTGTCCACAGAACAAGCAGCTCTTAGTGCTCAGTTAAGAATGGTTTATAGGGCACTGTACAACTAATATAATTCAGAAGCTCCTCACACAGCTCTGGAATCAGTCCTAGGGTGAAAGAGACTCTCTGTTTGTGAGTGTCTCCTCCTTGCACTCCTAGATAGCATGATCCTGTATAAACCATTTCCACTGAATTCTATTTCCATTGAACTCATTTTCATGGAATACCTCTGAACACTGCCTTCCCCCTAACCCCAGTAGAGTGTTTCTCTGACATCACCCAAGATATCATGGGTATTTCAGGATTTAAGATCGTTTTATGTCCTTCAGTCACTGAGGTAGCTTCAATTAATGTCCAATCACAAGGTAATAATTGACCCTCAGGTGGAAATTCTCTAGTTCAAAGTCCCAGTGTTCATCACTGGGAGGCACTCACAGGCTTTTGCCATAAGTCCCGGTTTATGTCCCCTCCCCCCGCCCCCGCCCCGCCAGGACTATCACGCTGAGAATTTGTTCCTACCAGTGCTCCAGCTTCCAGTCTACACTGTCTGCCCTCAGACAATCTTACTGGTTCTCATTTAGTGTGTTCAATTAATATTGCTTGGAGGTTGGATATATATGCCTTCTGTTTTACAGTACTAGGTAGGGGAAACATTCCCCAGTCAGATACAATGTCTAGTCCCATAATACAATCATGTAAAGGAGATGCAAGCACTTCACATAAAGCCTGCCCAAACATATTAGTTTTCATCCAAATGTTCACCTTAATTCCCTCAACTCTTCTATTCCTAACTATAGTCTCCATTAGGACTATATCAACAGATTTCAGTTTTATAATACTAGGTAAGGGAAGTGTTCTCCAGCCAGACAATATCCATTCCCACAAAACACTCAGGCAAAGGAGACACTGCTTTCTTACATAAAGCCTGTTCAAATATTCCAACTTTCATAACCCTATCAGCCTTTACAATTATATATTCTGTATACAATTCTGTATATAGCCCACACTGGGGCTTCACCACAGCACATAGGGGCTTTGGTATCAAGGAGCCCTGGAGTTTCTCTTCTCCAACTCCTGACCATTTCACCCACTCATGTGCACAAAGCTTGGGTTTCCAGCAAGGTGTTTAGCAAAGGGACCTTGGCCCTTTTGTCAGTTGATTAACCTGCCTAATCATAGCCCCAAGCAATTTTTGGTCGGGTTTCTCATTGTAATCTTTCCTTTCTGGCTTTTAGGGTAAATAGATCAGACTTCTTTGGGGGCCTTTAATGTTGGGGTAGCTTTGGCCTGCCCAACCTTTTGTATTGTTTTATTAAAACCTTTGTTTTAGGAACACAAAGTCAAACAAAGCTTGGTCTCACTCATCCTGAGAAGCTTTAAAAAGTTGATCTCATAAAAGAAAAAACTAGAACAGAGGATGCTAGAGGCTGGGAAGGGTAGGGAAAGGCAAAGATAGTGAGAAATTTGTTAAGGGAGACAAAATTACAGTTAAATAAGAGGAATACATTCTAATGTTCTATAGCACTTTAGAATGACTATAGTTAACAATAATGTACTATGCAGTTCCAAATAGCTAGGAGAATACTGAATATTCCCAACACAAAGAAATATTAAATGTTTGAGATGATAGCTATTCTAATTACCCTGATCTGATCACTGTACATTATGTGTAGTGAAACATCACTACGTGCCCCCATAAGTATGTACAATTATTAGGTTGGTGCAAAAGTAATTGTGGTTTTGGATTGTGAATTTTAAATCATTATAACTAGGCTCAAACACACTTATTAATCAAAATAAAAACCATTACAATTAATACATTTTTGCCAATGAGAAATAAGTTTGTTTATTCCTGTAGCGTAAAAATCCATACTTCGGGATTCGATGAACTCTTGGAAAGCATTTTCTGCATCCTGCTGTTTGTGGAAGCATTTTCTCCGCAAAAAGTTGTCAAGATCCTTGAAGAAATGGTAGACAATTGGCTAGAGGTCAGGTAAATATGGCGGATGAGGCAAAACTTCATAGCCCAATTCATTCAACTTTTGAAGTGTTGGTTGTGCGATGTGCAGTTGGTTGTTGTGGAGAATTGGACCCTTTCTGTTGACCAATGCTGGTCGCAGGCATTGCAGTTTTCAGTGCATCTCATCGATTTGCTGAGCATACTTCTCAGATATAATGGTTTCACTGGGATTCAGAAAACAGTAGTGGATCAGACTGGCAGCAGATCACCAAACAGTGACCATGACCTTTTGTTTTTTGGTGCAAGTTTGGCTTTGTGAAGTGCTTTGGAGCTTCTTCTAAGTCCAACCACTGACCTAGTTGTCACCAGTTGCCGTATAAAATCCACTTTTCATCACATGTCACAATCCAGTTGAGAAATTGTTCATTGTTGTTGCATAGAATAAGAGAAGATGACACTTCAAAAATACTTTTTTTAAATTTTTGCTCAGCTCATTAAGAACCCACTTATTGAGGTTTTTCACCTTTCCAATTTGCATCAAACGCCGAACGATCATAGAATGGTCAAGTTGAGTTCTTCAGCAACTTCTCCCGTAGCTGTAAGAGGATCAGCTTCGATGATTGTTCTCAATTGGTCAGTGTTAACTTCTGATGGCTGGTCACTACACTCCTGGTCTTCAAGGTTCATGTCTCCTTTGCAAAACTTCTTGAACCACCACTGCACCGTATGTTCATTAGCAGTTCCTGGGCCAAATGTGTTGTTGATGTTGTGAGTTGTCTCCACTGCTTTACAACCCATTTTCAACTAAAAAAAAATCATTCAAATTTGCTTTTTGTCTAACATTATTTCCATAGCCTAAAATAAATATGAAATAAACAGCAAGTAATAAGTCATTAGCAAAAAAATTAAAGCGAAATATGTGCATTAAAATCATGTATAGCATAACCACATTTATTTAAGGATGTATTCCAATATCAAACAGCACATTTCAACAGTACAAAAACTGCAATTACATTTGAAAGAACCTAATACTATATGTCAATTAAAAGTTAAATTTGAACTTAAAAAAATAAAATATTTGTTTTAAACCCACCCTTTGCCTCCCACCTGGGCTGGTGTAAGATTCCTAATTGGTCTCTCTATCACTACTCTCCACACTACAGAGGCAGAGTGAGCCATCTGAATGGCCACAATTGTTTTCACCTCTCTATATATCAGCTTTTACATGTGGTTTCAAAATAATGTATGGCAGACGTGACGGTGCCTGAGCCAGTTCTCAGCCAAGGCCTTAAGAGGCCTTACTCATGTCCACTCACTCCCTTGAACCCACATGATTTCCCTGGGGAATGAGACACTGCATGGAAGGAAAACATCCCAGGGGAGGCGATCTAAGACCAGCCAGTTTCCAACTGGCCTGCCAGCTACAGACACATGAGGAAACCCAATCAAGATGCGGAGCTTGGTCAGTATCTGCAGAACTTCCTAGATGGGCCACAGATTTACGAGTTAAATACATGGTTGTCTTTATAAGTTTGGGGGTAGTTCGCTACACCACAATCGTTCACTAATGCACCATCTACACCCAATTATGATTATATCATTCCACCCATCTAAAACCCTTGGCTCCCTTTTGCCTTCTGGAAAAAGTTCCACTGCCTTATCTCAGCACAGGATGTCTCCATATTCTGAATTTTATGCTCTTCTACAGCCCCTCTGCTTGGACCCTGCAAATTTCTGTAGATATTGTACTCTCTGCTACTGATTCATGCCTCTGTGCTGCCACTTTCACTGTTCTCATGACCTGGAATTTCCCTAAGACGCAACTCTAGCACCACCTGCTATGGGGAGCCCTCTCTGATCTCCCCACATGGGGCTCTGTGCATGATTTCTCTGCTAGGTTATGAGATGACCTTGTCTCATTCATCTCTATAAACCCAACCATCCCCTTAAGGCTTACATGTGCCAGATCCTTGTCTAAGCACCAGGCATACAAATATGAATAAGCAGTTATTGCCTCCTGTCTCAAAATTTGCTGGTCCCCTGAAAGATCATTTAAATAAATGTGGCAAACGTGGTGATGGATAGGTTAGGAAAGGCATTTTTTAGGGTCTGATATCTTGAGTGACAAACAGAAGTTATTCAGGTTCAGAGAGATGAAAGAGGGGGAAGAGCCTAAGGCTGAGGCTCAGGGAGACAGGGTGTGCTTGGATTATGTGCAGCTAGTGTAGGGTGATGGTGCAGAGAGGTGGGGTGAGATGAAGACAGAGAGGCTGAAGACTTGAATTTACCTTGAAGGAAATGAGGAGCCACTAAAGGGCTTTCCATGAGCATGCAATAGGTGCTCAATAAATGTTTCGTTATCAACACACAATCCCTCTCCCCATTAGACTGAGAGCTCCTCCCGGGCAGGAATATTCCTTCTCTGTTTTCCATTGTTCTTTCCTGGAACATAGTGGGACCATGTATGATTCTGATCAATGAATAAACGAATGAACGAATGAGTGCAACCAAGATATGATAGTAACAAAACAAGATGGATCTTTTCATTTATTCAAAACTGCTTTTCACTCCCCTGGTTCCAGAGAGTGTTGAGGATTCAGACAGGCTCTGAGAAGGGTCTGGGTTCAGCCTCTGCTTAGCAGCAGAAGTGTGTGTTGGTGCCACCTGGTGGTCGTAGTGCTCATATTATCAATTAGAAATCTCCCTCCGTTGTTACTAACGCACCTGTCAGGCCAGGGAAGAGGAGAGGGAACCTAGAATGGGCAGAAATACTCTGCTCAATGGACATATCTACCTGCCAGCTCAGTGGTGCCTCTGTGAATGCCAACCCCAGGTCTGTCTGTCTTCCTCCTGCAAGACCTGAGTCCTGAGTCCCCACAACTTGAGCCCAAGGGAGTAACTAATATCAGGCCATAGAACATAGATGCCCTTATCTGTGGCCTTTCTGTCCAGGGTGCTTTCCACAGGGACCCTCTTGTTCTCAGCAGATGAGGGAACCTGGGGTGAGGAAGCTGCAGAGAGGGAGGCAGCGATCAGCATCTCCTCAATGTCCTTCCCATCCTCTCCCTAAGAGAACCATGATTCTGTTCAGGGCAGCAACGTACCCAGCAAAAGTTCTTACTTCTCCAGACTCTCTTATAGTCACGGGTTCTGTGTTGCACAGATTTGGCCAATGGGGTGTAGGCAGACTGCGGAGGGGTTCTGGGGAAGCCATGCTCCTCCAGCATGACAAGAGATGACTCAACTGTCTTCTGCCTTTACCTTTTCTCTCCCTCCCCCTTCCTCCTGCCTGAAAGGTGGGCAAGGCATCTGCAGGTGGCTTCACTATCTTTTCTCCATGAGGATGAGTACCACATGCTATGGATAGTGGAACAAGAAGCTGGAAGGCATCCAATTTTTTTATTACTTTTTAAAGCAGCTCCAGAGCCATCTGGGGCTTCTGGACACATCCAGGCAGGGGGCCCTGTTGAAGTCCTTCTCTAGGACCAAAGTTACTTCTCCATCTTCTTCCTGCTCAATACCTTCTCCCTGACCCATTGCCTGTTTGTTACAAGAGGATAAGAAAAGTCCATTTATGAAGAAACTATAGTTACATTTCTGTTAGATGCAGTCACTTGCATCCTAACATATATGTGCCTAATCTTTTTGCTTTTGGCTAGTGAGCCCAGACTAAACCTGTATTTGGCATAAAGAACCAGAGAGTACAGGACTGGGGGGCTTCTGGAGAAAGCCAGGATAGATACTTTTCCTAGGAGATAGGGAGCCTCTGTCCAAACTGAATTCCCTCTTACTATGTGATCTAGAGCAAGTTGTTTGCTTCCTATCACATTGTAGGCACTTAAATATATATATATATGTGTATATATATATATGTATATATATATGTATATATATATGTATATATATATGTATATATGTATATATATGTATATATGTATATATATATGTATATATATATGTATAGACACACACACGTATACATATATATTTACATTTACATATTTTTGTTAAAAATAGGCATATATGTGTATAACACATATATGTGTGTTAAATTACATATATGTGTACAACTTACATATGTATACACATAAGTTATTTATTTAGTATTATGCATTTGCAATTGAAGAAGGGATGGAAGTAGAGGAGGACTCATGTCCACACCAGCCTGACCATGTCATGTCCATGTGGCCGGGAACCAGGGAAGGGGGCAGATCAATGGTTAAAGACACAGACTGGAGCCAGACTTACCGGGTTCAAATCCCAGTTCCAACAACTAGTTATTTCAGCTCTTTGTGTCTCAGTTTCCCCCATTTATAAATGCGAATAATCATGCTATCTCATGGAGTCGTTAGGAGGGTTCAGTGACTGATATTTGTAAAGCACTCAGAATAGTAACTGACAAAAGGTAAACCAACCTGTTTGCTAATTAAAGGCAGATCAGCCAATTGGCCTTGTCCAAGGTGCTGATGCTCCTAAAGCCTTGGTCCTCCTGGAACTCCAGGGCTTGTGTGGCCAGGATGTGGCCTCATCCTCTCAGCTGTTTTAATGAAGCCACACACTCTTTGTGCTTTGTTGTCCTTCCAATTCCAAAACTCAAGGGCAAGGGTTCCACAAATGTAACTGTGGAGCCCAGATCCCCTAATCTTGTCTCTGACACTCCCTGGTTTGGCTCTGCAGTCCATTTGACAGGCCAGAGCTGCAATGCTCTTATGTGAGTGGGTATGCCTCGAATGCCAGCCCTACCCTGTCCCTTCTCCCCATGATAGGGGATTGTTACCACCAAGTGACTGCAGATGTGGGTCAGGGGTCAAAGGCGACTACAAGGAGGCAGTTTGGTTGCCGTGGTGCAAGAAAAGAGGTTTAGCAGGGTCCTGGGAATGGCTCGAGGTGGACGGCAGGCAGGTGCCCTGTTGCTGGGCTGACTGTGACCAGGTGCTACTGCTGTGTTAGGCCTCTCTTCTTCTGACTCCTGTCTGCCCCTCCGGGGCTGGGGTCTGGATTGCAGCCTGGAGCTGCAGGGGTGTGTGGAGTGCTCCCCACCTAACAACTACCCTCTGCTGCAGAGATGGTGGCTTTGTGGCTCCTGGGCATTCCAGGCTGTGACCCTTGCTGGGCCTTCTCTGGGGACAGGGTGGTCCTCCTCGATGTACTGCAGCCCAACCCTTACCCTCATGCCCTGCTAGTCTGGCCCGACCCAGCTTTCCCCAGGCCTGAGGCTGGCAGAGCCGGTAGCTGATAAGCAGGACTCCAGGACCCAGACAAGTGCCAGCTCTTCGAGGAGTCTCCCTCTGGTCTCCTCCCTTTCCAGGTCATAGCCAAGACCAGGGCCAGCCTAGAGTAATATCTCCCATGCCAGTGGTCTAATGGGGGCTGACAGCTGAGGGCTTACAGGGAAGCCGGTTCCTGCAGGAGGCAAGGTCTGTGGAGCCTGGGATTTCCAGAAGCTTGAACTTCTGCCCAGGTGGTTGCATGCACTCAGGCCCAGGGAAACTTGGATTTGGCTACCCAGACCCAAGTTCAAGGACATCATCCTAAGGAGGGCACCATCCTAAGGAGGGGATCCAAGAGGACGAGGAAACAGACACTGATTTGGCTTCGTGAAAACACAGTGGTAGCTGGGATGCCTTTGAAATGGGCAGAGGTGATGAGAGGAGGAAATATACATTCATCCTATAGCTGACATGAACCAAATATACAAAAGGATAAACTGTGTAGGTGGTACTATTCTGAATACAATATTAACATTTAATTCTCCCCATGACCCTAGCAGGGGTCACTACTGTCTTTCCCATTTATGAATGATAAACGGAGGCAAAGGGAAGTTATGTGGCTTGCCCAGGGATTCACACTGTGGAGTGATGGAACCAGGTCTTGAATCCAGGTACTGCAGCCCCAGAGAGTTGCTGTAAGTGTACATCACCTTGTTTCACCTTCCTGAAAACTCTCTTGTGGGAATCTTATTCTCACTCTTCAGAAACAAGAAAGCCTTCGGAAGTTTTACATAACTTGTCCAAGATTTCACAGCAGTCAGTGGTAAAGCTGAGACTCAAACCCAGGTCTAGTCCAACTCCAGACCCTTCACTCTTTCCACCTAACCAGAGATCTGCAAACCACAGACCTCAGGCCAAATCCAACCCACCACCTGATACTTATAAATAAGGTTACTTTCATGCTACAACAGCAGCTGAGAAGTTGTGACAGAGACCTTTACAGAAATAGTTTACCAAGCCCCGCACTAAACTTATAGGATGAACAAAAGGCAGCAACTCCCACCTTTATCTGTCACTGTCTGCCTGACAAAGTAGTCATTTACATCTTCATATGAATTAGCCCATCAACTTCATGCCGGCTCCCTGAGTGTATCTCATAGAGTCAGAAACAGAAAGGACTTTAGAGAATCACCCAATCCAACATTCTCATTTCACAGCTGGGAGAGCCAAGGCTTAGCAATGACTTTTCCAACATGACTCAATCATCACATCAGAGTAGTTGGTCTCAAGTGGACACTGGGGGGCCAGAACTTTTCCAGAGCATTGATCCCTAACAGCATTGATCCCTAACAGCATTGATCCTTCCAGTCCTGTTTGAGACTGTGTGACGAAGCAATGTTCCCAGTACCCTGCAACAAGCTCCTGTTAGGTGACCAAGTCCTTATAGCCCTGCAGTCTCTTCCCACAGTTCTGTGGTACCCGTCAGGACTTGTCTGGTCCCCACTCTACCTTATTTCCATAGGGCGGTGAATATAATGTGAAGAGCATTGACCCAGGCATGAGGGGACCTGACTTTGCCCTTCAGTAGCTGCGTGACCTTAGGCGGGTCACTTCTCAGCTCCAGCCTCAGTTGTCTCATCTGTCCAGTGGGCACGGTGTTCCTGTTGCTGCCTATCTTGCAGGCTCATTGTCACGGGATAAAATGAGGTATTTGCTGTGGGATGATTGATATGAAAAGTCAAGCCAGGCCCAGTGGCCTGCACCTGTGATCCCAGCTACTCAGGAAGCTAAGGCAGGAGGTTTGCTTGAGGTCAGGAGTTTGAGACCAGCCTGGGCAATCTAGTGAGTCACTGTTTCTACCAAAAATAAAATTAGACAACTGTGGTGGCATGCACTTATAATCCCATCTACTCAGGAGGCTGAGGCGGGAGGATCACTTTGAGCCCAGGAGGTCAAGACTGCTGTGAGCTGTCATCGCACCACTGTACTCCAGCCTGGGCGACACAGTGAGACCCTGTCTCAGAAACAAACAGACAAAAAAACAAAGTCAACATAATGCGGGGTGACTGAGATTCAGAAATAAGGTCTATTGTCATCCTCATTTAGTTTGGGGTGAAGGGCAGAGACCGATGCCATGTATCATCAGAAGAGAGAGGCCCCCAAAAGTAATATATACTTGTGGGTTTTAAATATTTGAAAACTTGATGAATGTATGGATCCTTTTTCCCCAAAAATGAGCACAAATTCATTCAAACAGAAGTTTGAATTTAATCTCAGAAGATTCTGAAAAATTTTGAAACCCATTCATGAACACTTAGTTCTGACCACTCCCGATCCGCTGTAGAGGAACAAATTGAGCCCCAGATAGAGACTACGTGTATCAGTGCCTTTGGGGAGGAGATAAAAATGAAGCTATCCAATCTCCAGAAGTAGGATGGGGTGCAATTAAATTGGGGAAAATTCAGAAGCCCACTAAGTGCCTAAGGTGAGGCTTATCTGTGCTGCTCCGACTTCTCCTACTGTGTTGTCAGCCTAGGGGACAGGGTGGAAGCCTGGGCCACCAGATTCTCCATCACCCCCACAAAACAGCTGCCCTTTCCTTCTCTGGACCAGCCTCCCTCCCCTCCTCCCACAAGACCACTGCTTACCAGATCTCGTCAGGCACAAGGGAATGCCAGAAGTGCAGCTGCCTTCTGTTTGATTCACTATAATAAAGCCCAACTCCAATTCTGGGTTGAAACAAAATGATCAGAATGATAATAGCCTCTCTGGGATATCTTCCCAACTCTAATTTGTGAGGCCAAACCACTCCTACCCCAGGGTCCTTGGCATGAATGTATTTGCATCTCCCAGTGCTGCTGTACAAGGCAGGCTTATGACTGTCAAAAAAAAAAAAAAAAAAAAAAGAAGAAGAAAAAAGAAAAAAAACAACCCTAGGAACTCCAAATGGAAGGAATCTTAGAGGTTGTGCAACCTCCCTCCCCCCAATTCCACCTGACATTGCATCCCCAGGAGACACTGCCTGCTATCTGCTTGCATATCTCTAGAGCTGGAGTTACCACTTCCAGCAACAGCCCATTCTCTATTCTGGTAGAATCTTGCAAGCTGTCTTCCTGGACTTCCTACCATTGGCACCATTTCAGCACTTGGGCCCACCACACACTCTCTGACAGCCTTTAGATATTTGAAGACATTGACTGAACAGTTATTTGACAACACCCCTTTTACATTGGTATCACTATCTATTTGCTGGCTTGCATTAAAAATAATTACCTATAAGTTCACATCTTCTCCAAACAATGACAATACTCAGCTTACATCTTCCCCAAACAAAGACTTAGATCTTCTAAGGTCTAAATGTGAATGTATCCCTCTCCCCAGAAAAATTCACACATGCACCAAATTGTGTATTTAATTCAATCCAACAGGAGGTTCTGAGCTCCTTGAAACAGCCTTAGAAATGAAAACTAAACTAAACTAAACCTGGTATCACTTGGTGCCCTCTTTTTATTTAAAAATATATGTTAATCTCAAAGCTAAGATTACAGATTTAACTCCTTCCAATCTCCTTTTCCATAGGTTATAAAAAGAGTTATTTGATTAAAAGGTGGGTCACTATGACCAGACGCTCTTCTTTACTAGTTGGAAGCTGATCATAGATACACCCACCTCCCTTACATAATTTGTAGCATTCCACCTTCATGGAAGAAAGCATTCAGAACTCTGCTACCAGATACACAGCCCAGGAAACATTATTTATTATTCTGTACACTTATATTCCACAAAGAGAACAACTTTTAAAATCCATATCAGACACAGAAATCTGCATGACATTGGAACAGTCCATGACACAGAGAGGACACAATTGAAACAGTCTTTATTTACACGGAAGCAGAGAGACAGAGGGATGAGGGCAGGCACCCCAAAAGTGACTTCACATTCACCAATGTTTCAGTGGCTTCTAAGACCACAGCAGAGCTGTGGATCCTGGGACTCACAGGGTATGAAAATGTGTTACCCTCCAAAGCCTCAAAACAAAAGGGTTGGATTAAAAACAAATACCAAGTGTTTCTGGCATCAGTTGAAAAATATCTGAGAAAGAGGAACTATTGAATGTCCAGAAAAATCAAAGTTCTGGAGGCTAGAAATCTGACATTTCTCTGATAGAGAGATCACTGGTCATCAGTTCATTTTGGGAAATTCTTACAGTTAAGTGATGTGTTTCCTTCATTGTAAATTTAACAGGAGAGCATCATTATGGATACATGCAGGGTTTTCTTTAATGGAATGGGAACTTTGATGATCTGATATAACCCCTGATTTTAAAGACAAAGAATCTTGAAGCCCCAAAAGATGAAGCCACTATCCCCAGGCCACCCAGCTAGTCAGCTGCAGACCCAAGTCTGTAAAACTATATGCTGTGCTTTTTCCGCCACACTACACACCTTCTCTGTTTTTCTCTCTTCGGTGGCTTTCGAAGGAAATAAACAAATAAAGTGAGTTCAATGGGCTTCTTTACTAGGAAATGATTTCTTTGGTAAGAATGCTTCAGTCTCACATTAGCGAGGCTAGAAAACAGATCATATAGCAGGAACTGGCTCCCAGCTGAGCGGTAACTCCTTTTGAGAATTAAGGCAGCTTCAGGGATTTCTGTTCAGCAGGATATCTGGCAAGAGTTGGTAGCTCTCCTTCTCCCTTGTCTCGTTTTCATCTAGAATGAAAGCTAAAAGGTGGGTGCTAAATAACTAGACATTGAGTAGACGTAAATGTGATGTTCTCAAACTGATATTTTACATTTCATGAAAAATAATAATTCTTTAAAAACCTGAAAAAATATCAAAAGCGTCAAGTGTCATATACAGTACACAGCACCCTTGTCCCGGGTGACCTCTGCTATTAAAAACAAGCTACAAAAAGGAAGTCAAAGATGACTTAACATAAAGCCCATACTCTCTCTCCATTAAATGTGGGTGGAAAGGTAAACCCAAATGATCTCCAAGCACCTCCCCGAGAACTTCCAAGGGCTTTCTGGGTACCCCCACCCTCCCAGGGGACCCAGGCTTGGAGCCAGGTTCCCATCCCAGATTCAGGAGCCAACTTCCGCCGCAAGGCAGCACCACTGCGTTGGTTTGGTGTTGGTTCAGCTAGCACCACATCTCCGATTCACCCCGGGACAAATGTCTGGAGGCAGAAGGGGCCACATGCAGATGGCAAAGAGGAAATGGCAGGCTCTCTCGGAAGCACGACCCTGCTCTAATGCAAAAGGCTTTGCTGACTGTTTGCTCTCATTTCAACCAAGTAGACTCAGCTTTTCACATCCAACTATTCCAAAGAGTGATTATTTTCATCAAAAGAGAGCAGCTAAATAATTTCCTCTCTGGAAACCAGCTAGAGGAAAATAAATGGCATTCTCTCGCCCCTTCCCATCCTCCAACACATTGTTCTTTTGCTAAGAAATTTTCCTTTGCGGTTTGAATGAGTTTTTTAAAAATGACAGTCCTGGGTGGGGTGAACCCTATTGTGCAGGGAATATTCAAAATAATCTGGGCTGAGAGTCAGTGGATGTGAATTGAAGGCCCAACTCGATCTGTTAGTTGCTAAAAAACCTTGAGCAAGAGTGACTAAAATGCTGGGCCTTGGTTCTCTCACCTGGGAAATGGGGAGATAGAAGCTATAGCCCTGCAGTCCTCACTGGGCAGATGGCAGGTAATGTGCATTAAAGTGCTTTATTACAAACAAACAAACAAACAAACAAAAACAAAAACAAAAAACGAAAAGAAAAATGGTAACACCTAGGAAGAAGTTACCTTTTATGGGAGGATATAAAGTCACTAATGGGGCCCAGACCCCGACCTGATTGTTCTCCATTCTTAAGCCTCACTGTTCACAGGGCTCCAAGACACCTGCCACCTGGGCTGTCTCAGGCATTCAGCTGACCTTTTTATACAGAAAGATTCAAAGTCTCCTGATTTTCCCTCTTTTATCTATAGAATGACCTGAGGACCCCGACCCAGCAAGGAAACCTCAGGACCCTGGGAGACAAAACCATCTCCCTGCCCCACCCTGGTCCCCTCATAATCCTCTTCATGCAGGAACCACCAGGCTCAACAACACCCCAATTTGAGGCAAAGCACCTTCTTGACGTGCGAATGCAGCGGCTTCTTTATTTTTTCCCAAGATCCCGCAACAGGAGCTCCCACAGTCAGAATAAGAATCCCTCCAACAAGGGTGTAAGAGACTCTAACCATAAACAGAAACCCCTCCCAAAGATGCCACCAATTTAGCAAACTAGGAATCATTTCTCTTACGGAACTAAAACTAAACACCACCAGAGGGCACCAAGTGCAAGTTTGTATCAGAAGTAGATCCAAGTAGAAACCTAGAAATTCTCTGAAACCACCAAACTGTTCCATCCACTCTCAAAATTCTCCCCTCCACTTGAGAGAGTATTTCTGGGCTGCTTGTCTCACCCTGCCCTCCAAGGTGCCACATCTAGTGCATGAGAGTTTTTGCAGCCAACTCTCCATTTCTCAAGACCCCTGGTCCACTCCAGGTGGGATCCCCAGAGGGAGGCTGTGCAGGTGTGCAAGAACAATAAATTAACACAACAGCCTGTCAGGCTCCCTTTGGGCACCCACCTGGCCTTGTGAGGACAGCACGGTGAAGACACACATGAGGCCTCACTTGGTCCCTGCCCCCGTTTCCCCAGGCAGGTCTCAGGAAGTGCAGATGGGTTTCTGGGCTCCGTGTCTTACAGAGCAAGAGCAGCATGAGGCCTCAGTAGATGTGGCTTGCCACGTGGCCTCCACCAGCTTGTCTGATGCAGGTACCTCCTAGAACCTGCTCACTGTGGTTCATTTACCCTCTTCCTCCTGTCCCCCATATCTCTGGGCCATCTGACCACCAAAAGCTGGAGGAATGTTCCAGAACACACACATCAAACTCAGATTGGCCAGAGTGAAAATTAACTATGAATGTTTCTACTCAAAATCCCTCAAAGCATCTATCCACTGACTTCATTTTAGAGACAAATAAATCTAACTCCCAGGCTGAGGTTCAGACATGAGAGGGCTGTCTAGGGTGGGCAAGAGGAGGGTCTATGTACCTTCCCCAACCACCCCACTAAACTCAGCCAGATTTTGTTTGATTTTTGCTTTAGTTTTAGTTTTTTTTTTTTTTGGGAGGGGTATCTGATCAAAAGCCCATCCTCTCTCTGATTTGGTGGACTAAGAACTCCTGTGCCCAAAGTCTAGGCAAATGTGGTGGGGATTTCCGACCTCATGAACCTAGCTTCAGCAGGATCCCAAAGTGGGAGAGACTTCCCCCAAAACAGCGGGGACAGAACAGAAGTCATTTTCCTGTTTGCTCCTCTCCTCTGAGCTAACAGCCCCCAGGCCAGATGCACAGAAGGTGAACAAAAACTACAGTCACGAAATCATTTGTAAATGGGAAAAGAAGAGAGGATCAGAAAGGACAACTTCCAGGGGAGGAATCCCAAGATGGTGTCCGAGGTGGGAGCGCAGCGGATGCCTGTGACCTGGACATTGGCATGGGGGTTCCTCCTTCTCCTCCAGGCAGGCTCAGATGGCCAGCCAGTGTTGCAACTGCAGAGAAAGACAGCGAGGACTTGATGACATGGTGGGGACAGAAAGGAGCAAGGGCCAGCTGGCGGGGGCAGCAGGAGGTAGAGAGAAGGCAGAAAAACACCCCCTTCCTTCACGGACCTCAGGGAACGTGCAAGTTGATTCCCTAATTGTCACAGAGGCCCAGAAAGGGCAGCAGAACCTCCCCAAAGTCACAGGGCAAGCCTGAGGCCATGGGCTCAAGGTGAGCCTCCCTGTCCCCCATCCCGATGTTTCCAAGGGGAAAAGGCAGCTCACACTGGGTTTCTGGGTTTTCTGGATGTGATGTCTAGCCTTGGGCAGTGCACAGCAGGGAACAGCCAGGGCCCGCCCTTGTAATCTCCACCCCAGGGGTCTAGGCTTCACCCACCTGGAACTGTCTGATGTCCCTCTGAGCCACCAGGTGGTGCTCGTTCTCTGGCGTGATGCCATAGGCCAGTCTCTGAAAGGAAGAGAAGGGGAGGAGGCCTCAGCTTGGCCCAGGGACACCCTTCTGGCAGCCTGGCTGCACCCCCAGATGAGGGCCACCTGCTATTTGATCCTGCAGCCCCACATGGATAGCATTTGGGGTCTGTACAAGACACCTCCAGCTTTGTTTGTGGAGCTGGTCCATTGAGTCACTCATCCAGACACTGTTTCTTGAGCTGCCTACTGTGGTCAGACATGGGGCTAGGCCCTGTGGATCCAGACTTGAAGGAGACCCACACAGTCTCTACTTTGGGGGAGCTTACCGCCCATGTAAGGGACTGGCAATGAACAAACACACACATCATCTTAGACCCAGAATGGAGAAAGTGCAGCAGGGAGAGTGTGGAAGGAAGCCTCTGGCCCTGCAGGGAATCAGGAAAGCCCTCCTGCAGTGGAGGCACTTGTGGGGTCTCAAGCCATGTGTTCTGAACCAACAATTGATCACTGGTAGCAGGAAGCCTCTCCACTCCCAAAGTGTGAAGAATAGAAGGCTCAGGTCCCAGTTCCCATGTCTAGAATGAGGTCACTGAACACTGATCCTCCCAGTGACCCGGAACCAGACTTAGGGATTTCACAGACAGGAAATGTATCACAAAGAATGAGGATGGGGACTGTCTGTCTGTTACTCCCTTCCTTGAGTTTCCTTGTGGCTCCCAAGGATGCCTTCCATCCTCATTTTGTTTACCTGCCCTTGATTAGAATGTGAACTCCATAAGGGCAGGAATTTTTGTCTAGTGCCTCGAATACTACCCAGCATATATCTGCGTCCCAATAAATACCTTCCAAGTGAGTGGATAAAGGAATGAAGGAATGAAATCATCTTTGTTTTGTAAAGTAAGGATATGAGGAAAAGATTATCACTATTAGTTTATGAAAGAAAGGATATTTTAATCAAATAGGAGTGACATAATTTCAGAATAAAGGGCAGTTTCCTAAATATTTATATAAATGTGTGTGTGTGTGTATATATACATGTATGTATATACACACACATGTACATATATACATATGTATAAATATTGACATATATGCAGAATGCATAGAAAGAAATAGTTCAGAAATCTCTGGTTTAGGCTGATCAGATTATTAGGTTCTGGAAAGAGGCAGGTGAAAACCAGAAGGAGCAGATCACAGTGGGCTTGGATGGGGAGAGCTGGGACATCTTGGGAAATGACAAATCTTAGACAGAGACATCACAGTGAGCTGGGTTCAGGCAGTCTGTCTAATCAATCCTTAGTGAACTCCAGGGCTGAGCTCACCCCCAAGTAACATGTACTGAACACCTCCTGTGCGCCAGACACTGTGCTAAGTACTTCTTTTTTGTTTTGGGGTACGTAATATTATCCTCAATATACAGATGTGGAAACTGAGGCTCATGGGGGAAAATAACCTGGCCAATGAGGTGGGTCCGTTTGACCCTAGTGTCTGTGTCCTTCTGTCCCTTCCCCCACCCCAACAGGAATGAGAGTCGTCCCGTCTTCCCCCTCAGCCCCCTCCCACCCTGTTCCCCTGGGGAGGACCAGAGCTCACCTCCCAAAGAGAGCCCTGCGTGCTGAGGAACTTATAGATGACGTAGATGGGCACCAGGACCATGGAGGACAGGGCGATGCCCCACCCCACCCAGTTGGCCCAGGGCGGGAAGATGTAGTCGTCGTAGGTGAGTGGCTTGAAGTTGATGATGCTGACCACAACCACGAACTAGAGATGGGCAGAGAAGGGAGAGAAAGGAAGACAGGACAGAAGAGAGACAAGAAAGGAAAGAGAGAAGGAGGTGGAAGAAAGGTGGGAGAGAAATGAAGAGAAGTGAGCATCACAGCAAAGGGAGGAAATAAGGAAGGAGTGGAAAAGAGAAAGAGATGGAGAAATAAGAAAGAATTCAAGAAGCAAGTGATAATCAAAAGGAGGCAGATATGACAGGGAGCAAGAAAAGAGGAAGAACAGAAGGTGACTTTGGAGAAGGCATAACAGCCCCCGGGGACCTGGCCCCAGCTGGAGAACCCCCTAGTAAGGTGGATGTCTACCACGTTATCCACAGGGCCAAGCATCCCAAGTGACCCCTCTGCATGACCAGGGCCTCTGGATCCCAGAGCCTCCTCCCCTAAGAAGCAAATATCCTCACCCAGCTCCATCCTGGACACAGCCCCCTCCCCACATGCAGGACTTCCCTGCAGACACTACACACCAGGAGGAAGGCAGGACTGACGAACTTCCAGCACAGTCTCCAGTATAGACCCGGCCTGAACCCCATCATCTGCTGGATGTCGTTGCTGAACCTGTCCACTCCTGTGCACACACAGGGCAGGCCTGTTACCATGGCCCCCATGATAGCCAGGGCCAGGTCCTCCCATGAGGTTCTGGCCCCAGGTGGAGAGCAGGGCAGTGAGGCAAGATGCTGATACCCTGGAACTAGGGAGACTCGGGGATGGGCCCTTTGTAATGCAGAATGAGGGAGAGGACAAACTCTAGGACAGTATCCCCTTTCATGTGTCACCCCAATTCACCTGTCAGAGGGAAACCTGGGCTCAAAGAGGTGAGGGGATTTGCCCCAAATTCCAGAGCCAGTTGGCCTGACTCCAAAGCCCAGCTCTTTCCTCTTGGTTACTCTTGCTCTGAAAATAACAACAACTATGCATACAGCACATTCCCTGACTTCAATCTGATAGGAGAGCCCAGACTCTTCCATTGAATCTCTTTCTGAGTGGCAGCAGAGTGAGAACAGGACTAACATGTTGGTGTGACACTTGGTGGGGAAAAACAAACAATTAACACATTTAAGGGTTTGTAAAATATTCTCTCAGTTCTGTTCCAGAATAAGTTTGCCAGAAAAAATACAAGATACCCAGTTAAGTTTGAATTTCACATAAATAATGAAAAAAATTAGGGTAAGTATGTCCGATGCAATATTTGAGCTATACTTATACTAAATAATTATTTGTTATTTATCTGAAATTCAAGTTTAACTAGGCAACCCGTGTTGTGTTTGCTAAATCTGACAACCCCCTGGTAGGATGAATTATATGACTTGGGGGTCAGCATTTTCCTAAGGGTTCCTCTTTTAGGAGTTGATGCCCAGGGGCCTTTGCAGCCTCCTGTTAAGGGCAGGTTCATCCAAAGATGAGCCGAGGATTGAGATTTGTTCCCAATAAGTGACTTGCTGGACTCTGGAATTTTAGGTGGCTGTCCTGGAAATGGAAGGCCTCCCTGCACACCTCCAGGTGCAGGATTCTAGGAGGACTGGGAGCTGAGGCTTTTCCACACACTCACATACCATAAAACCAGGAAACTCCGATGGCTTCCATGAGGACAGCAAAAAGGATGGAGGTGCCCGCAGCAAAGGTGTCCAGGAGGGTCAAGACGTAAATTCCACCCTGGCACAGGGAGAGAAGAAGCCAAGAGGCCCTCTTTGGTCAAACGTGGGAACTGATTGTTGTGTCTGTCAACTCTTACCTGCCCCCTGTCCCACTTGCTCGGAGCTCTATTTGAAAACCCAGGGCATAGGGCTGTGGTGCTGTTGTATTGACGTTACAGTCACCTCAGTTTCAGCCAATAAAGAGTTAGATGGGTTCCAAAGGGACTTTTGCTGCCCCTCAAGTCAATAAGCAATTAACAGGGCTGAATGGAATCCTCAGCATCAGAGATGGAAGAAGACTACTGGGCCTAACCCTAGTGGGTCAGGCCGCTGAATTGAGGATGCTGGATCCTGCATTGTTCTCCCTGAGCTCAGCCCCAGTTCTAAGGCTAGGAATGTTTGACTTTATTGAAATGCGGCCTCAGAGGCCCCCAGGTGACCCAGAGCCCAGCCCCTACTCACCTTGGTTATGCAGAACAGGGCGAGAAGGAAAGTGCTGAAGGTGACGCCAAATGTGAAGAGTTTCCGGTGTCGCTTCAGGACCTGGAAGTCATCTGCCAGGCCCGTGATGACAGCCTCCATGCCTCCCATCTGGAGGGAACCAGGAGGGGTGGGGTGCAGGAATTAGGGTCTCCCTGGACCTCAGTCTCAGGCCCCAGGGTTCCTAGAGCCTCCTGCAGCCCAGGACTCATGTAGGCTGCCTTGCCTCTCTCGAGAAATCAGCACGTCCTGCCTTCCCCATCCTCTCGTCACATTTCTGTCCTGTTCTCAGGCAAACTCAGAACTCAGAAACTACGTGGGAGAGGGTGAGGGTTAAGTCAACACCTGTCTCCCCTACGCAACAGCTACCTGTCTCCTGACACTCACTCAGCCTGAGTGGGTACAGATAAGCTGATAGTGGAGTGAAAGCAGTAAAACACCAAAACCCATGTCATACGTTTACATGTCAATAAGTGTCTCTGGAAACAACTCCTGCAGAAGAGCTTCTAGTGATGGGAACTTCAGGCAGCAGTTTTTGATAAGGATTTTTGGCTGCCTTTCTAATGATCAAGCAAAGTGGTCACTTCAAACTCCAGACTCTTAGAGTCTGAAAGGGTCTCATATCCCACTGCTATGGGCAGATTGCTTCCTTATGAGGACAATGTGAGGGCAGACAAGAAGAATGCAAGCTACCACTCTCCTCTCCTCTCCCCTCCTCTTGGCAGACACTGTTAATCAAAATCAGTATTCTTCATTATAAGCCCAGAAGCAGCCTCAAAATCCTTCTCAACTCCCTGCTCCTGGCAGATCTGCTGACTGAAAGCAAAAGGCAGTGGGAGGAAAACCAAGTGCCAGCCCTTCCATAAGATTTTTTGCAAATGTCCAGGCATGAGGTACTAAGGGTAGACATAGATTTAAAAAGATGTCAGTAAATCCAATCTTACATTTGGATAAAATAAAAGGATGTAAGAAACTACTGGGTTCAAAATGTTTTTGTTTGTTCGTTTGGGTTTTGAGGTGTTTTTTAGAAACCAGGTCTCACTCTACCCAGGTTGAAGTGCAGTGGTATAATCATAGCTCACTGCAGCCTCCAACTCCTGGGCTCATGTGATCCTCCCACCTCAGCCTCCTGAGTAGCTAGGGCTACAGGCATACAACACCATGCTCAGCTAATTTTTTAAATTTTTTATAGAGACGGGGGTCTCCCTATGTTGCCCAGTCTGGTCTTGACATCCTGGCCTCAAGCAATCCTTCCACCTCAGCCTTCCACAGCCCTGGGATTATAGGAGTGAGCCACCATGCCTGGCCTATTGATTATTGATAATAAAATATAATGAGAAAATGCTTGTTTAGAGCACAAGATTTTATCTGTGTTGCCTCTGAATCATTTCCCCACCTGCAAGAGGACAGTGTGGGGCTGGCTTATCTGAAGCCTCTTCTTTTGGATTTCCAAGATGTCAAAGGGGTTCCTATGGTTCTTGGCTATGGCCTAAGTCTTATCTTTTTGAGTGAGGACTCACTTTTTTTGTCTGCATTTAAATAGGGCCTTCTGGAAACAACTGTTAACCTGGTGTTTGAATAGTGGGAACTTCAGGCCCAGCACTGTGTGTTGGGGAAGGGGGTCAGGCCCAGTGGGATGGGGGATAGGTATCCTAAGCAGGGTCACTCACTGAGCTGTCAAGGCCCAGCGCCAGGAGCATGACGAAAAACACAACAGCCCAGAATGTAGATCCAGACAGGGTAGAAATGGCCTCTGGATACAGGATGAACACTAGGCCAGCTCCTGTAAGAAACATCAAGGACCTCATCAATGGCTGAAACCATTGGTCTGAGCTGCACATGATAGGGGAGTATCTGGGGGCCCAATTGTTCGGTCATGTGTGGGCGGACAGAACACAGGTTTAGAGATAACAGATGAAATCAGCATGAACTTACAGCTCACCTGTGCATCGGAGAGGTTGACCCCCAACAGCCAGTCTGGAGAGCAGTTCCCTGCCTGGACAGCTACAGGCTACATGCTGCAAACCCCACCTACTATACTCTATAAGGGATCCACTCTTACTCACTAAAGCTTGGGGTCCTCGGAGTGCATTAGAGGTAGCCCTTCCCCAGGTCTCAGCTTCTCTGTGGCCATAAGGATATGGGAAGCTGCAGGGAAGGACACAAGCTCCAGAGCTGGATTGATTGGGGTGTGAATACTATTGCACAATTGCTCACTAGCTGGGTGACGCCAGACAATGTATTTAGCTTGCATCTCAGTCTTCCCATTCGTAAAGTGAGTCTATTGACACTTGCCCGGCAGCCTTGTGAGAACTAAGTGGAGGTATGTCAAGTGCTTAGCCCAGGGCTGGTACAGAGAGGACAGTCCAAAATCCGTTCCTTCCACCCTGACTCAGAGGAAGGTTCTCCTACATGCATGGGGACTGTGACTGCCTGGAATGCCCACTAATAACCTCAAAGGAAAGTCAATCACATGGGTGGTTTGGACACCTCCATGGACAACCCAGTATTCCTACAGCCACGGAAGAGCCATGCAGCCAAGAATAAGGTGGGCTTCTCAGCTCCCGCCTCAGTGGGCTGGGGCCCAGGTGGGCTGCCCACCCACCTTCTGTGGCCACATCCTCAATGTTGACCTTGTGTTCATGGGCCATGTAACCAAGGATGGAGAAGATGGCGAACCCAGAGACGAAGCTGGTGATACAGTTGATGCTGCTGGTCAGCAGGGCATCCCTGGGGGAAGAAGCACAGTGAGGTCAAGTCCCTTGACACCCTCAACCCTGTGTTTTGACTGCTGGACTGGCTATAGAACCTGCAGCCTGGCCCCAGCCTCAAAGGCCATCCCCCCTTCAGTGGCTCCTGCTGCCACATGGATACAGGGCCTCACCATCACTGGTGCAGGAAGTAGGCTAACTGCTTATGGATGCAACAGCCTGATACCAGAGTCTACTCCTGCCAGGGAATTGAGTCACCAGCTTCCTTCAACAAACCTTCCATGGCTGCTCCCCAGTGCCTCCCAACTCCTCATCCTGTCATTCAAGAGCTTTGCTAAGAAGACCCAGCCTTCCTTATATATTTATCTTCCATGACTCCCAAGGTGTACTCTGAACAAACCATAAATTGGTCCATAAACAAACCACTTCCTTGCATTTGCCTGTGTTGTCCCGCTTCTCCCCCCAGTGCATGCAGTCCACTCCACGTCTGCCTAGCATAATCCTAACTATCCTCCAAGGCTCATCTCAAATTCACCTCCATGCACTGGCTTGTCTTCTATCAGGGGGCTGATCACCCCATTTCCTTACCTCCCTATAGCCTGTCCCGCTGGTATGAATTCACTGGACTCTGTCATGTACCAAAGACACTGTGATTCTGCCTTAAGCCTTGGATGGAGTGTAATGGAAGTGGACCCAAATTTGTGCCTATGCCTGAAGTCCCCACAGCACTGGGCCAGCAGGAGGTAGCATTGACTGCTTCCTGAACTGAGCTAGATCATGGTCTTCTGAGTCTCAGTCTCCCCTGCAGTCTCACTTCTGACCCTGCCAGGCCCTCAGCAGCTGCGATATTCCACCCCTGCCTGCCTGGGCATCTGATGGACAGAGTCCATACTGAAATCTTCACAGTTCTCCTCTGTCATAACTACCCATCTCTCAGTGGTGGTAACCTCAATTTTCCCAGTTCCACACCTCACATTTGTTTAAGAGGCATCCTGAAATGAAATGTGGTCATCAGGACCCTCAGAGGCCATGTCGCAGTTTATAGAATGCCCAGGATGGTTCACAAGAAGAAAATTTGGCTTGCCCAGGGAGAGTTGGCTTCCAGACCAGAGCCCTCTCTGCCACCCAACAAGAGTCAATCCCCAGGATTTAGAGCTTCTCAGAATTCTGAGAAGAATCTTACCTGTAACAGTTGTTGTCAAATTTGTTGTAACTGGCAAATGCAATCAATACTCCAAATCCAGCCCCCAAGGAAAAAAATATCTGAGTTGCGGCATCAATCCATACCTGAAACCAGCAGACAAAAGCCATCAGCCTCTGCTTCCTACAACACTGGAACACCTCACTGGTCCGGAAGGGCTGAGAAACCCTGGGGATGCTCTGAGACCAGAGGAAACATGGTCTGAACCAGAGATGGGCAGCCCTGGCAACTCCCTCCCCTGCATCCTGTACAAAACAACTGCAGAGAGAGGCTGGGCCTCTCTAGCATCTCCCAGCCTTGGGTAGTCGTGAGTGAGCTCACCCTGTAGGAACTCATTCACTCAATTTCATGCCCTGATTTTCAAAGAAAGTTAACAAAATGAAAAGTTCTAGGCTAGAGTGTGAATGGGGCAAGAACAGAGGGTTATGGCCATCTTAGGAGTTACGGAGATGGCATTTTCAGAAAGCGAGGACCATTCCTAGGAGGCTTCTACAAGCCATAGACAATGGTGACTCCTTGGGGGCCAATGGGGCTTACGTATTTAATCCGTTGGGTGATAAAGGCACATGGCCGGAGGCCTGAAGATCTGAATTCCTTTTTAACTTCTCTGCCTCATGTTCTAGCCCTGGTCAAGTTCACTTCTCTCTGTCTGTTTCCTCATCTGTATAATGGGGATAATTATACCTCACACACTCAGACTAAGCTGCAATTCAGATTTTTTTTTTTTAAGCAGGGTCTCACTCTGTCACCCAGGCTGGAGTGCAGTGGCATGATCTTGGCTCACTGCAACCTCCACTCCCTGGGTTCAAGCATCCTGAGTGGCTGGGATTACAAGTGCGTGCCACCGTGCCCCGCTAATTTTTGTACTTTTAGTAGAGACGGGGTTTCCCCATGTTGGCCAGGCTGGTCTTGAACTCCTGACCTCAAGTGATCCGCCCGCCTCAGCCTCCCAAAGTGCTGGGATTACAGGCGTGAGCCACCGCGCCCAGCCTTGCAATTCAGATTTCAGAGATGCCTGTGCAAACAGAGGGCAGCATGATCTGATGGGGGAAGACAGATCTGCTCCTTGAGACTGCACTGAGGGCTTAGCTTCTACACATCTGAAAGGTTTGGCATAAACAGTCACAGAACAAATAGAAGTCTGACTTATTTTGCAATTTACGAGGCTGATTCATGTCTTATGCTCTGTTATCTTTCTGGCTGTTACTATGAAAATAGGTTTTCTCTTGGTTACCGGTCTATAACATTGCAGTGTGTTGGAGCATTACAACTATGGAGATGTATATTGGGATGCATCCCTCTTCATCCTGTGCTGCTGGGGCCTGCCAGGATTATTATGGGTTCAAATAAAGAAACCCTGGAGAATTGTAAGATAGCATGTTGAGGTGTTCTCACTGAGGGGCCCTGCAAGAGGAGGCTAGAAGTAATCTCAGCAGTTATCTGAAGATGCTCAAGGTACTGAGTACCTCTGTGATTGTCTCTGCTCCCACCATCACTGCTCTGCACTGGACTCCACTACCAAATTCACCCACTTTCACCATAGTTGGGGCCTCTGGACAGGGGGAGTGGTTGGATGAGGGTGTTGGGGAAGAGAGTTGGCAGGGCCTCCCTGGTGGCTAAGACTATCCTTGTGCTGACATCACAGGATGGTGGCAAAGACTAGGTTTGGGGATCCAAGAGTAGAAAGAGGGCAGGGAATGGCTGGGGTGGACTAGGGAGCTGTGGGCACAGGGCAAGAGCAAGGTCCCAAGACATCATGTCCTCTTCACAGGGAATTTCTCTCCTCAAAAAGAGTAGTCTGTGAAGACCACCAGATGCAACCACAGAATCCCAGGCCTCCAGACATGGGTGGGCTTATGGAGACTGTCAGGTGCAAATCCGCATTGGTCAGATGGGGAAGCTGCACCTCAGACAGGGAAGGATCCTGTCCAAGGCTACACTGCACATTTGTGGCAGAGCTGGGACCAGATTTTCCATCATCACCTTCTCCTGAAAACCCTCCCACAAGCCTGGCCCAAGGCTTGGTGGTCACTGAGCACTGACCGTGGCCTCTTTCAAGCGGTAGAAGTCGATGTGCAGGTAGGCATTGATGCCATTGGAGGCTCCGGGCAGCGTGACGCCATGGACCAGGAGCACGAACAGCACGAAGTAAGGCAGCGTGGCTGTGATCCACACCACCTGGGCAATGGATAAGTTCAGGTGAGAGCCTCGCTCTGGCCCCAATCCCGTGGCGGGCTGGTGGGGCACAGAGCCCTTTCCCAGGGAGCCAGTCATGCTCTTTCCCACCTTCCTTTACCCAAAGCACATGCTACAAGTTCCAGCTCTAGGCAAGGCCCTGAGCCAGAATCCAGGGCTAGACCAGCAAACGGACACAGGTCACACCCTAGAGAAGCTCAGAACCCAGGGTGAGAGTCAGCCACAGTGGGGATAGCACTATGATGAAAGCCAAGGGCAAAGACTAGGTCCTCATAGCACCAGATGCCTCCTCATCTACAAAGCCACCTCTCCTGACTCCTTCAAGGAAAGACTCCTGACTCCATAAAATGAAGAACTTTCCCATATATAGAGCTCTCTAAAGGAAAAGAGCCTAGAGAGGTGGTGAGGTACCTGTCATTGAAGTTGTGCGAGTGTTGCTATGAATACAGGCATTGGCAAAGGATTGCCTAGATCAAGGCGTGGTTCATGAACCAGACAGAACTAAGTACACCCACCTTTGTGCTCTCCCCTTTCCCCATCAGTCCTGTGTCCATCACACCATTGCTACTGGTTGCTGCATGCACCTATCTGACTGGCAGGATATTTAGAAATCTCAGTCTCTCTCTCTCTCTCTCTCTCTCTCTCTCTCTCTCTCTCTCTCTCTCTCTCCCCCTCTCCCCTCCCCCCCTCTCTTTTTCTCTCTTCCCATCCTCCCTCCCTCTTCTTGCTCTCCCCTCCCTCATCTCCCTCTCCTCCACTCTCTCCCTTATGTTTATCTCTTCCTTTTTTTCTTTACCCCCCTTTAAGCATATTTTCTTTCCTAAGCACATTGCCTAGGAAGGGATGTGGCTGGGCAGAAAGCAGAACCTCTGACCATTCTTTATCTTAGTGGGAACAGATGTGGGACACAGACAACGTACCTTATTCAGAAACACACAAAGGAAGAGATTACTCCAAACTAAAAAGAAACACCCCATCCCCTTGTCCAGGTTGGAGGAACAGAAAAGAAAGGTAGAGACAGGGATGGGGGTGTTATATAGGTTTCCTTGCTATTCCTTCTCACCCTTGGCTACATATTCAAATACCCTGGGGGAAGTTATAGGTAAAAATGTTAAAGCTCAGATCCTATTCTTGGAGTTTCTGACTTAGTTGGTCAGGGGTAGGCCTGAAATGAGTATTTTTTTTAAAGCTCCCCAGATGATAAAATTGTGCAGCCAAGGTGAGAAATCACCACTTTAGGCAGAGGCAGCCATGGGTAGCCTTGCTGAAAGAAGGCTGTGTCCCAAGTGAAAAATCAGGCTAAGGTCAAGGTAGTCAGACTCAAGGAGGACTCAGCTGAAACATGAGAAGGCCTATAACCTAAATGCCAGATGGTTCCACCCCTCAAATCCCTGGAACTATGTAGCCCCAGGAATCTTCCCATATCCCTAAGGGGAAAGTGGAAACCTTGAAACACGAAAGTTCTTTGCCAGGCTAAAAAGATATGGGCTCTAAACAAAAAATGGGGATATAGAAAATAAAGCCATATGCTTCTCAAACTTATGTTTAAGGATGGGGATTTATCCTCTTTCTTTACTTGTCTTTCCCACTAGATCATGAGCTCCTTAGAAGTAAAATCCTATATTTTTCAAACCTGAATCCCCAGAATCCGGCACATGTGAGTCCAAATAAATGTTTATTGTACGAATGATTGGACTGGGCAGTGGTGTAGATGAATGATTGGATTGTTAGGTAAATGGATGGATGAGTGGATGGCTGGATTATGATTGGGTAGCTGGTTAAAAGGATGGATAAGATGATTAGGTGGGTGGAGGGTTGAGTAGATGGATGGATGGATGGATGGATGAATGAGTGGGTAAGTGATAAATCGGAAAGTTAGTGGACGACTAAGTCAAAGAATAAATGCATGAACAAGTGAATGAATGAGTAACTGGGTCAGCATGGGAGCGAGTAAATGCATAGTGGTAGTCACATCTTCTGGGCTCAGAAGGAATCAGGAAAGCCTCCTCTGTTTCATGTTATCCACTTGTTTCTCCATCACTCCCTTGTTCTAAGAAGGTCTTTATGGAAATGGGATTTCCACTTGTTTTCTTTCAGGGAGGCAAGAACAGGAAGGACAAATTGCATAACAAATAAGGAGGGAAACATGCCCTGGAAAGTGAAGCTGTTGCATCTGGGTGACCTCACGTTAATCAATCTTGTATTCAGTCTCCTGATCTGGGACAAATAGGTGTAAGCCCTTGGCAAAAGGCACAAGAAGGAGCTCTCACATCTCCTTGAGACTGGTCCTAACTGCTCTGGTCTCCTAAAACTCATGTCAATAGCTGCAGCCCTGCTGCAATGCCCAGCCCAGCAAATCAGGTGAGACTACACTCCTCCCATCAGAAAACCGTATCTTGACCTCTGACTTCAGGGAATCTCCCATGGGGCCTGGAGGTGGTCCTGCATTGGCCATGTTTGTTGGCCATGGATTCAGTTTCCCTAAGGAATACATCAGGCCATGACTGAGCTGAGACCCTGACTATAGTTCAAGCATCAAGAAAGCAGGGAACTTGTTTTGTCTGTGCCCATGTGTTCAAAGCTAAACCATCTGAGTCTTGTTGAAGATTCTCAGAATTGGCAGTGGGTGTTACTTCAGCTGCCTAAGATCTTGTGTTGAAAGAAGGATTCCTGGATCTTTGGCTAACAGTTCACTCATGCTCAAATGTGCCCTGAATGCACAATGGGTAAACAGAAGAAAGGCTTGGGCTCTGTCATCTCCACCCCAGGCTTCTCAGCTCTCAGCATTTCAACTTGCAACACAGCTCTGGCCATGAGAACCTAGACTTGGTCCAATTTTGAGCACAACATCAAGAAAGCAATGAGCAGCCCATTGGTCTTGGCAAATGTCCTTAGTCCCTAAGGGAGGTCACTGCTTTCTATCACTTTAAATCCATACCTGCTGGTATTTCTATGGATAATTTGTGTGGTTCCAGGGTACCAAATTCAAGCCAATGGCTCACAATCAAAATGAGGACCTTGGCTCCATAAAAGAAGGAATTTTCAAATTGATAGAGCTCTCTCAAGGGAAAGAGCTGCCCAGGAAGGTGGTGAGGTGCTTGTCACTGAAGTTGTGCAAGCCTTGCTATGAATCCAGGCATCGAGAAAATGGCTGCCTAGATCAAGGTGAGCTCCATAGACCAGCAGCATCAGCATCACCTAGGTGCTTGTCAGAAATGCAAATTCTCACCTCATCCCCACTGAATCAGACTCTCTCAAAGAGGGACCCAGCAATCTGAGTTTCAGCAAGCCATTTCAGTGATTCTTACACCCATGAGAGTTTGAAAAACACTGCCCAGGACCTACTCTAAGGTTGACTTGAAAACAGAGATGATAAATGTCTGCACTTTACCACTATAAATCTGCATTAATTTACCCTTTACTGATTTAGAATTTGTGATTTTAAAAAGGGAGATTTATGGGGTGTGGGGTATGCACTGATGTTACTGAAGAAAACACCAAGCTACAAACATTTTAGTCTATGCCTCACTCATGTGTGAATGATGCTGTTCATTATAATTGAGTCCAATCAAGTCACTAAAGCAAGCCAGGACCAGCACAACCTTCACTTGCCAAGACCGGAGGTATGAACATTTGCAATTCATTTGAGGCCAGCTCTGAGGCTATGGAAGCCTGCTAAGAAAGGCTCAATGTCCTGTTCCAGGTTCAGTCTAGAAAGAAATAAGCAACACTCTTGGTTTCTCATAAGCCAGTTTATAAAAACAATTAAAGACAGAGCACAGTAATGTCCTAAGTGAAGCTCCCCATTCTAAAAATCTCCTCTCCATGGACTGCCTGTGGCATGCCTGCTTAGTGGTCAGAACACTGAGGGACTTATGCAAAATGTGGGCTGTGGTTTCGGATGACACATGCAGAGGGGACTCATATTCCTCTCTCATTGTGTTTCTACATGGGGGCTTTCCTAGTGTAACACTCTGGTTCGCCCCTCATTACCTTCTCTGAAGGTGTATTTTGGAAAGAACTGAGCATGCTCAGCCTTACTCCTCCCAGTCTCTTTTGCATCAGCCTGCCTGCAGACAACATATACTCCACTCTACTCAGAAGCTAAACTAGACGGGGCAGGCTCTACCCTCTTTGGTGATGGCATTGGGGAACCCAATCTTGGGGTGCAATGTTAGAAGTTTGTGGTGGTCCTATGCCAAGGCCAGAAGCAGTATAAAGCTCATATATCTTCTGCAATTCACAGGGTTGAGCCCTGTCTCCCCTCAGGGTCTCTGTCTGTGCCTGCAGAGGCCAGGAGAACTCTGCTCCTGGTACCCAGGAAAGGCACAGAGAGTGCTAGACAAGGCTGGCCTGGGGCTTCCACATCTCTACAGTTTTGCTCATGTAGTTCCTTCTGCTAAGAATCCCTTCCTTCCACCCCACCTCTACCTGCACCTGACTTTGTAGACCCAGCTCGAATGCCACCTTCTCTATGGTCTTTGGAGACACTTTCAGTTGAAAGAGCTTCCTTTCTCCACTAATGCAGCATCTCACACTTTTTGACCACAACTCAGGCTAAGAAATGCCTTCAATATCAAGACAAACTACACATAAACTTAGAGATTGCTGTAACTGAAACAAAAATCCCAAGAGACAGCTCTTACTTTACTTGTGCAATGATCTCTTATTATCTAGACTTTTTCATTTTTGAAAAGTGTATGTGATGAAAATAGCAAGATATATAATAGTGCACATAGTTTGTGACCACAGGTTTTTATTAAATGGGGACACACACATATGTTCTCTGGATAGAGACCCAAGAAGCTAGTGACATTGGTTGATCCATAACCTGCCTGTAATACACATAGACTAAAGCAATTGAAGAAGGAACCTGTCTTATTCTTGCATCACTAGTATTAGCATCAAGCCTGGTACACAGTAGGTCTCCTATGTTGATATTTTGAACTAAATTCAAAAGAATACTTAATGAAGTTCCCCAAACTTATATACCCACCCATCCTTCAATTACCCAATAAATATTTACTGAAGACCTACTAGGTGCCAGGCATCAGAATGTTAGTGGTCCTATCCTGGTTTTGCTCAACGCTAGACTTTCTCCAAGCCCTGGTCTGCATTTTGTTTGAGTGCTTTCTTAGGGTAGACACTGTGTCCCCAACATGCTGATAGGAAGTTCTCTCTCCAGTTCTTGATGGATTTCATCTCTACTGGCTGCTGCTCCCCTGCTACTTTCTTTGCTCTCAATGGCATGACCAAGAACTCTAAGAGTATCAGAGAGAACTCTGGTGCACCCCCCCTTTCCAAAATCAGTTGCCTAATGAGGATTCTCCCAAATTGACACCCACCTGATTAAGGTAGACTGTTGCGCTGTGGCCCCCAATGAACTCACACCTGTGTGTAATCCCCTCCCATATGGACGGTGGGTTTTACCTCAACACTTGTTTTGGCCACTGGGACAATAGCAAGAATGATGCAAGCAGTGACTGGAAGAGCTACTTGTACATCACTGGGGCTTGTCTGCTTGGGACATGTTCTTGGAACTCAGCCGCCATGCTGTGAGAAGCCCAAGCACCATAGAAAGGCTATATGGAAACATCCCAAGATGCTCTGGTTGGCAGCTCCAACTTAGCTCCCAGCTAGTGCCAAATGCTAGCAATGTGTATGCACCATCTAGAATATTCCAGCCCAGTGAAGCCATGTAGTCCAGGGAATATCACATGGAGCAGAAGAACCACCCAGCTGATCCCAATCAACCCATAGAATTGTGAGAGACAATAGAATGGTTGTTATTTTGAGTCACTACATTTTGGGGTGGTTTGTTGCACAGCATTAGCTCACCACAACACTGGAAAGAAAATTTCCCATCCATATCCTCTTTAATAGTCAAGCTTCTAAATAGACCCTGTAGAGTCCAAATGGGGTTGTTGTTCCCATGATGTTCCTTGGGCTAAAAATCAACAGGAGCCATTTCCTGAATATTCCCACCCATGAGAGGCTGACTATAGGAGGACAGTGTCACCCAAGTTCAGAATGCCAACTCCGGACTGGCCCTCATGGGTCATCTAAACCTATGCTCTTCTCTCCAAGGCACCTGGAACCCTGGGGGCACTTATTTCTGTATCCGAGGAAACACAAAATCCAGCATACATCTGAATATCTTCTAGAGCATCCTTTTTTCTCAAAAATTCAGAGGGGGGATTTATTGATTTTATGGTCATATTCCAGAGTAGGATGCAACATTTGCATGAAGATTTAGGTCAAGATTCAAGATTTATCAAGGGCATGTTGATAGTATCTCTAGACTTTGTCGTGAGGCCCTTGGCAGTATCCCAGTCCCTGGTCTCTGCTATTAGGGAGGTTTTGGCAGGAAAATATGAGGAACTCTGATCCACTTATACCCCTTCAACCTATTGTGGTGGAGACACAGATTTGGGGAAGGGAAAGGAAAGGAAGGGAAGGGATTTGTCCAAGTCAGTGGCAGAACAGGGGCTTGAACCCAGGCCTTGCACTTCCAGCTCCATCTTTTTTGTCCACCAGCTACATAATTATTGCTAGAAATAATCACACCCCCCAAGGTTGATCACCCAAGTAAGTGAAAGAGAAACACAGAGATATTACCTTTCCTGATGTCTTCACCCCTTTCCAGAGGCTAAAATACAAGACGATGACGACGACCATCAGACAGAGCAAGAGCTGCCACTGGGGCAGGCCGATGTCATGAATCCCGCTGCTCTCGTGAAGGTGCAGGACACCACGCCTGCCCAGAGGAGAGGGGAGGGGACCAGGGTAAATGTCGTCAGGGAGGACGACAGAGGCCGTGACCACAGACCAGTCCCTGCAAATGCATGCTGATGGAGACAGGACCTGGCCACTCTCCCCTAACTCAGGGACCCTAGCCACTGCCATGCACCACATGGGCCTGACCTGATCAGCCATGGCCTGTGCCCAGGACCACTCTGTCCTAGAAGAGGCAAATCATCTGGGGAGATTCCACGCTCATGGCTGCTTTTAAAAGACAAAAATCTCTTAAGTGCCTATTGCTCGCCTGGCCTTGGAGTAATAAATAGGGAAGGTTTCTGTCCTCACAGAACTCACACTATAAAGAGCAGTTCTCAGCAGGAGGGAAGACTGTTTTGTCCCTGACCCCCACCCCGGAGGATATTTGGCAATATCTGAGATGTTTTTGATTGTCATGACTTGAGGAGAGGTGGTGCTACTGGCATAGAGACTATGGGTGCTGCTAAACATACTGCAATGTACAGGACAGTCTCCAATAACAAAAAATGATCCTTCCCAAAAGGTCCATATTGCTGAATCTGAGAATACCTGGTCTAGAGACTGAGACAAAAGTGAACATTTCTCCTATTGGGGAATAGCTACTAAAGCTGAAGATAGGCTTATCCTGTGCCCTAGGTATTGACTCAATAGAATATTGTACACATGTTCACCAAAAGACATGCTCTAGAATGTTTATGGCAGCATTATTTCATAATAACCCCAAATCGCAAAGTACTCAAACATCCATCAACAGTGGAATGGATAAATTAGGATATATTTATAAAGTGGAGTTTTGTTGTTGTTGTTTTTTTTTTTTTTTTTGAGACAGGCTCTCACTCTGTTGCCCAGGCTGGAGTGCAGTGGCACCATCACGGCTCACCGAAGACTCAGCCTCCCCAGGCTCAGGTGGTCCTCCCACCTCAGCCTCCCAAGTAGCTGGGAATATAGGTATACATCACCATGCCTGGCTAATTTTTGTATTCTTTTGGTAGAGACTGGGTTTTGCCATGTTGCCCAGACTGTTCTTGAACTCCTGGGCTCAAGTGATCCAACTGCTCCAGCCTCTCAAAGTGCTGAGATTATAGGTGTGAGCCACCACACCTGGCCTAAGTGGAGTATTATACAGCAATTACCTCCAGAGGGATGGCTCTAGCACACACTGCTGAGAGAAAGAAGTCAAAGCCAGAAGAGCACTTCCGTCTGACTCCAGTCATATAAAATTCAACAACAGGCAAAACTGACCTAAAGGATTAGAAGTCAGGAGAGGTGTACCCTGGGATGGGGTTGAGGGGGTTACTGACTAGGAGAGGACATGATGAGGACTTCAGGACATTCATCATGCTCTTTCCTGAGCTGGGTGAGGTTACTGGATGCGTTCAACGGGTAACATTTGCTGAGTTGTCGCTTGATGATAGTCACTCCTTTGTAATATGTTAGCTATCAATAAAGTGTTTGGGTTTTTTTTCTTTTGTTTTGTTTTGTTTCGTTTGTTTGTTTGTTTGTTTGTTTGAGACGGAGTTTCACTACTGTTGCCCAGGCTGGAGTGCAATGGTGCGATGACGGCTCACTGCAACCTCCGCCTCCCAAGTTCAAGTGATTCTCATACCTCAGCCTCCTGAATACCTGGGATTACAGAAGCCCACCATCATACTCGGCTAAATTTTTGTATTTTTAGTAGAGATAGTGTTTCACCATGTTCGCCAGGCTGGTCTTGAACTCCTGACCTCAGGCTATCCACCTGCCTTGGCCTCCCAAAGTGCTGGGATTACAGGCATGAGCCACTGCGCCAGGCCTGGTTTTTTATAAGTAAGAAAAACAAACAATCCAAGGTGGTCTGAGAATATTGGGGTCCCTTGTACAATCTACAATGAAGAAATGATAAAGAGAATTGAAAACAAAATGACCGTTTGCTAATGAGAATCTAATCAAAGTTGGTTAGGAGCTAAGGAAAGGTCAAATAAGACTGACTGCTGAAACAGTACAGCAAGTCCCAGGAGAGAAGGGTTCCCCTGACCACTCTGCACCCTTGCAAGGCAAAGCAAGCAGAAATGGGAACAACTTGGTGTGGTATTTGCTCTGCACCCTAATCGTTCATTTGTCACTGAAGGCCGGCTGTGAGCCAGCCCATCTGGGCCTCGGACACACACAGGAACTGCTCGTGCACCGTCCTGACTCTGCCTTGGTGGGCTTGTATCGTAGCATGGGAGGCAACACTGCACGCAAATTCACAATAAAGCATGACACATGTTGGGAGGTTCAAGGGAGCTGCAGGGGCCCCCAAAACGAGATCCCACTGGGTTCTTCTCTGTGCCTCACACTCAGAGGCAACAGTCAGCTGCACATTGCCCAACACCCTTCAAAGCCCAGATCCAGTGTCACCTCTCCTGGGAGGCCCCCCAATCATCCTTGATAGGCATCTTTCAACTCTTCCAGTTCCTGTGGCTCTTGACTCAGTTGCAAGGAGAGCCTGCCTGTTTCTGCAAGATCAGGGCTAACTGTATACAAGGGTCTCCCAGGATGAGGAGGTGAATTAACCATTCCTGGTCCCCAGTGCTAAGCCCAGAACTGGCAGTTAGACCTGTTAGCTCATGAGAGATCATAGGATTAGAAACAGATAAATGCTCCCAGCCTTTCTTGCTAAACCCAACAATCCCTCTAACTATAGAAAATGAGATCCCAGGATCACCCCAAGGAGAACGAGTAAGGAAAGAGGGTCAGTTTCCCACACACTCTCAATCTTTCTCTTAGCAACTCCTCCCATCACTTGTGGCAAATTTCTAACCCTTTTGCCCAGATCTTTCATACTGCCCAGGGCACCACACATTTTCCCATACGGAAACTTCCCTGTCTCATTCTATAGGCATTTGCGCTCAACTAGAGGTCCATTCAGAAAGCAGCTGCTTAATAGACTTATATAGCCAGGCATGGTGGCTCATGCCTATAATTCCAGCACTTTGGGAGGCCAAGGCAGGCGGATCACCTGAGGTCAGGAGTTCGAGACCGGCCTGGTCAACATGGCGAAACCCTGTCTCTACTAAAAATACAAAAATTAGCTGGGTGTGGTAGTGCATGCCTGTAATCCCAGCTACTTGGGAGACTGAAGCATGAGAATTGCTTGAACCTGGGAGATGGAGATTGCAGTGAGCGGAGATCTTGTCACTGCACTCCAGCCTGGGCAACAGAGCGAGACTCCATCTCAAAAACAAAACAAAACAAAACAAATTTACACTAAAGTGTTAAAGGCAAACAGCTTAATATATCGTCCTTCCCTGGAAGGTGGCTTTAATTCCAAAACACACATTAATGGCAACATTGTACACACCTGCAGGGGATAAGATCAATTGTCTGTCTGCCAGAGGCAGATGACAGCCCTTGCTGGAATCATCCCGAATGATGCAGGAAGATTCCAGGCTTGTAAGGAAAACATATACCCTGAGTCTGGAAACTTACTTAGCTTACCCTTGGGTAGGAATTAAAATTTGTTTCCAGGCAGGTGAAAGAAAGGCTGAAGACCACCAGCGATGCTGTTTCATTCACTCTTTCATCATTTATCCACTCAAAATAGATGTATGTTATTTGAAAGAATATGAAGGAAAACAGAAAAATGTGGCACAGAAATTGTCTGAGCTCTGGGGTCAGACAGACCTGGCTTCCCATCCTAGCCCTTACCACCAGATCCTGTGTGACCCGAATCCTTTCATCGATTCCACAAACTCTCTCTGCACCTCTGCTCTGAGCCAGGCAGTGTGCCGGGGGCTGGTGGCATGGCTGTGGAGAAGCAGGTGATGGCTCCAGCCCCCTGGGGATCACAGGCAAGGGGACAGTAGTGCGTGTAAGCATTTCCCATCACTGAGTCTTTCTCTTTTCAGTGAAAGGGCTGTGATGAGGGCTGAGTTACAGAATATCAGATAATAATACCCAGGAAATGCTCAATAAATGGTAATTATAATGATCATTATGTTTGAGTCCTAGGCTTCAAGGAGCAGCAGGTGTCAGCAAGAGAGTCAAGGGTACCCAGAAAACTCAGTAGAGGGGGTCGGCTGGGGAGACTCCGCTGTGAAGGTGGCAGGTGCCTTCTCTGCTGGCCAGAAAGCTGACAGGAGGTGCACAGGTGTAGGGGAGGGAGCAATGGGGAGAGGGGATGTGAGCATGCGTGAATGAATGAGCAGAGTTGGGTGGGTCATCAAGGTCTACCCAGACCAATGCCCCCTCCCCAGAATGGCTCCCATCCCTGCAGCTCCCAGGCCAGCTGTTGTGGCCTTAAACTCTCACCCTGCATCATCTTCCCCATGCAATCAGTTGCCATGTCTGGTCCCCGCTAATCCTGTCTCTTGGTTGCTCCCTCTACCCCCACCCCCACTGTCCACATCCCAGGCCAGACCCACATTCTGTCTGTGATGGTTAATATTGAGTGTCAACTTGATTGGATTGAAGGATGCAAAGTACTGTTCCTGGGTGTGTCTGGGAGTGTGTTGCCAAAGGAGATTAACATTTAAGTCAGTGAACTCGGAAAGGCAGGCCCACCCTCAGTCTGGGTGGGCACCATCTAGTCAGCTGCCAGTGAAGCCAGAACAAAAGCAGGCAGAAGAACATGGAAAGACTAGACTGGTTTAGTCTTCTGGCCTGCATCTTACTCCCATGCTGGATGCTTGCTACCCTCGAACATCGGATTCCAAGTTCTTCAGCTTTGGGACTTGGACTGGCTTCCTTGCTCCTCAGCTTGCAGACAGCCTATTGTGGGACATCACTTTGTTATCGTGTGAGTCGATACTCCTTAATAAACTCATATGAGATCTATATCATTAGTCTGTCCCTCTAGAGAACCCTGACTAATACACTGTCCTTCCAGAGCTATTGTAAATGACTCCCACCCTCTCCCAAACCCAGTCTCTCTGCCTCCTGTCAGCCCCCTTAAATCCACTGTCTGTGCCACTGCAGAACCATCCATCCAAAGTGCTGTTCTAACCTTGCCACTCTCCTGCCTCCAAAGCCTCAGAGGCTTCTTAGCACCTAAAACAGTGGTTCTCACTGGAGGCAACTTTGCCCCTGCCATCCAGAGGCATTTGGCATGTCTAGAGAGATATTTTTGGTTGTTACATCTGGAGAGGAGGGAGATGCTGCTGGTATCTAGAGGGTAGAGGCCAGGGATGCTGCTAGCTGCTAAACATCACAGATACACAAGACAGTGTGCACCCCTGTCCCCCAACAAAGAATCATCCAACCGAAAAAGTCGAAAGCATCGAGGTCCGGAGGATAACAATGAAAGTCTCTCAGAATCTGAGGCCTTCCACAGTCCATCCCGTGCCAAGTTCATCCCTGGCCTTGCCACACCCTGCCTTTCACCCCAGCAGCAGCAAGCTACTTGTCAGTCCCCAGTTATAGGGTGCATCCATGGCTCTGGGCCTTGGGACCTTCTGTTCCTTCAGCCAGAACACACGTCCGAGCTCAATTTGTCTGCCTGGCTAACTTCTCATCCTGTTAGTCCTAACTCAAAACAATCCCCTGACTTAGACCCCTCTGCTATGTCCTAAGAGAGAGAGAAAAAGAAGAGGAAAGGGTGGCAGGGCGTACGCATATTTAAAAAGACAGAGGACCAGGCTGGGTGTGGTGGCTCACGCCTTCAATCCCAGCATGTTGGGAGGCCAAGGCGGGTGGATCACTTGAGATCAGGAGTTCCACATCAGTCTGGTCAACATGGTGAAACCGCCTCTCTGCTAAAAATACAAAAATTAGCTGGGTGTGGTGGCACACACCTGTAGTCCCAGCTACTTGGGAGGCTGAGGCAGGAGAATCACTTGAACCTGGGAGGTGGAGATTGCAATAGCCAAGATTGAGCCATTGCCCTCCAGCCTGGGTGACAGAGTGAGAATCTGCCTCAAAAAAAAAAAAAGAAAAAGAAAAAAGAAAACCAGAGGCATGTACTGACCCTATCTGATGCTTAATTCCGCTTCTTCCTGTGCCTTTATGGGACAGGTGTTGAATTGTGTCAATTGTCATTTGGTTGACTTGACTATCCAAATAATGGGAATAAAAAGGCATGGAACCAATCATCCTTGCCCTGAAACTTGCCAAAATGCCTCTGGTGTCCAATCTCATGGTTGAAATGCCCCCCAACAGGCCCAGCTGATGTCCCATGCATTCAAAGTCCACTTTCAGGGTTGTAGAGGTTGTCTAGGTATTTCATCAGTGAAAAGATCTGGACTCCCAAGCTTACACCCAAGAAAATCAATGAGAATGCAGCCTCCTTCCCCCAGCAGGCCCAAACCTTGGGGTTTAGTACAAGAAACTTACGTCAGTTTTAGTTTTCCAGAAGTTTAATGAAAATGAATCATCGTTAAGTGTACTGTCCAGGCTTTCCGAAGTCTACACACTAAAAAAGCTCAATTTCTCACTTGATATTTAGCACAGATGATTAATACTAGGCTGGAGGGAGACTTTTCTTCCTCACCAGGGACCGGCATGGGGTGGAAGTTTTCTATTGCCAGGCACATGTTCACCAAAGGTGGCCTTTTACACATAAAGTTACAGAGCTGCAGAGTTTCTTTTAGCTGTGGGGCTGCTTGGCTTCAGGCCTGGAGCCTGGGGAGAATAGCAGTTTTGTTCCCTTGAATGATATGCTCAGTCCATCAGCCTAAATGAGTACAGGATGGTAACAAAATTGGCCAGCAGGTTGGCAGAAAGAGAAAAAATTTTCTATTTCCTCAGGGTTGGCACTAGGAGTCCCACTCACTGGGTCCCCAAACTGAGTTGAGGGGATGTTTTTCAAGCAGAAACATTTAGACAAAAGGGCATCACGCCATTAAAAAAAAAAGTCCAGAGGCAGCTGATGACAGTGCTGTGCATTACAAAGCACAGAGGCAGGCTCCAGGCCAGAAAGGGCAAGGGCGGCGTGAGAAGAACTCCTATCTACTTGCAGAGGCCCCTGCACTCCCAGCTCTGCCACTTACCTAAAACCGGAGCCTACACTCTCTTATCTGTAAAATGGGAATAATTTCTACCTCCATGAACTGTGAAGATTAAATGGGATTTGGATGTGAGGAGATCCTCAGTGCTTGGCTGATGGTAGCAATGAAGGTTTGCATGGATAGTGGAGGGAAGGTTAAGGAGAGGAAAAAAAGAGGGAAGATCTGTAGGGCAGAAGGCTCCTAAAATAAGCCCTGTAGGCCGGGTGAGGTGGCTCACACCTGTAATCCCATCACTTTGGGAGATGGAGGTGGGTGGATCACCTGAGCCCAGGAGTTCAAGACCAGCCTGTGAAACATGATGAAACCCCATCTCTACAAAAAATATAAAAAGCTAGCCAGGCGTGGTGGTACATGCTTATAGTCCCAGCTACTTGGGATGCTGAGGTGGGAGGATTACTTGAGCCTGGGAGGTCAAGGCTGCATTGAGCCGAGACTGTGCCACTGGGTGACAGAGCAAGACCCCGTCTTTTTTAAAACAAACAAACAAACAAAAAACAACTCTGCATTCAGTTCTACCTGCATCCCCCAACCATTTCAGCCTGAAGATGCCATCTTTTCCCACCACTCTCCTTATAGCTGAGCCTGGAGGAAGCTTAGGGCTGTAATTAAAGTAAGTAGGGTCTCAAAACCTATCTCACCTCTCCCTCTGGCTGGGTGTCTCTGCTGGGGCCTCTGCTGGGGCCGACATACTAGCCATGAAGACATCAGCGGAGGAATCAAATGCTAACTGGACTAGAGGCAAAGCTATCATTTCCCATTTTAATTTGTAAAACAAGGGTTGCCGAGAGCAAAAAGAAAAATCATGCTTTTTCCTTTATGGGAGGATGAGGGGGAGAGGGTGCAACCAATCACATGTGTCGGCAGCACTCTGCTCCACTATCTTTACCACCTTCCCCTCCAAACCATGTTCATAAGACAGAAAGGCCTAAAACCCCCACCTGCAAGCTCTCTGATGGTTCGGGAATTTTCTGAGGCCATACTCCTCCTCAGAAGAGTGAAGGAGGCCCTAGATTTTCCATGACATGAGTCTATAGAGATGTCAGCCTGATTCCAGTAGGAGTCCTACTCCAAGACAGAAGAGCGCAGTGTGTAAACAAGGGCTTCCAACGTTGGCTGGATGTTAGAATTGCAGGGGGAGCTACTGATGGAAATTTCTATGCCCTGGTTGTACCCGGACCAATGAAATCAGAATCTCTGGATGTAGAATCCAGGCATCCATGCTCTCCAGGTGATTCTGATGTGCAGTCAAGGTTTTGAACCCTGGGCTAAGAGCTTGGGCTTTGGAGATAGACTGCCTGGATCCAAATAGACTTTTAATGCCACTTATAAACTCTATGACCTCAGACAAGTCACTTACTGATTTGTGCCTGTTTTCCCATTCATAAAAATAATCTTATACCACAGTGGTCAGGATTAAAATGTAGTATAGAAAGGGTGCTTTGAACTATGGCTGGAATACAATCCAAGCTGGGTAAATGTGATGTGTGACCATGACAATATTTCTGCATAATAACAAACATGTATAATGGGTAGAGGCCAACATAACACAGAGGTTAAGGGTGCATGCTGTGAAGTTTCCCTGCCAGACAGGGCTGGGGTTAGAGTGAGGAGAAGTAAGCTCCTACGGTGCAAAATGGGAGATGCGCACTCTCAGGGTTTTGCAAATGCACACTGGCTGGGTCCAAATCTTGGCTCTGTGCAGTAATAGTTGTGTGGTTGTGGACTGTATTGTCTCAACTGTGAAATGAAGCCTCCCCAAGAGTGTGATGAGGATAAGAGTTACAAAAACCTCATTAGGTGGGTGAGGCTTAAATCAAAATAATACATAGGAGGAAGTTAGCAGAAAACCTCATACACATGGTAAGAGGTTAGCTATTAATGTGATGGTGAGGAAGACAGGTTTCTTACAGCAGATGCTGATGTTCAGTGACAGCAGTGATTCAGATCCTCTGGGAGGGCTGCAGAGGTATTTGAGAATTTGACGACAACTGCAGACCCTCTCCAAGAAAAATTCTAAAACACATAATTTTTACATATGCCTGTTAGAAGTCCATGGGAATCATGGATGGAGACAGGTGGATGCAGGTACAGGACCCTTAGCAAATTCTCTGCAGTGAACCATTGAGGGTATTTCCTGGATCCTGAGAACACTGACTCCCCTGAGCCCCAGGAGGCAGTAGACTTTCCAGAGGTCTCTTTCAACCAAACTAAATCCCCCTGGCCCTGCTGCACCAAGATGGCAGGGAAAGAGTTGGTCCCAGGATAACCCCAATCTCCAGATAATCTGGACTCATTCCCAGGTTCTGGGCTTGGGGAATCCATAGGACTGAAGGAGAGGAGCCCTAAAGTTTTGTTGTTTGTGAATATGTTTTTTTTTTCCACACTTTTTTGCACTGCCCAATACAGTAGCAACTGGCCACACATGTCTATTTAAAGGTAAATAAATTAAAATTAAATTAGAAATATATCTCATCAGTCACACTAGCCACATTTCAACTGCTCGGTAACCACCTGTGGCAAGTGGGTACTCTGGTGGATTGCACAGATATAGACCATTTCTATCATGGCGGGAAGTTTTATTGGGAAATCTTGCACTAGGCCAGGAATCAGCACACCACGGCCCCCAGGCCAAATCTGAGCTATGGACTGTTTAGGTACGACCTGTGAGCTAAGAATGGTTTTACTTTCCAGAGGTAAAATAAAACAAAGAACATGCAACAGGAACATATGTGGCCTGCAAATTCTGCAATATTTACTCTATGATCTTAAGCAGAAAAGTTTGGGGACCTCTGCTCTAGACCATGAATGCCCTGAGGGTGGAGTTCTGGTGGAATCTATCCTGTCTGCCCCACAAGTTGTATCAGGTACTTTCTGCTTACCTGCTAGCATGTTTGTGTAGGGATTGATAAAATGGAATTGACCCACGCCTGAGGGATGAAGACAATGGATGCTACATTGTGAACAGAGTGCTATGCAAACATTTTAAATCAGGTGGCTGAAAACAAGTCAGTCATCGCCCTCCTCAAGGACATAAATGGATGAAGTAGAGGCTGAGAGGATTCAGGGAAGCCACAAATTAAATAATGATGGTTATAAGCTCACACCCAACAGAATGGCTATTATTTAAAAAATCAAAAAAATAACAGATGCTGGCAAGGCTGCCGAGAAAAGGGAATGCTTATACACTGTTGGTGGGAATGTAAATTAGTTAAGCCAATGTGGAAAGCAGTTTGGAGATTTCTCTAAGAACTAAAAATAGAACCACCATTCGACCCAGCAATCCCACTACTGGGCATCTACCCAAAGGAAGATGAATCATTCTACCAAAAAGACACCTGCGCGTGGATGTTCATTGCAGCCCTACTCAAAATAGCAAAGACATGTCATCAACCTAGGTGCCCATCAATGATGGATTGGATAAAGAAAATGTGGTGGCCGGGTGCAATGGCTCATGCCTGTAATCCCAGCACTTTGGGAGGCCAAGGCAGGTGGATCACCTGAGGTCAGGAGTTTGAGACCAGCCTAGCCAACATGGTGAAACCCTGTCTCTACTAAAAATTCAAAAATTAGCCAGGCGTTGTGGTGGGTGCCTGTAATCCCAGCTACTCAGGAGGCTGAGGCAGGAGAATCACTTGAACCTGGGACACAGAGGTTGCAGTGAGCCGAGATCACACCACTGCACTCCAGCCTGAGTGACAGAGAGAGACTCGGTCTCAAAAAAAAAAAGAAAAAGAAAAAGAAAATGTGGTACATATATACCATGGAATAATATGCAGCCACAAAAAGGACAAAATCATGTCCTTTGCAGGGACATGGATGTAGCTGGAGGCCATTATCCTAAGTAAATTAATCCAGGAACAGAAAACCAAATACTGCACGTTCTTACTTATAAGTGGAAGCTAAATATTGAGTACACATGGACATAAAGAAAGGAACAGTAGACAATGGGGACAACAAGAGTGAGGAGTGAGGGAGGGAGGGGGACAAGAGTCGAAAAAGTACCTATTGGGTACTATGCTCATTACCTGGGTGGCAGGTTCAATCACACCCCAAACCTCAGCATCATGCAATGTACCCATGTAACAACCTACTTGTGTACCCCCAAATCTAAAATGAAAGTTGAAATAAATAATAATAATAACAACAACAATAATAGTTATGAATTAAGACTACGGAATAAAATAAATATCCAGGAGCCCATACTGATATAAATGAATAACTGAAAAAATAAATAAACAGGGGAGAAGGGACAATTCTTCCTTAAAGAAGAATTCCAATTAATCTAGAAGGAATGATAAGCTGGGGTGGTGGCTCACGCCTGTAATCCCAGCACTTTGGGAGGCCAAAATGGGTGGATCACCTGAGGCCAGGAGTTTGAGACCAGCCTGGCCAACATGGTGAAACCCCATCTCTATTAAAAATACAAAAATTAGCCAGGCATGGTGGTGCACACTTGTAATCCCGGCTACTCAGGAGGCTGAGGCAGGAGAATCACTTAAATGTGGGAAGTGGAAGTTGCAGTGAGCTGAGATGGTGCCACTGCACTCCAGCGTGGGCAACAGACCGAGACTCTGTCTCAAAAAACAAAAAAATAAAATAAAATAGAAGAAATGATGGAAATAGGAAATTATAACTAGATAAACATCATGGTAATAGTCCTTACTTGCAAGAATCATCAACAAATGCTAAGAAATGTGGACAAAAGTATGATGAGAATCAAGACATTTGCATAAATTCAGTGTATGTCCTTAAAAGACACATTACTTAAAAAAGGAAAATAACTCTCTCTACACAGGAGGAGGCTGGCAGTCTCCACCTTAACCAAGTGTGCAAGGTTAACATCACAAGTAACAAGATATTGACAGCATGTCTCCCCACCCCCTGATGGAATGCACTGAGGAGGGCACAGCATCATTCCTAGGGTAATCACGCCAAAATGCATAACCACAGTTTAATTATGAGAAAACAACAAACAAACTCAAATCAATATTTCACAAAGTAACTGACCGTACTTTTCAAGTGTCAAGGTCATGAAAATCAAGGAAGAGCAAAGATTGGAGAAGATTAAAGAAACATGGCAACTAAATACCTGAAAAGAACATGAGTGGGAAAATTGGTGAAATTCAAGTAAGGTCTGCAGCTTGTTAGCTAACAGTGTATCAATGTTAATTTTCCGGTTTCAAACTCAGACCATGGTTATGTAAGTTGTCAACATTAGGGGAAACTGGGTGATGGGTATATGCACTATTTTTACTACTTTTAATGTATAACGGTATTTCAACATAAAAGTTTCTTTTTTAAAATGATATTCTGTCTTGCACCAATGGCCAGTGCTTCTCGTGCACACATGGTCCAAATAATTTCTCAGAGCTGCATACAGCTGGCCTGCTTCCCGCTTCTTGAATTTTCTCCAAGCTCTGATTATGTTCCCCCATGGGAACTCCAGAAGGACAGCAGCCCAGGGTGAGTCAGACTACAGCTTCAGGGTCAAATCAACTCGGGTTCAACCTGCAGCTCATCGCCTGCCCTGGAGCCCCAGCTCTTCCCTTCTCTGACATCATCAGTTCCTATGTCACCTCCTCAGAGAGGCCTTTCCTGACTACCCACGCAACCGTTCTTTTCCCTCCATGATTGATTTTTCCCACATACCTGGTTTCAGTTCTTTAAGAGCAGTTACATACCCCAGAAAGTGTTGCATTCCCTGAAGTGCACACACTCTAAAACATTCTCACTCCCTTACCTGTTTATTTGTGTATTATCTTGCCCGCCTCCACTTCCCTGCCCCAGAACGCAAGCTTCTCCAACTACCTCGACCGTGGCGTGTCCTCAGCCTCTCACCCAGCATCAGGCCAGTGGCTGCTCAGTAAACATTAATATCCTGACGGCATGCGTCTCCTTGGTCTGTGACTTTCCTTAGTGTTTGGCTCAGGTCATACCAAGCACTGGCCTCAACAGGCCCAGCACAAGGGGTCTGTGACTTACTCATAAAACTCGGCTGCCGGCGTGAACTTGTACTTGGAGTACTTGGTGTGGTTGCCAAGCACGGAGCCATTGAGGAGCTTGGGGTCGGTACAGTTGGGGCTGTTCCAGGTGTGGCCACAGTCGGTCCAGGGCAGGTTGAGGGTGAAGGAGGAGAAGAGGTAGTAGAGTGACCAGGCGATGATGACGTTGTAGTAGAAGCCAACGTACAGGGCGATCAGGATGACAGCATAGCCAACGCCTGGGCAGGGACAGGGGGTAAGGTAGGAGTCTCCCAGGCCCAGCCCCACAGCCACCTCTCCTTGGGTGTGGCTCCACCACTGCACTCCCATTCCCTCTGTCTCTCGTTTCCTGCAGAACAGCGGTCCCCAACCTTTTCAGCACCAGTGACCTGTCGCATGGAAGACAATTTTTCCACAGATTTTGGGGTGGGGGTAGTTTCAAGATGAAACCGTTCCACCTCAGGTCATCAGGCGTTAGTTAGATTCTCATAAGGAGCACACAACCTAGATCCCTCGCATGCGCAGTTCACAGTAGGGGTTGCGCTCCTATGAGAATCTAGTGCAGCGGCTGATCTGACAGGAGGCGGAGCTCAGGCGGTCATGCGAGCGATGGGGAGCAGCTGTAAATACAGATGAAGCTTCACTTACCCGCTGCTCACCTCCTGCTGTGTGGCCCGGTTCCTAACAGGCCGGTTATTGGTCCGTGGCCCGGGGATTGAGGAAACGTGCTATAGCAGATTGCCAGAGTCCATAGGCCCCTGCCATCTCTTTGCCCGAGAGCTCTCTCTTTCCACTGGAGCTCCCCTGCCCACTCACCACCTGCTTGCCCCCAGTGGGCAGCCACGTTAGGAGCTGGATCGTGAGTATCCAGCTCCCTCGCCCCCTGGGCAGGATAACACTGACAGGTGTTCACATTCTCCCCTGATGGGACTGAGCTCCCTGCCCAGAGTGGCATTGACTTGGTGCACACCCTTTATGGCTGCCTCCCCTTCCCTATCCCCAGTTGCTGCTCCCTAAGGATCACTTCCCGCACTAACTCTTTACACTTATATCCTTGTCTCCGAACTGCTTCTGGGGAAACCCAAGCAAGCACTCCCTGATTGGAACTTCAGCCCTGTGTGCTTTCTGGGTCCTACTCTCAGCCACCTGCTTCGGGTGCCAGTATCGTGTTCCTCAATGTATCACAAGCTCCTTTAGGGGTAGTTCTATAGCTTTTTTCTAGGGTAGATGTATTGTTTACCTGCCCAACATTGCTTTTCAAGGAATTAGCCTTAAGCTATGATTAGCCTGTGAGGTGTTGGCGAGGCTACTCCCCACTCTTCCTCCATCGCAAGATGTATGCCTGGCCAATCAGAGCACTGCTTCCTGACAGCCACAGTGATTGGTTAGTAGATGGGCATATGACTCAAGTTAAACCAATGAGAATCTTCTCTGGGACCTTTAAGGAAACTATGACTCTATAAGGGTTTTTGTTTGTTTACTTGTTTGCTTTTGGTAAAATTTAAACTTGGTAAAATTTAAGCCCGGGGTTGCTGATGGCCATCTTTGCAGGTACTTGAGAAGAATTTACCTGAGACTGATGCTAACAGAAAACAACAGATCTGAAACACAAGAAGAGCGATAGATTCCAGACAACATTATTTGGGCATCTGGATCTATCTATACCTGAAGCCAATCCCCGGACTTTACTGTAACAGAAGTCAATTCTCTTTTATACTGAAGCCAGTTTGAGTTGAATTTCTGACAATTAACAACAAAAAAAGTAACGAATGCACATGTCTTATAAGACTCTTGCACCAGCTGTATCTCCCACAGGACTGAGTACACAAGAGGTACTCAGGAGGCACGTGCCAGCGGAGAAGAGGCTCATGGGAGTCACACTGGCCCTCGTTGCCATCTGTGCCCAGTTCTCCAACCAGTGCTTGGGAGAGACTAACTCTTCCTCCATGCCCTTCTCCCAGCTGTATAGGGGCCAAGAAATAGCAGTTGCTCTGCCTACTTTCTGCAGATGTGTTCTTAGTCCCAAATGCAAGTAGGCTTCATGTTATATTTCAGCTGCAATCAACTAGTTGTGGCTATTGTACTAAGGATTTTGAATCAGCTTTCCGGCTGGGCTCAAAAAGATCCATGATCAACTTCTAACGCCTGCCATGGGAGCAAAAGGAGAGAGTAGTGGTGTATGTGCTGGGTACTTCTGATACTTACGTAAAAATTTCCCATACAGGAAATAGATTCTCTGGGTACTCAGCAGGTAAGCTGGATTAGAACCCAGGTTTCCAGAATTTCTATGCTAATGCTATTCCCAACACACTGAATGCTCTCCACGTAACTTGGAATGGGGGACACTGTTGACCTTGTCAATACCTGTGAATCCCACATGACAGGAGGTCTACCTTAGATCTCACCACTGGAGCAGATTCCCCAAGGGCAACAGGGAAGCCTTTATGAACAACCGTGACTTTCTCCCACCCCTTCTTTACCTTTGAAGAATGGGCAGATTTTCCAAACGGTGGCAGCCCCCTCCCGGTTGTACTGTCCCAGAGCCAGCTCCATGTAGAACAGGGGCATCCCCGCGATGATAAGGAACAGTGTGTACGGGATCAAGAAGGCACCTGGAGGACACAGGGGCAGAGTGTGACCTGACAGACCCCTGCCCCTCCCAGTCTTGGATCCGTGTCTGCAAGAGCTGCAAAGATCCTGGGCGTCTGCTCAGCTGGCTGTTTCCAAAGGCGACGCGCAGCAATCAATACTAATTATCATAAGAGTAAGAATATTTGTGGTAGTAATAATCATAACCATAATAGTGAGGTTCTGTGGTCAAATTAGTAAAATCTAGGTTAAGCAAAGCAAAATAGGTTTGCTTCTTGCAGGCTTCTCCTAGCCTTTGATACACAAGTGCATGCTGTGATGTGCCAGGAGGGGGATCACAGGTGTAGCCTTTACCAGATTTATTTAAACACTGAACTTTTTCTTTTATGAATCATCACTCTGGGAATGCCAATCTAACCCAAACCCTTCCTTTTACAGGCAAGAAAATTGAAACCAGAGAAAAAGAGACAGTGCCTAAATTTACATGACGGAGTTTCTAATTTTGCTGGCATCCTATCACATAGGGGTATATGTGGCTTGCTTTCCCAAGCATGATCTCACTGGATTCTTCTTAGAGTTTCACAACAGCCTGCAAACATAATAACCAGTCAGGGTCATTACGTACCCCCAGGGCAAACTGAGGGGCAGAGAAGGGAGTCTAATGGCTCCTTTTGGTGCTGCTGGTAGGTGATGGAAGCCGGATTCACATTCCGGCCTTGTGACCCACTAGGTCCCCACTGTTACAGGTGGCTGAAGCAAAGGGGCAGAGGTTCAAGTCTCTGACCAGGGAAGTTACCCACCCAGAACATCACAGAAACTTCATGGGGTCCCTGGGCACCAGGCAGCAATTAATTCCTGGGAGAATTCCTGGTGGACTTAGACGTGTCTGAGTTGCAGAGACAATTCTCAGTACACCCTGGCAGTCCGGGATGTGCTTAGTGGATTCTGACTCTGCGAGGTGACTCACTGGGACACATGTCATATGAGCCCCAGCTTGCAAGTGTGCCCAAAGCAACACACCAGCTCCTTTCCACGCACAGCTGGAGGTGGCCAGGCCAGATCCAAACTCCTGTTACCACTGGCCTTTAGCTAAGGTGTTGTAACCCTGGAAACCAAATACTCTCTGACCTACCCACATCAAGAAAACAGGAAATACTTTAACAATGGTAACATTAGCAATATTAACAATGGATACCAGCAGCTCACACTTGCTCGTCCCCTTCTGAGCTCCAAGCACTTTCATTCAATCCTCACCACAAAGATCAAAGATCATTATTATTTCCATTTTACAGATATGGAAACTAAGGTTTCAAGATAGCAAAGAACTGTGGCAAAGTCACATGATACCTAGGGTCAAACTCACTCAGCTACTCAGACTATCAGTCTCCACTTGTTTCTCAGGGTGCCTCTCCTAAGTAGGAAGCATGAAGTGTTGGCCCTAATGCTGAGAGACCTAGTCCCTTGTGAGTAGAAGATGGATCAGTGGTGGGGGGCAGGGCAGAAAGGGGGAAAAGGTAAAACTACTGGGAAATGAACATCTCCTGTGTATCAAGCAGGACCTGGGCTTGATCCCACTTACACTACCCAGAAACCCTCTGACATAGCAACTGCTATACCCATTTTTCAGATGAGGAAACTGAGGGTTGGAGAAATTAAATGACCTGACCGACCTTATCCTGCTGATAAGTTGTGGATCTAGGATTTGGGTCCAGGTCTGCCTGGCTCAAGAGCTCCAGAGCTGTTTCCAACATGCCCCACAGATTCTGGAACATTCCAGCCTAGATGAAGGACATGAGTCTGAATAGGATCAGAGGGTAGGTTGTTCTGAAATGGGGGATCTGGGACCAGCTAAGCCATGTGGTCTATTGGTCATAGGCTGGCCCAATGCTACAGCCACTGCTCCAGGCTGGAAGTCTCTGGAGTGGCCATGTGCTATTTCTCCCCTTCCTCATTTCTTCCTTTCATTCTCTTCCTTTCTCCCTCTCCCACATAGAAAGGGCTGGTTTGCCACCTGACCCATGTCCCTATGCACATTGCTGACAGTAATGGTGGTGCTGGTGTGCTGATGTAGATGGAGGTAGGCAGTGGGGTTGCTGAAAGTAACAAGTACCGTTTGTTGAGCACCTGTTATATGCCAAGCTGCACACAAGTTTTTACATAATTATTTATTTAAAACCACCCCTGAGAGAGAATTACCACAATCCCTTTTACAGATGAGGAAACTGAGGCTTAGAAAGGTTAAGTTGCTTGTCCAACTAGCAAGTATGAAGCTTGGCTTCAAACCTGGATCTGGCGCAGCCCCACTCTGCCTTGTGGCCAACTGCTACTCCCCTTGAGGATCTAGAGCCAGGGCAAGGGGCAGTTAGATAGCTGTATTAAACTGTTTAATAGGGCCAGGCACAGTGGCTCATGCCTGTAGTCCCAGCATTTAGGGAGGCCAAGGCAGGAGGCTTACTTGAGCCCAGGAACTCAAGAACAGCCTGGGCATCAGAGTTTGAGGCTCAGTGAGCTATGATCATGCCACTGCCCTGCAGCCTGGGTGACAGAGTGAGATGCTGACTCAAAAAAAAAAAATTTAGAGAGAGAGAAAAAGAGAGAAGAAAACAAAACAAACAAATAAACAAAAAATCTTTGATAGGCCTGAAGATGGAAGTCAGTGGCCCAAGGGAACGTGGGGAAGGAAAAAGCTAGGAGTCGCTGCTCCGACCTCGCCACTGTGGGTTGCCCCCAGCGACTCAATACTCTGCTGCATGGCCAAGGAAGGGGAAAAGCAGCATCAGCCAGTTAACCAGGCATCTCACTTTGGCCAGTTTCCTCAACTCTAAACCTCTGGGTGACACTGCCAACACATAGGTAAACTGCCCAGTTTGGAGTTATTCTTCCTCTGCTGGCTGGGAGGCACAGTAACATGAGAAAAGGAGGGAAGATGATGGGTCTGCATGTGCCTGCGGCTCTTCTCTGTGAGTGCATTTGATGTGGGCCAGCCAAAGCTTCATTCAGGTGGAAACAGATTAAGAAGACCAAAGAGTGGTGAAATGGCTAAGTAGGAATGAAAAAACAGCCAGCTACCCGCGGCCAGTGCCTTATTCTAAAAGAGGACAGCTAGCTTGCCCAAGGACTCTTGCAGAAGGAAACCTGGGAGAGTTTCCTTCTCCTCTTGCAGAAGTAAACTCTTCAGGTTGAAGAGTCAGGAAGGAGCTCCAGGGATGAGTGAAGTCAACTGAAGTTGCCTCTTTTATAAACAGCTCTGCAGTGGTTCTCTGGAAACCGAGGCTGGTTGCAAACCCCCTAAAAAGTACTGCTCTGCAAGGCTTGTAACTGCCATACTTGTGTGGTCCTGCTCCATCTCCATGTGTGGCAGTGCCAGCTGCAACCAGCCTCACACAGGGTCCGAGAGTCTCAGAACTGCAAGGCCAGAATCTTATCTTGGAATGCCCTGGCTGCATGGGTGCTGGGCTGGTGAGGGCAGACCTGGAAAAACACAGGCAGGGCATGCCTCATGAGGAGCTCAGTGCCCAGTGCCTGGGAGTCTCCAAAAACCATATGCATGCACACAAATGCACACCTGTGCATACTCATGCAAAATGGACACACACTTTTGCATGTCAACGCACTCACACAACCACATGAGAAAAAGAACTGTCGACCATGAAAGAAACTCTGAACAGTGGCCTTTGGATGAATTTAGTAAGAAAAGCATTAGTCCCATCACCTCTGGCCCAACCACACTGCCTCCCATCCCACTGTTAGAGAGAAACTCTTCTGGGTACAGAAGGGCTCTGGAAGCCTCTGTGCAAATGCCAAGTACCCAGGAAGGGAAGCCCGGGGTCATTAGGTTTAGAGTGGGATGTGCTGGAGCAGCCCCCAGCAGGTGAGGAGGACCCCAGGTAGAGGGCTGGAAAGCCTGGAGGAAGGGTTCAGTGAGGGGTGCAGTGGCCAAGACCTGCTGAGGATCTCGGGGGAGGTGGAGGTAGTGTGGTCAAAGAGGAGCTTCAGGAAGGAGAGAGGCTCCCCTGACACCTAGTTTGTTGAGGACAGGATTCCTCGAACTGTGAATTCTGGCCACACCTTGATATATGCAAGAAGTGCCAATCCACAGAATAGTTCCCTTGATACACACAGCTCAGCTACAGGCTGTCGCTGCTGGTGTCATGCACCAGAGCCCCCAAGAAAACCTTGGTCCACACTTAGGGAAGCTAGATTTGTCCCCCTTCCCCAACACCCCAAGGGTGCCCTAACAGCACAGTAGGCATCAGGAGAAGGTGAAACTTTAGTCAGGAGACAAGGCTGCTCACACTTCGACACATTTAAAGGTGACAAATCAACAACTGTTAAATAAAACATGTTCTGTCTTCCTACTTTGACAAAGAGACCTTTGTAGTAGTTCTATTATAAAGTTCAAGGTTGGAATTCTCAGCTCTTGGAGCTCCAGGCTGGAATGTGGAGGTACAGGGGAAGACCCGTTTGCCCTGCCCCTACTTCCTCCCAGCTCAATCTAGCCATGTCAGGGCTCTTGCACATAGGTGTCCAAGCTATGTCCACCCGCCTTGCAGACACCCCCACCTCCCGCAGCACAGCCCACACCACAAAAGAGGGAACCCAGCAAGATGTTCATGTAGACCCAGAAGGGTGCCTGAGGCTGTTTGGGCAGGGAATTCCACCGTCCGGGTATTGGAGGGTGGTGGGGTATTCGTATGGGGAGTGTGCTGGGTGGGCAGGCACACTTGGCTCCCATGAGATGGAAAGGGGGCAGAGTTGTGCTCTCTGAAGCATGGAGGTAGGGCAGGCCTTCATGCCTGGACCTAAAGATAATCCTGTCCCTCAGCCCTGCTATGTGTAGCTATGTGACTTGTCTAAATGTGCCTTCTCTGAGCCTTAGCTCCCCCTTTGTAAATGCGATAATAATACCTGTGTCACTGGTTTGCTGTGATAATCAGAGATGACAGAGGTGAAGTGCCAGGCACTTAGTGGGTGCTCCGTAAATGGGACCCATGTCTTGTCATTATACTCAAGAGCAGATGTGCAGCAGCTCTGTCCACTGGAAACAGGAAGTAAAGGCTGTCTTGTGTGGTGGAGGGTGGCTGGGCCCTTTGTGGAGCACAGCATGAACGCCAGCTGGAGGCCACACACAGGACTCTGCGGCAGTGCTCTGGGATCCCCAAGTCCCTGTCCCAAGTGGGGCTGGCTACTCTACTCTTGTGTGCAAACAAGAGTGCTGACCATGAGCAAATGCAGGACAAAGGATGCCCCCAGGCCACAGCCAGCCCCATTACCTAGAAAGAATGCCCTGTAGTGCTGCATGAAGGATGGCATGAAGGTAGTGGGAGGGGGATGCATGCAGTGAAGAGATTTAGGGAATGGAAGCACCGGCCAGAGCGGGGGACAGGATACGCCAGGCCAAACCTTAGCTGACCCTAGAAGAGTTCTGAAGCTGAGATGGCCCCTCAGACATTTCCTACTCAGGAACCTCCACGTGTTTGCCTCTCCTGAAGCTCCTGAACCCTGTCCTCTTGGGCCTTCTATGGAGATGTCATTGGATAGGCATGTTTGGCCACCATGATTGAATGGAGTATGATGTAATACTAATAAGCTGAGTGGGAAAGCCCAGCAAGGCCTGTCTGTTCAGATTCTTCTCGGTCTCCCTGTGCAGCATTCCTTCCCCCAGGGCCTGGGGCAGGACTCCTTCTGAAATGGGGGTTTTATGACTCACAATTAGAAAGTGGGTCAGAGAATTTTGTTACTGCCAGCTCCAAGAAAGAAAAGCCAGGGAAAAATCCTACCTTGGAGAGATAAGGGAGCAGATGGAAGGAGGGCAGGAGAAGGTCAAAGAGAGAGAGGTTCTGTTTTCTGAGGCCTAACGTGCCCCAATGTTACAACAAGGGCTATTGGTATTTTGAGCCAGGAACAATAGAACAATAGATAGACAGATGGATAGATAGATAGACAGATAGGTTTCATAGTAGTACACAGAGCTATGGTAAGACCTCAGCTGGAGGGACCCAAGGTGAAGGTGAGGGAGTGCCTTGGTCTGTTTAGCATTGCTATAACAGAATACCTGAGGCTAGGGAATCTATAAAGAAAAGAGGTTTATATGTCTCATGATTCTGGTGACTGGAAAGTTCAAGGTTGGGCAGCTGTATCTGGTGGGGGCCTCTGGCTGCTTCCACTCATGGCAGAAAAGGAAAGGGGATCAGGGGTACAGAGATCACATGGCAAGAGGGGAACCAAGAGAGTGGCGTGAGAACTCACTTACCCTCTCCAAAGGACATTAATCCATTTATAAGGGATCCACTCTCATGACCCAAACACCTCTCACTAGGCCCCTCCTCCCAACACTCCCACACTGGGGTTCAAACTTCAACAGGAGTTTTAGTGGAGACAAACAAACCATATCTAAACCATAGCAGAAAATGTAATAAAGTGTTCCTCTGAGTTCTGTGAGCCACTCTAGCAAATTAATCAAACCCAAGCAAGGGGTGGGGGGAACCCTGATTTATAGACAGTGGGTCAGAAGCACAGTAAAACAACCTGGGGCTCATTATAGGAACACAAAGTGAGGGGCATTCTTGTGGGAATGCCTCAACCTGTGGGATCTGATGCTATCTCCAGGTAGACAGCACCAGAATTGAATTGAATCGGAGGCACTCAGCTGGTGTCTGCTGCAGACTTGATTACTTGCCTGATGTGCTGGGAGAAACCCCCAAACATGTGGTCACAGACGTCTTCTGTGTTGATTGTTGTTGTTGAGTGAAAGACCTGGAAACAGGCCCACTGAGGGAACACACCCACTCCCCTGATGGATTAAACCCAGCTGCTCTAAGTAGAAAAATGGGGGTGGAATTCAGGGAAACTGGCGCCGGGCTACCCCTCCTCATGTGGTAATTCTCCATCTGCTCGTCACTTTGGAGGATCTGGACTTGATTTTTCCTAATAAAGCTGTGGCTTTAGTAAAATCTCTGTGAAGATTCTGGTTTCCATTTCCTCCATCTTAGTCTCTTTAAGAGAAACACATCAGAGGGTTGCTCAGAACTACATCACAGAGGGAAATATGACCCACAAATAACAGAGCAGGACCTCACCTCCCCCATTTGGGATTAATACCTCCAATATTGGAATCAAAAATGACAAACTTTTAGGAGATCTGCAGCATATCATGAGCCCCTTAAAGGCAAGGATTTTCTTTTGCTCATCTCCATATTCCTGGCATATGATAGGCATTTAGTAAATTTTTTTTGGCTAAATAATGGATCTCAGCAGTGACTCACATGAAGGATGCAGCTAATGAAAGCCCTGGGGCCTTTCTCCACTTGTGCTGTGGCCTAATCCTTACTTAGGCAGTTAGGTTTGGGACTGCAGGGCAGGATATAACATTTATCCCTATTAAATCCCAATCTTGTCAGGAACAGCCCCTTTCAGATCCTTTTGACAAGCTTGGAGTAACAAGCCAAACCATGCCAGTGACCTCAGATCAGGGTCCCAGATGAGCACCACATTTCTGCCAAGGGATGTACAGACTTGTCAGCTGAGTGCCACACCAGCTGGCTGGCTCATTGTGCATCTGAGCTGACAATCAGTGTCTGGCTTGGCAAGCCCAGGGTGTAGATAGCCCCCTGCAGCCAGGCCAGATATAAGAGCACTGAGTTTGCAGACTCCTGACCTCTGTAGCAGCTACTGCTTCATACTCAGTATTAAGGATCCCAGATATTTTGGCCACAAGGGCTCCCAAAGGGCTGGGGGTCCCTAAGACTCTGAGCTTCCTTGGGGAGAGGAGAGAGTCCACTGGGGACGCAGAATCACAGAAGGTCATGGGACCCCATGCAGGAATTATAAACCCCATTTACCAGGTGATGAATCTATTTTGAGATAAGGTTAGGCTGTTAGGAAATGGAGCAAAGCCCATCCCCTGATTCCTGAGTCTATCATGCTTGGGCTCCAGACCCAAGTGGGACTATTTTCCAGCCTTATTTCCTTTTATCAATTTCATCTTAGGATGAATTCTGCTACTTCCAAAATCAGGATCCTGCCCCACTCCTAAGTCTAGCATGCAGTTAATATCATTGAACAATAACAAAATACTAATGACTACATTTATGGAGCCCCTATTATGTGACATCATTTCAAGGAGTTTACATATATTGTCTCTGATGCCATCTCACCCTGCAAGAAGGTGCTGTGGTTATTCTCCTCTTCTGTGTAAGGAAACTGAAGCTCAGATCAGCAAAGGTGAGTGATTTGTCTATCGTTACCTTTCTAGCAAAAGTTAGACTCAGACCCTGAACCTAAAGACTATATTTCTCTACAATGCACAGCTCTAAGCTGGCCTCAGGACAGGACTCAAACAGAAGCAGCCATGTGCAAAGGTTAATTCACAGTGGCCACTTCCCTGGAAGAAAGGCAAAAATGAGCACCCAGTCAATCTTCCTGCTCTTCCCCAGGGATCAGCACAGACCAGGATCACAGGTGCAAAGGGAAACTCTAGAATCACTGCCTGATACTGCCTCCTCATGGAGACCAGCTATTTGAGAAGGTTCTGAACAAAGCTCCGGAATTTCTGAGAGTGGCTTTCCCCTCCCAGAGCCTCCTGCAGCCCGTGCATCCCAGCAGCTGGCCATGGGGAAGATGTTCAGACAGGCTGATCTTTTCCAGTAATTCATTCAGAAAACATTAGCCAGGGGCCTAAACCATTGCCACCTTCATCATTTCAAAATATCCTCCATTCTGGGCCAGCATGAACAGTCAGAATTGCAGAGGTTACAGTGTTAATACTGGCACCAGAAGAGCACACTGAGGGCTGTTAAATAACAGACCGGGTGAGTCCTGGCTTCAGTGTAACCCTGAGCCAGGGCATTGGAAAGGAATAAATCTTGTGGTGTTATCTCAGGTCATGTTCACCTATGGCTGGGAACTTGAGGCTCAGAGAGGGGCTGTACTATGCCCGAGATCACACACTGAGAGGCAGAGCTCAGACTCAAACTCCAGTCTTAAACGGCTGCTTCTGCAACTGCAAAGACCCACCTTCCTGACCACTCACTCTCATCTCTGGGGCTAATTTGGGAATTACTGGATGAGAATTGATCCACAAAAAGACAGAGAAGCCAGGAGGCCTCCGCAGAGATAAAGCCCAGAGGGAGCTAGCTGAGCATGTCTGAAGGGATGAGGGGTAAGTGAGAGAAGGAGTTACCTCATAGTCTGAGATGGAGGGCTGCACTGCTCCCTAACACCAACTGTGAACATCCTAACCAGAAATGGAAATTCACTGGTATAATATCCCCACCCCTTAGCCTGGCTTTCAAGGCCTCTGCAGCCTGGCCCCAACTTGCCCCTGCACCCTTATCTCTCCTGGCTTGCCCTGCAGCCAGCCTGCACTCCTGTTCTCTGAGATGATTCCATGTACATTCCTGCCCCAGGTGCACAGCTGGAGATCTCCTCCCTTCTCACCGCTTGTCTGCACCTTCCCCATCCAGAGCAGCTGAGCTTCAACCACAGCCCACCTCCTCCCAGCCCTTCCTAAGCAGCCCTTCCTCAGGCCTTTAGAGCATTTGTCTAAAGCACTTGTCTCTCCATCCATTTCATACATCATCATAATGACATTAACAAAAATCAGCAGCCACCTTTCCTAAGGCCACAATCCATGCCAGGCTCTCCATGAGTTATTATGTTTGGTCCCCACAACAATGTTCTGAGCTGAGCACCATTATTTCCATTTGACAAGTGAGGAAACTGAGGCTTGGAGACTTGCCAAAGCCTTACAGCTAGAAACTGGAACCCAGGACTCCACAGCTAAGACCACTAATGAATAGGCTGCCCCTGCCCCACTGTTGTATGTGGCTTCACTTTATTAGTTACCACTGAGTGTTTCTGTTGTTGTTTCTGAATACGGTTGGAGGTCTTTGAGGGCTTGGAGCATTTCATTAGCTTATTCAACAGCAGTTTCTTGGGCACCTTCTACCACATTCCTGTGATCTAGGACTTATCTTGGGCATTAGAAACACAGAGATTAAAAAGTCACAGTCTCTGCCCTCATTGTGCCTTTTCCTGTTTGGGAGACAGACCCACAAAGAGACAAACCACCAAACAACTTGGAGTGAGCTGTGTTTTGAGATAGCAAGCCCGGGAGAAAGTGCCCTCGGTCAGCTTCACCTAAAGACTGGAACTCGTGACAAGTTTGCTCCATTTTGCATCCTAAGAACCTGGTTTATAGTACACTGCATACAACAGGTGCTCTTTATTTTGCTGGCAATGACTAAAGAGCACACAGTGTCAATGAAAGCCCTGGAATATCCATCTAGCTGACTTGTCAAATTGGCCATCTGGATGCTTTTAGTTTCAACAAACACATAGAGCAATGGGAAGAACTTCTAGCAGCATGACAATAAAGACTCGGGTGATTAAAGCTCCTGGCAGGCAGAAGTGGTGGTTCATGCCTCTTGGTGACCGTGACCCCTGCAGAGCCTAGCATTGTGCCTCACGCCAAGAGGAACCAGAAAAATATTACTGATTAATGACAGAGCCTTCCACTGTCTAGAGACAAGCAGTCTGGGGCGGTCACTGAGGACAGGCGGGATGGCGGGTCTTAAGGTCTCTCATTCATCATCTCCCTGCCTCTTAAAAGATACAGAGAATCTGCATTTTCTCCCTTCCTGGGCCCAAACAGCCATGCTTAAACCTGCCCAGTAACGCTTGAGAGGCTGCAGCCGCCAAAGGTGGGAAAGTTTCACCTCTGGATTAGCTTCTCCTTTTCTCACCTTTCTCTCTCTGCCCATGACCATCCCAGGGCCAGACACAAACATTGAGCCCGCAGAGTCACAAGTTGTTTCCCCACGGATCAGGCCCCAGACCTCAGATGCCCCTGAAGCTCAGGACTGCTGTTCCAGCTATCTGGTCTCAGAGTATCTGACAATGACAGACCCATCTCAGGAGGTGTCAGGGAGACCATGGACGCAAACCTCCATCTGTCAGCTCCAACCTTGGGTTAACTTTCTCGTTGGAAGAGCTAACTGCTTTCTTACTCAAGATCCTCTGCTCAGAGCCACCTGTGCTCTATGGTGATCCCACTCCTTTTTTTTTTGAGACAGAGTCTTGCTCTGTCACCCATGGTCCAGGCTGGAGTGCAGTGGCGTGATCTTGGCTCACTGCAACCTCCACATCCCGGGTTCAAGTGATTCTCCTGCCTCAGCCTCCTGCGTAGCTGGGATTACAGGCGTGCACCACTACGCCCAGCTAAGTTTTTGTATTTTTAGTAGAGACGAGGTCTCACCATGTTGCCCAGGCTGGTCTCGAACTCCTGAGCTCAGGCAATCTGCCCACTTTGTCCTTCCAAAGTGCTAGGATTATAGGCATGAGCCACCATGCCCGGCCCCACTCCTTTTTTGCAAACACCAAGTATTGCCCGTCCCAAAGCAAGTGTCCAGAGTACACATAGAAGCAGAGTTGTAAGTCCTAGAGCCTGTGAACAGGTCATGAGCTTTCCCTCTACCCAGCTCCAAATTCTTGCCCTTCCTCCCTCTGACCTCCCTTAAGTCCAGAGTCACAGCTACCGCCAAGCAATGCAGCCCAGTGGAGAGAGAGAGGCTTTCAGAGCTGGGTCCCCCTTCTCCAATTTCTTCCTCAAAAGGTCTATTTTCCCACACTCTTTGCAGGGTACCTCTGAGCTCATCCCAGCAAAAGTGGCAGGAGCAAAGCCCCTCAGGAAGGAGCTAGGGGGTGGGGGCCAGCACCCTGACTTCCAGACCGCTTCCCTGGCCCGGGGTTCTATGTTATTCTTCCTGGATTGGCTGTAGGTGATCTCTAGGCTCTCATTTTCAGGCAGGTGGCCAGTTGGACCATCCAGCAGAAGGGGGAGAGAGTGTGGCTGTTCCACTGGAGTCTTCTTCAGGCCCCTCTCCCACTCCTCCCTGCAATGCGGCTAGAACTTGAGGAGGTAGAGGTTTCACCCCAATCATCTGGGCCTCCTGCCTTGAGGACCAGGCCAGTTCTTGGCACCTACTGGCCTGATTCCACCTGGGCTGTGCTCCCTGAGAATGGCATTATTTCTGATACTGGCTTCTTCTTGTGTGTTTCTATCCCCAAGACCACAGGGCCTCCCCAGGTGCCTTCAGAAAACCGAAGTATTCCCACTGCTTCTGGCCCAAAGGTTCCTGCCCCCAGGCTCAGAGTGCTAGATTTAGGGTCACTGTGGGCCTGGTTGTCAAATCCCACCCACTTCTGGTGCCCCTTCAAGAGCTCTTGGAATCTCCACCTCCCTTCCAGCAGACCATCAAAAGGTCAGGCTCCCCCACCCAACCTGGCACCCCAGATTCTGTCCTTTCCATCCATACCCCTACCATGACTTTAGGGTCATGACTCGATTTCACTCTTCTGCTGTTTTGCTTCCAGGGTGCCCAATCCTGACACTTCCGCTGGAATGAGCTCGAGGTACTCTGCAAAGAGCCTGGGAAAATGACCTTCCAGAGGACTCCAATCTTTTTTTTTCCCGTTAGCCCTGTCCAGTTCTTTCTGCGCCCCAGATTTGCCCCTGTCTCCTCGCCTCCCTTCCGTGTGTATTCCAGCTCCTGTCCCAGCCACCGCTGCAGACAGTGGACCTCCCAGATTCAAATTCCCAGCCCGACCCCACGCTCACCGCCGCCGTTCTTGTAGCAGAGGTAGGGGAAGCGCCACACGTTGGCCAGGTCCACTGCGAAGCCGACTACGGACAGCAGGAAGTCGATCTTCTTGCCCCAGGTCTCCCGGGGCTGCGCGTCGCCGTCGCGGGGCGCCAGCAGGCACTGGACGCCGTTGCGCTCCTTCACCACCAGCAGCTCCGCAGTTTTGCGCGCCCGAAGGGGCTGCTCTGGACCCGTGTCCGCCCCGTTGTTCTCGGGCTGCACCTGCGGGTTCATCCGCGCCAGAAGCATGGATGCGGCTGGCGAGAGGAACTTTACCGGTCCTGGGGGCACGCCGAGGCTCTGCTTGGATAAAGGGAAAAGAGGTGGTTACCCGGCCGTTCCTCCCTACTTGCAACTCCCAAGACCACCCGGGAGCGCCTTAGACACTGGGATGAGCGCGCGCTGAGCGGACGCAGGGTTCCCAGAAAAGGGCGCGCGTCCGCTGGAAAAATTTGGAAACAGAGGTTGGGGCACGCCGGAACTCAAGAGTTGGAGACTTCTGACAGCCCTCTGGGGGCGGCTGAAGACCCTGCAGCACTTTTCCTCGTTCACCCACTCTCGCCTGCCCCAAATGGCTGGGATTGAACTCACCGAGGCTGAGGGCAGCGTGCCGACCCCCTCCCCAGCTCAGGTCCGCGACACTTCAACAGCCACAGGAGCCTTCTCGGACACTTAACGTCACTGCACTACAAACTCGCTAGCCCTCTGCTGGCGCGTCTCGGCCCGGGCCTCCCAGGCAGACCTAGCCCTGTCCCGCGCTCAGGGCGCACTCACGTGTCCGGCGGCGAGGGGATCCCTGGTGCCTTGCGCCCTGCCGGCCCCCGACCGGCGGCGCCTTGGCAGGCTCTAGGGCGCGGGCTGGGGCTGGGCTCCGCCGTGTGGCGTTCGGGCGGGGCCGGGGAAGAGCTGGAGGCGCGGGGCGGCCGGCAGGGCGCGGGCTGACTGGTTCTGGCCGTGCCTGGCGGGGGCCGGGCTGGTAATGTAGCCTGCGCCCCAGGTAACGCGCCGATTGCATTAACCCAGCGCCCGGCCCGCTCCGTCTGGAGCCTGTTAGCGCTAATGGAGACTGACAGCGCGGCCGGGGATGGGCAGGGGCGGGAGGGTGGCGCGGGTTCCCAGGGATCTGGGGGACTCGGGCGCGCACTCCCTTTCTATCCTGCGCCGAGCACCGCTCGCCGCTCCCAAGGACACCAGGCCTCTGATCTCCCACCACGGGGAGCGAGTGACAGACTCTCCAGAACTGGGGTCTGCGTCGCGTCAGAAAGGAGGCCAAAAAAGGACTGGGGAAGCAGCGACCGGTGCAGCACCAGCTCTGTCTTCCGCAGCAGGCCACTTAAACTATCTGGTCAGTTTCTTTATCAACGAAATGGGAATGTGCGGCTCAGGGCCCAGTGCTGCAAATAGGCGGCCAGCGGGCTGTTGGGCAGTTTTGTTTGAGCGGCTTAGCATGTTGACAGGTCACAGCCCAGCACTTACTCCTGCATCTCTGTTATTTATGGGCAGGGTAGCAGGTCATTTGAGGTTGTGACCCGTGTTCTGTGAGGCTGAGAACTACTATTTATTCTTTCAATTATTCATTCATTCACACCTTCACACATTTGTTCTTCCATATGCCCGCTGTGTGCCAGGCACTGTTCCGGGCTCTTGGATTACACTGGCGCAACATAACTCGGAGATTCCTGACCTCATGGAGTTTACATTCTGCTGGCGGAGACAGAGGAAACGGGAAACATAATAAATACACACGTTATATGATGGGTGAGGGAATGGGGGGACAGTGGGGCTGCAGTTTGCATACGGGGTCAGGGAATTTGAGAAGGTAACAATTAGACAAGTAAAGGAGTGAGCCATTTGGACCTGAGAGTCGTTTTCTCATTCATTCACTCATCTATTGATTAATGTATTAATCCCTTTAGCAGATGCTGATCATCTGCTGTGTGCGTGAACAGTGCTGGCTAGAGAGGAGATAGCCCCTGCCTTCAAGGAGCTCCCAGACCAGTGTATAGAGTCTATCACAACCCAGTGTGGTCAGGATGTGTTGTGACCACAGATGTGTGGAAGTAGGGTGGAGCTGAATCAGCAAGGGAAGCATCCTGTTGATCCAAGGAGGCTTCAGAGAGGTGGCCGTGCTAAGTGGGTTGGGTGGGGCTTGGATCAGCCCAGCCACACTGACCTTTCCATTCTGTAAACATCCTAAGCTCAAACCCACCCCAAGACCTTTACACTTGCTGTTTTCTCTGCCTGAGTTGTTCAGGTCTCAGTCCAGAGGTCCCTTCCCGACGACTCAAATCGAAAATACACGCTCACTCTATCCTATCACCCTATTTATTCATTTGTTACATCGCTATCCGAATTTGTCCTAGTTGTTTAACTTTATGTCCCCCCTTGGGTGGTATGTGAGCTCCATGAGCACAGGGACCTTGTCTGTCTTTTACAGCACGTGTTCTGGCACCTGGAACGTACTAGAGCATCAACCAGCCTATGAAGTGAATGAGTTAATGAATGAAAGAATGGTGGTGTGTGGCGGTGTTTAGAGCATCTGTACCAGAGGGACAATCGTGACAAATGTCCTCTGGGCAGGATGCAGAGGGGAGAGGAAGGGAAACCTAGAGGGGTATGGGTTCCCCTGGCTTCTGGGGAAGATGACAGAAGGCAGGTGAGGGAAAAGATTGAGCAGAGGTTTGAGGACAAGAGCTCAGAACTGTAGGTTTCCACACATGAAAGGTGTTTATCTCCTTTGATCTATTGGACGATCATGACAATCCTGTAAGGAAAGCAGGAAGAGAATCATCTTTCCACGTATCAGGTCAGGAAACTGTGGCTCTGTGGACTAAAGGGACTTGTCCAAGGTCCCACAGATTGGAAGTCACAGAGTGGAAATGAGAACCCAAGTCTCCTGGCCTCCAGCCTCTGCTCCCTCCACCAAGTCATGGTGGAGACACTCAGAATCTCTCTAGTAGTCATGGTCCCCTTCTCTCCTCTACCCCACACCCCATCCAACTAGTTTTCAAGTGCTGAGAATCCCACCTCTGAAACACCCTGCAAAGCCACAACAGAGGACCCTCATCACCCCTCACTGCAGCAGCCTCCTAGCTGGTCACCCCACGTTCAGTATCTTTCCAGCTGCATGATCGTCACCAGCTGCCAGAGCTCTACCTAGAACTCAAGTGCGACCACCTCACTCCTCTGCCTGAAACTCCTCTGAAACACACCAACACATAAATGTGATTTAATTAACTCTGGATTTGAGGTAATTTTATTTTCTTCTCTATACTTCTCTGTATATGCCAACTTTTCCACAATGAGCATTTGATATTTATGCAATCAGAAAAAGATAACCCACAATTTTAAAAAATCCTCCAACCTTTCCAAGATAATGCCTAAACACTTTGAGGAGTATAGACAAGACTCTGGCTATTTAACCACACCTCCTGCTATTCTAATTCTCTCCTCATTTTTCCTACAAATCCTTTATCACTTCCAAAATATGCTTTATTCTCCAGTAGTATGAGAGATACTAAACTACTAGTGGTTCCCTGAGTACCTTGTGCTTTTTTACACTTCTGGGTTTTTTAATATGCTGTTTCCATCATTCTTTTTTCTACCTGGAGAACTCCTACCCATCCTCCAAAACCTCCAGTCACCCTCACTGTGAAGCCTTCCCTGATAACCACCTCCTACAACAGAGTCAAACTCCTCTTTTATACTGCTGTTTATTTGCCTGTACAGTTATTTGTGAGACCTCCCTACCAGCGTCAAAGACAGTGCGTGATGTATTCTGTTACTTAAATGGTGCTCCAGAAACATGTACAATACAGAACCAGAAGAGTTCTCTTTCTTTTGTTGGGTTTGGTGTCTTTGATTGGTTTCGTTTTGTATTGGATTCCTCAAGAAACAACTGGAAACAAAGATTAGAATACAAGTAATTTATTTAGGAGATAATCCTGGAAGCAATCGTTGGGGAGAGGAGAAGTGAGACAGCAAAGGGAAGGAAACCAGGAGAAAGTAGATTAAGGAGCACTTGCTGCTGGGGAAACAGGTGCTCAGCCCTGGTGGGGGCCTCGGGAGACTGCACAGAGCACGCCTTGGGGTTGTCTCACTTGAGGGGCAAGAAAACTAGAGTATTTATCCATGAAGGCCGCCCCCAGAGTGTCAACTTCCCAGCAAGTCCAGCCTGTCTGATAAGAGGGATGAGCCTGTCCTGCTGCCAGAGAAAGGCTAACAGCAGAGCCCCAGGTACTGGCAGCAGGAAGCCATTGGGTTGGGTCTGCACTGGCAGGAACAGTGGATGATAAGGGGTGTGGGCATGGAGCTGGAAGTGTTTGCTACAAGGGTGGAGGGAGGCATTTCCTCCTAATGCGCACGCCATCACGGGGGCCAATCAGCAAGTCTGGGAGCTCCATCTGTGGTTTCAGAGACTACCGGGGGTCAGCAGTGAGGACACTAGGCTGGGACTGGGCTAAAAGGGAAGGCGTCTCTCTCCATCTCTCGCCCAGACTCACCGCCATGGGGCCATGTGGCTTCTCTGGGAGCCCTTCTTCCTGCCCAGCCAGGTGGCCTGAGGGCAAGTTGTGCATGGGAGGCTGGAGCATTATCAGAGCTAATGTGATCTCTGGGGAGCCATCACTTCCACTTACCATGGCACTTGGTGACACAGGCCATGGGGTAAAAGGCAATGGCTGATGCTGTGAGTCCATCTCTGGCCATCTCCCCACAGACACTGGGGCCCTGACACACAACAGCTGGGCTGGGACACATTTAGAATCCAAGGGCCTGTGTCCGCTGAGGACGCTATCAGAACCTACACCTCCATGGCACCAATGAGGAGACTAAGGAAAAAAAGGAGGAGAGGTTTGCCTACATATTTGTTTCCTCCATCCCTCTTTTCTTTCCTTCCTTCCTTCCTTCTTTCTTTTCTTTCTCTTTCTCTTTTCTTTCTTCCTTTTTTTCTTTCTCCTTTCCTCCCTTTCTTTCTCTCTCCTTTCCTACCTTCCTTCCTTTGCTTCTTTCCCTCCCTCACTTCTTTCCTTCCTCTTCCTCCCTCCCTCCCTCCCTTCCTTCCTTCTTTCTTTTCTTTTCTTTTTTCTTTCTTTCTTTTTCTTTCTCTTTTCTTTCCTTTCTTCCTTTTTTCTTTCTCCCTTAGTCCCTTTCTTTCTCTCTCCTTTCCCACCTTCCTTCCATCCTTTCCTTCTTTCTCTCCCTGATTTCTTTCCTTCCTCTTTTTTCCCTCCCTCCCTCCCTTCCTTCCTTCCTTCTTCCTTTTCATTCTGTCTTTCTGTCTTGATCAGGGGACAATAGGCATATATTACACTGCAGCTGACCTGCCCTGAATTCATTCATCATTGGCATAAGTTGTGCTGGATTTACGAATAGCATAAGACCTCCATGAACTGAAATCCGCCTCCTTCAGGACACCACCCACTAAAGTGCCCTTGGGATACCTGAGACTTCCGATCTGTGCGGTGTGGCTCAGTCCTTAGATTTTTCTCTTAATTCCTAGCCCAGCTGACCATATTCAGGCACTGGCATTAAAGAGCATCTGTTGCCTGCTGACTTCACATTCACATCCTCTCCCTGGGCTGCTCCCCTGAACTTCATGTGCCTTTATCAAACTGCAGACTGGACATCACTACCTGGATAATCAAAGGCACCTGGAAGTCACTATGTCCAAAGTAAGATCCTTGGCCTCCCCTTCCTGACCCACACCACACCTGCTTCCCCACAGTCTCCCTACCAAGGTGATGGCATCTTCTTCCTTCTAGTTCCTTGGGCCACAAACCTTGGAGTCAGCCTGGACTCCTCTTTCTCTTGACCATCATCCAATCCTACTGCAAATGACTGGTTCCAAATCACATCACACCTCCCCACCTCATGGTGGTGTCCCTGTTCCAAGCCATGTCACCTCTTGCCTGGATTAATGTCATAGCCTCCGAATGGGCTTCCTGACTTCTCCCCTTATTCCATGAAGTTTAAGTTCCACATAGCAGCTAGAAACACCTTTTGGAAACAAGTTCAGAGCCTATCACTGTCTCTCCCCAATGGCTTTTATCTCCTTCAGAATAAAATCCGAAGTCTAATCTCAGCACTTTGGAAGGCTGAGGTGGGAGGAGTGCTTGAACCCAGGTGTTCGAAACCAGCCTGGGCAACATAGTGAGACCCTGTCTCTACAAAATTTTTTTAAAAAATATTAGCCGAGGATGGTGGGGTGCACCTGTAGTCCCAGCTACTCAGGAGGGTGAGGTGGGAGGATTGCTTGAATCCAGGAGGTGGAGGCTGCAGTGGGCTGTGGTCATGCTACTGTACTCCAGCCTAAGTGACAGAGTGAGACCTTGTCTCAAAAGCAAACAAAACCCAAAGTCCTTCCGTGGGTGACAGGGATGAATGGATAAATGCATTCTTTGGTGGACTTGCCAATGCAAGCCCAGCTGAGCCCTGCAGTCCCCATGGGAAGCCAGATCTGACAGAGACAGAGGTGTTGGGGGAGAAGAGAATAGGAGTGACCAGTGGCATGGCAGAAAAGCACTGGGCTGTGAGACAGCACCATGGGTCCTGACTCAGGCTTTGCTGTTCTCAGGCTGTGCAGTAATGGCCAAGTCCATTAGCAATATGCAGGTGGACCATAGAAAGAAGAAAGAGGCAGAGCACATGTCGAAGAGCCAGGGAAGGAGAAAGGGAAGGAGGTGCCCAGGGCAAAGGGACTCAGTCTCCCAGGAGAAAAAGAGGAACTTGCCCTCCCCTACACGAGACCCCAGATACATCCTTTGGCCTTAAGATAGTCATGTGAGTTATGGAGGGAGAAGACTCACAGCTGGTTTAGGTTCCTCTCTAAGACAGAGGGAGGTTTGGCCAGTTGACCGGGCTGCCAGCCTGCACAGGGGCTCTATCCACCCGAGAATATCTGGACAGAATCTCAGAAACCTTACATCCAGTTGTCACTCTGTTAGAACACCAGGTATTCCTTAGATAATCTGATGAGACATGGAATTTCCTCCCAGAAATATGCGCACACACACACACACAGCATTTTAAAATTTAGTGTGAAATTTCTCGTACTTAAGAAAAAAGTGTACACAGTACATCTTTCCATGTATTTGTCTTCTTTAATGTACACAGCATTTTAAATAGAGTTTGGGGCAGATTTGCAAATCCTGCATGAAATTCATCTCGGAATCTCTTAAAATAAAACATGTATTATCTTTTTCACAGTTCAAATAATAATAATAATATGAACGTACAAGAACCCACCTACCCTTCCGGGTTAAGAAATAGAATATCCCATACCTGACAAGCCCACATGCACCCCACGCCCCCTAAGCACATTCACCCCTGTTCCCTGCTCTAAAATAAACACTATCCTGAGTTTGGCAAACACCACTTCTTTGTTTTTTCTTTATAATATTACTATCTATGAATATATTTCTAAACAATACATTGTTAGTTTATTCTTCTTCAAATTTTATGTAAAAGGAATCACACTACAGATATTGTTCTGTGACTTATTTGGCCCAATATGTTTCTGAGATTCATCCTTGCTGATGGGGTTGGCTGCAGTTCACTTGTTTTCAGTGTTGTTTATAGTAATTCTATTGTATGAATAATAACAATTTATTTATTCATCCAACTGTGAAGGACATTTGGATTGTTTCCAGTTTTTTTTTCTTTTTGGATTTTGAACAATGCTGTCTATAAACGCTTTAGGATGTCACCTACACAAATGTGCAAGAGTTTTCCTAGGGTTTATTCTTAGGAGTGAATTGCTGGTTTGTAGAGTATGTATTTATTTAGCTTTATCAAGCAATGCCAAACCATTCTCTAAAGTGTTTGTACCAATTGAAACTCCCTCTAGCACCGTGTCAGTTCTTCACATCTAATTTCTCCACATCCTCCCTAACCCTTGGTATTACCTAGGCTTTTAACTTTTGCCAAACTTTTGGGTGTGAAATGGTATCTCACTGTAGTTTTCATTTGCACCTCCCTGACTTCTAATGATGTTCAACATCTTCTCACAAATACATATGGGTCATTTGTGTTTCTTTTTCTTCTATGAGATGATGATACATATTGTTTGAGCAATTTTCTATTGGCTTATTAATGTTTTTCTTATTAATTCACAGTACTTAATAATATATCCTGGGTACTAATCTTTGAAATGTTGCCAACATCTTTTCTTGGCTGCATTGTAAATCTTTTTGCTCTGTTGGGTGACTTTGGTAAGTAGAGGTTATTAGCTTCAATGTAATTTAATGTAGCAATTTTTTCTTTTGGTTTCTATATTTATGTCTGGTTTAAGAAATCTGTCCCTAGCTGATATTTTCCAAAGTTATATTTTAAAATTTGACAGTTTTGTCCTTCATATTGATGTCCACCTGGAGTTGATTTTTGTATAAGGTATGAGGTAGGGATTCCACTTCATTATTTTTCATTTGAATAACAGATAACAAATTGTCCTGCCCCAGTCCTTAAGTAGTTACACCTTCTCTGCTCTAATCATCAGAGAATTCTCTATCATAAACCAAGTTTCCTTGTACAGTTGGGTTTTTTTCTGGACTCTCTCTTCTGTTCTGTTGGTCTATTTATCTGTGCCCAAGAATTACCACACAGTCTTAATTAACATTGTTTTATAATACACTTTCCTATCTGGTGGAGCAAGATTCTCGAGCTCCTTTTCTTTGGAAATATCTTGGCCATGCTCTTCCCTACAAATTTCTGAACCATCTTGCAGCGTTCCATGAAAAACACCACTGGAATTTCAATTGTTATTGCATTAAATCTACAGATCAATTTGAGGGAGAACTGACATCATCACAGTGTTTAGTCTTCCCATCCAAGAACACAGTACATGTTTCCATGTATTTGTCTTCTCTAATGTACACAGCATTTTAAATAGAGTTTGGGGAGAATTTGCAAACTCCTGCATGAAATCCATCTCAGAGTCTCTTAAAATGATTGCCCTCTAGTGTCTGAGCTCTTTTCTTTTTGCTCAGAAAACACTTTCCAATGGCTTCACCAGGAATATATTTGGACCAAAGTGATTCTTACAGCTATCTTCCCACTTCTTTCTTACTTGTCTCACTGGCCTTCTGATGTCTATTCTTGGGAAACAGCAAATTAAGCTTTTGTGGAGCCTGGAGAGGCAGAATGGTATCCAGGCTAAAAGCATGAACTTAGGAGCCACTAACCTGAATTTTAATCCTGACTCCACTGTGGACTATCTGTGAAATCCTGGCCAAGTTCCCCTACTTCTCTGTGTCTCAGTTTCTTTTCCTTCTTTCTTTCCTTCCTTCCTTCCTTCTCTTTCTTTTTTCTTTCTTTCTCTCTCTCTCCTTTCTCTCTTTCCTTTATTTCTTTCTCTTTTTTCTTTCTCTCTCTGTCTCCCTCCCTCCCTCCGTTTCTTCTTCTTCCTTTCTCTCTCTCTCGTTCTTTCTCTCTCTCTTTCTTTCTTTTTCTTTCTCTCTCTCTCCCTCCCTCTACCCTACCTTCTCTCTCCCTCTCTCTCTCGCTCCGTCTTCCCTCCTTCCCTCCTTCCCTCCCTCCCTCCCTTCCCTCCCTCCCTCACTTCCTCCTTCCTTCCTTCCTTCCTTCCTTCCTTCTTTCCTTTTTTCCTTCTTTCCTTCCTTTTGGTATAGATGGGGTCTTGTTATATTGCCCAGGCTGGTCTCATACTCCTGGGTTCAAGCAATCCACCCATCTCAGCCTCTTGAAATGCTTGGATTACTGGCATGAGCCACCAGACCTGGCCTCAGTTTCTTCATCTGTGAAATGGATAAGATGATGAGGAGGATAAGGGCACTTAGCTCATAGAATTGCTGAGAGAATTGAATGAGTAAATACATGTAAAGCACCTAGACAATGCCTGGTATCACATACATGTTACTTCTTATTGTTGTCGTTATCAAAACATTTAATTTCTCTATGTCTGTGGGAGGCAGGGATCTTCTCCAGAATTTTAATTTAGATTTATCTGACTTCAAATTACAAGACTGGGATAAAATAGCAAATATGGGTTGGCATAACTATTACAACTGTGGCCTTTGGACTTAAAAAATAAAAGCTGGGTTGAAAGCCTAGCTTCATTACTTGCTGGCTGGGTGACTTTTGGCTTCTAAGCCTTAGCGTTCCCAACTATAAAATGGGGATGACAACACCTGTGAAGATAATTAGCGGGTAGCACTGTATGAAGGGTCACATTTCTTTAGCCTCTACAATGCAGTGGCAGTTGAGTCCTCAAAGTCACTCTTTCTTCCTAGTGGCCTTTTGCCTCTTTTCCACTTTTACAGCTCACGCCTCTGGCAGATTTGTTAAAAGTGCAGATTCCTGGGCCCCAACCCAGAAATTTGAATTCAGTGGGTCTGCAGTGGGAGCCAGGAATCTGCATGTTTGTGGCATGTATATTCTTGTTTAAAAAAAAATAACTTGAGCTTTCAGATAGTTGAACACGGGGAGGTTCCTGGAGGGTTGTGCACCAGGGAGAGCATGAAGCTCCAATCCCCTTCCCCCAAAAGCCACCCTACTTATCTCTTCATCTATAACCTTTGCAATAGCCTCTATAATAAAATGGTAAACGTGAAATCACAACAGAATCTATTCAGTAAGGTAATGCCCAAAGCAAAGAAATCATATAGCCAGCACCCACGATGGCTTCCCAGTGATCTGCACTTCCCAATACTCAGGCCCCTGTGGAATGCCCTCCCACACCATGTCAGGGATGGCTCTGTGTGAGCAGTGGAATGTGGTAGGAATAATGCTCTGGGACTTTCCAAGTGAGGTAAGTAAAAGAAGCCTTGCAGCTCTGCCCATGACTCTCTCTTGGAACCTTCAGTCTCCATGTGTGAAGTCCAACTTCCCTGAGGTTGCCATGCTGGAGAGATCGCAGAGAGAGAGGCTCTGAGACCACAGGAAGAGAAAGAAATGTCCAGCCGTCCCCCAGCCATTTTAGCTTCAGCCAACCAAGTTATCCCAGCTGAGACCCTTGACATCATGGAACATCAACAAGTCATTCCCTTTAAACCCTGCCCCAAATGAAGTCTCATGAGTAAAATAAATAATTGTTGCTCTTTAAAAAAATAACAACTCCAGTATTAGTGACGTGTTTCATAACCTTTGTCCCAAGTTGAGAGTGGCTGTGGCAATTTGTGGGCAATTCAGCTTTGCCCAATTTGAATGCCTTTCTCCCCTCAAACTGGTGTGTCCTCCTTTTGCTCTGACTGCTTGGCAAAAAACATAGCCATTTCCTGCCTGGGCTGTCTATTCCATGAAGTCATGAATGGGTCCCTTCTGAGACATGGAAGGGAGAAAAGCTGCTTCACGTTCACTGTCTAGGGTACCATCTAGGAGGTAGCAGGAGCATCCATCAATACCCCAGAACAGAGGCGTGGAAGAGTGAAGGGACAGAGGTGTGAATTGCACCCTCTTCAAGGGAATCATGAGGCCTTGGCTCAAGGTTGTCTGCAATGAAGCCAAGGCCTGGGGGATGCACCTAGTCTGGGCTGGTCCTGCTCTGCATTCGTGCCCAGGATCCTGAACCTACTAAGTTGTTTAGTGATGGTGGTACACGCAGTAGTTCACCCTCTGTGGACTACATACAGAGAACACCTACCTGAAACATGTTCTTCAGAAGTTTGCCTCCTTTGTATTCTCAGCCCTCAAAATGAAAGCTGGGTGGTCTTTGGGTAAGGACAGGGGAACTAGGAGGTAGGGTGCAGGGTAATGATTTGCTACCCCTCTTTCTGGTAATACCACCACCCTCCCTTCCTAGTTTCTTAGGAGGCCCTTGATCTCTGGCTCCCTTAATGTGATCAGCAGGAGTAGTGGCACTCAACTTCTGTACTGCCTGGGAGTTCAAATCCTGACTTTCACTTACAAGCTTTGCTACCTCGAGCTGATGCGTGGCTCAGTTTTCTCACTTATAAAATGGGTCTTAGGGCCGGGTGTGGTAGTTCTCGCCTGTAATCCCAGCACTTTGGGAGGCCGAGGCAGGTGGATTGCCTGGGCCCAGAAGTTTGAGACCAGCCTAAGCAACGTGGCAAGACCCTGACTCTACAAAAAAAATACAAAAATTACAAAAATTAGCCGGGCGTGGTGGTGCACACCTATAGTACCAGCTACTCAGGAAGGCTGACATGAGAGGATCGCTTGAGCCTAGGAGGTCAAGGCTGCAGTGAGGCATGATCATGCCACTGCACTCCAGCCTGGGCAATAATAATAATGATAATAAAATTGGGCTTATGATAGTATCTATCTGTTGGGGGAGTTGGAGGGCTTAAATGCATCAGCGACTGCAAAGTGCATCAGCAGTGATTAGCACGTACTATAAACACGATAGACATTTGCTATACACTTGGCAGTTCTATTCACTTAGCAAACTGGGTGTGGGCACTATGCTAAGTATCATTTCATACAAGACAATCATTATTCTCATTTTACAGATTGAAGACCATGCTGAAAGTGGTTAGACGTCCTGTCCTGGACTTCATGGCTAGAGAGGGACAGAGGGTAGGGTTTGAGCCCAGATCCTGGCAGGCTCCAGGGCTTACGCTCTTCACCCCTGTTCTATCTCCATGGCTCAGCGGTTGCCAGTTTGGGCCTCATTTGCCTCACTCCATCTCTCTGCTCGAGCTCCCTATTCTCAGTAGGGCTGCTCACTCTTTTTGGCTGGGAAACTTGAGGCCATGGCTGATGCATTTCTGAACCCAGACATTGTGGTTTGTCAGCCACCATCTCCTCTGGCCCTTTCCCCTCAAGGAGCTAGAGTCCTTCCCTCTTCAAGGCTCACCTCCCACCTCAAGCCCTTAGATCCACCCCTCCCACCAGTTCTGGGATCTGCCCCAAGGCCCATTTTGTTTCTCTTCTATTTTTCTTCTCTGCCCCCTTTGCCTTTGTCCTGCGCATCTTCCAGGTCTTCAGCATCCACTGCCAGTCTCCCCTCAATGCTGTGTGTCATGAGGTTTGCCCTTCCTCCCAGGTAGCTGGCAGAAGAACCCTCCACTTCTTTGCCCCACTTTGTACCTCCCTGCCTCACTTCCACTCCCAAAATTACACAGGGTAGTAGCAGAGCAAGAGATCAGAACCGGCTCCGACACGTGGTCCCAGGGTCTTCCCACACCTACGTCCTCTCTTTGGAACATTTCTCAGAGCAGATAGTTGAACATTGCCCTGGCATCACTCTGAAGGAAGGAGGTGCACGAAAGATAGGTTTTGATGAGGAGGCTGGGAAGACTTGGGGGTCCAGGTTGGGGCAGCAGTGAGGGGAGGATCCAGGCTGGGAAGGATCCTTGGTGATAACAAAGGTGGGGAGAGGTCATCATGAGGCCACCCTGCCTGTTCCAAGGGCCACAGGAATCCTCACTGAGCCCTCCAGCACACGCAGTTCTCTTGTAAGGGGACTGGCAGCTGGTCTACACTGCCCACGTGTGGATGTGGGCCATGAAGCTAAAGCTGAAGTGCATGTCCTGGGGAGAGTCAGGTCAGGCAGTTGGTGGAGAGACTTAGGCCTTAGGAGAAGACTGAGGGACAGACCTGCTGGCCTCAGGAGTGGACATGCAGTCACCAGGGGGTGCTGCACATATATTCCGTGTGGCCCAAGAGCAGGCCCAGAGCCACAAACACGCACTTCAAGGAGTCAGGCTCCAGCTCAGTGTAGCCCAGGAGGCAGGTGGAACGGCTGTGTCTGGGAAGGCTGGGGGCTGCCCTCCAAGGAGTGTGTGCCTGCCCACCCCTGCCTCTGGCTCAGGCTTTGTGAGAACCAGTCCGGGGAGCTGGAGAAAGGAATGGGGCTTTGTTTCAAAATTTTCCAATTTTGCTAATAGCGTCTCTCCCATTTTTTTCTCCCTATCCTCCAGCCCACCTGTAACAAGACCTTTCGCCATGCCCGCATCCCTTAGAAGCTAGGATAGTTGGAGCTTGGAGGGACCTTGCAGATCTCTCCTGAAGTAGAGAAGTACAGCCCCAAGGAAAAGGGGCAATGGCTCAGGGCTATGCAGGCCCTGATTTGAATTACTTTGAATCACAGAGGGAGAAAGTTCCACTGCTTTTCATGCTTTTTTAGCCCTGATTACGGAAGGAGTGAGTCTCAATCTGGTGTTCATGTGTCTGTAATGACTCTAACTTACTAATCCCCAGTTCAACAGAAGGAAGCCAGGCTTTGGGTCAGAACTTTCAGGCCCAAACCGCATGAAACTAGAATCTCCTATCAGTGCTTTCTTTTCGTTGCTTTATTTTTAGTTATCTATTTATGGCATGTGATTTTGGTTTTTTATTTATTACATGATGACAGTATAAAATTTCTTTCATTATTTCTTACTGTTAACTTAAAAAATGTGGATAATTCCCAAGCATGTATCTACACTGTCACTATAGAGTATTTCTGCTCTCACTAGATACCTGCTCTCTAGTGTTCATAGGTGCCAGATAGTGAAAGCTTAGATACACATTTGGGAATAATCCTCACTAAATACATACATAATACATACCTAATAGCACATATTAAATGTATGGTATACATACATATAATGCATAATTATATAACAATATGTATTTATTATTAAATATAAATATATATTATTAAGAATAATCAATATACATACTATATACACACATGCACACATACTCAATATATACATATACTGCATATGTACCTATGTATACACGATATGTATATATTATTACTTAAAATTACACACGTACATTTACATATACCTAAAATGTTGCGTATATTCCTAAAATTTTATACATATAAACTATATATGAAAACATATATATAAATTTTTATATATAAAACATATATATATTTGTATGAGGCTTAACACACAGAAAATTGAAGTAATTATAACTGCACTTTTTACATAGTAAAAACGCTCATGAAACTACATCCAGGCCATTAAAAAAATGACCAGAATCTGAGGAGTCCCCCTGGTTGCCCCTCCCTGTCAACATCTCCCTCCTCCCCAAAGGTAACTGCTATCTGGACCTTGAACCCCCTAGATTTATTTTGCCTGTCTAAACCATTTTTACGCATCACTTTTGTGCATGTTTAAAGTTTATACAGTTGGCCTTATTCCGCATGAATCCTCCTGCAAATATTCTTGAGGTTTTTCCATGTTGATACTTGAGCTTCCTTTTTAAAACAAATGTGTTTAATTAAGAAGAATGAGTTGATTTAAAGGAAAACATCAAATGCATACTAGGACAAGTTGATCAGGGAGTGCCAGAATTCAGGAAACATTGGCTTTAAGCCCAGTATCTTCCCCTTTTACAGGTGTGCACACCAAGGTCAAGGGCCATAACAGCTGTACTGCAGGTCAGTCTGCATGTTCACGGCACAACTGGGATGAGGTTCCAGCCCAAGTTCCTGAGGTCGGAGATCTTTCCTACTACGTCATGTTGGCAAGAACATTCCCCTCTGCCTTACCCTACCCCACAGCTCTATTTCCTAGCCAACGTCGGTTCTTAACCTTGAACTGCAGAAAGTAAGCTGTTTTTGTTGTGTTTTATTGATCATTTTAGAATTAAGCCTAGAGTCAGGGTGGTGTGTTATTGGGGGACCAAGTCCCACCAAGGCAGCTGTCCAACCTTCAAAGTTATGACAAGCCTTCCACTTGGCAGCCCACCTCAGTGACCTATATTTTAATATGTGCTATTAGATTATTGCTAATGAGACATCTTAGGGATAAAAGAATTATGCTCGCTGCTGGGCTATGGTAAAAGTACAATTGAATTAAAGGCTGAAATCGTTTAGGACTCTGCTAGACAACCTGTCCCCCAGGCTGGGCCCGAATGGAGATATTAAGCTTTGGAAATTACACAGGAAAAATAAGTATAATTGATCTAGGGTAACTTCACTCATCTAAATTAAATAATGTGATTGTTACAGGCAGAAAGGCTCAGGATGAGAAGCCGGGCGGAAAAGGCTTGCTATCTGCAAACAAAGTTATAAGTGAAAGCCCCAGGGAATTGACTTTCCCCTGATGAGCCGAGCACCCTCCTGATGGCTTCTGAGAGTCCACTTGGTCATCAGCAGGAAATGGACCTGGTCTGAATGTTATAGAATCTGAGGTTTGCCAGGCGCCTCTGACCACCATCCTCACCAGCCCCTTCCCAATGCCTTAGCCAGCTCATGCCCCACCCGGCAAATTGTCCAGTGCTGTGTGCACAACTCTCTTGCTTAGAAGAGATTTCTCTATCCCAGCACTTTGGGAGACCATGGTGAGTGGATCATCTGAGGTCAGGAGTTCGAGACCAGCCTGGCCAACATGGTGAAACCCCATCTCTACTAAAAATACAAAAAAATTAGCCAGGCATGGTGGCGGGTGCCTGTAATCCCAGCTACTTGGGAGGCTGAGACAGGAGAATCGCTTGAACCCAGGAGGAAGAGGTTGCAGTGAGCCAAGACCATGCCTTTGCACCCCAGCCTGGGCAACAAAAATGAAACTCTGTCTCAAAACAAAACAAAACAAACAAACAAACAAACAAGAAGAGATTTCTCTGCTGGTGGCTGTAGCTGCTTTTATTTCCATCCATAGGAGTCTTGTGGTCTGCAATGCCTAAGGTCCATGCAACCTCATCTCCCTGGAGCCAGCCTCCAGAACCCCATGCCATCATCTATAAATTGCACAACTGTGTGCGGAGTGCCACTTACAGACCAGTCTTTAAATGAAGATATTGCATTTGCAGAACTTCGGAGCTCCGTCTCCAAGGTGCTCACTTTCTCTGGCCCAAACATTTACACTCCACCAACCCTCTCATTGATTCCAGGTTCCTTGGGGGCAATGCTAGTCCTGATGCTATTCATTGAAAGGCAGATGCTGGAGTCTCCCAAGCAGGAAGAGGTCCTGCAAACCTATAAGGGCTAAGATTTCCCAGGTCCTCCACTGATTCCCTTCTGCCCCAACTGGTGGCTCCCTTTGCCTTCCCTAGCATCTGTCTGTCCCACCCCTAGGCAACACAGCTGGCTGCTTGCAAGGTGAGACTTGAGGAGTCCCCAGCTATTCTTACCTTGTCCCAAACATTGTTGTTCTTAGGCCATAAAGTCCATGGTTAAGTCTCTTGTTTTAAGTATCACCCTTCTCTGGCTAAAAACCAACTAGAATATGTTAAAAAAAAAAAAGAGAGAGAGAGAGAGAGAGAGAGATTTCCTCTCTCCCTCCAATCTTTCTTTTTCTCTCCTTCCCTTCCTCCCTCCTTCCTATCTTCTTTCTTCCCTCCTTCTCTCCCTTCCTTCCTTCCCTCTCAAAAGCATTTCTTGAGTCATCCCTATGTATCAGGAACAATTCTATGAGCCAGGGCTATAGTGGTAAATAATACAGATGAGATTCCTGCTTAAAGTCAAGCCAGGAGAAAAGTCTAGAAACAAATAAACAAGGAAATAAGTAAGATGTGGATAGATATTGACAAGTCCCCAGAGTGGTGAGTTAGACTCCGATTGTCTGGGAAGGATCTGTGGCCAGGTGCTCAGAAATGTCCTCTTCAAGTTCTCTTGAGTTGAGCTCAGCCCTGCAGAGAGCCAGGGAGGAGTGAGTTAGGAAGAGGCAGCACCAGGTTCAAAAGGACTGGTAAGGGTTGGAGGAAGGCGCCCTGAGCCGAGAAAGAAGGGCAGTGCCACCCAAGTTGTGAGCAAGGGCAGATGAGAGTGAATGAAGAAGTGTCAGTGACCTGATTTTAAGCCACCTTTTGGCCACTGTAAGGAGGATGGCTTTTACTCTCAAGACAGTGGGAAAGCCACTGAAGACTTCATAGCTCGGTAGTGTGATCAAGTTTGTATTTTAAAGGGTCTGTCCCACTGCCGTGTGTAGAGCGGTGGGCAGGGGTGAAGCAGGGACTGGTCAGGAGGCCCTGGAGCCACCCAGGAGGGGAGAGTGTGAGAAGAGTTGAGGCTCTTCTCCCAGGCAGGAGGAGAAAGATTGGCCAGAAAACAAAAGTGTTTGTAATGACTTTCTAAAGTCCATCACACAAGGACCATCTGGGGACATTTTCTGATTCTAAAAAAAAATATAAAGAAATAAATTTAAAGACTAAATGAACATTCTCTCTCTAGTTCGTTAGAGATACGATTGCCCTGGCTCAGGAAACTTGCTGACTTGTCCCATCCTGCTGGGAAACCATCTTTGGGCCTTTCTCTGCCTCTTAAAATCAGACAAACACGAGCAGCTTCAAAGGCCGCTGGCTCTCTTCATCAGTCTGTGAACAGGAGAGAGCACAGATTTTGATGGTTCTTAAGTACGTCCTCAAACCTCACCCTGTCAACAAAAAGGTGGCTTTTTAGAATGTGGAACATGAGAAATCTCTGTTCCTCAAAAGCCAGTTATTGAGTTTGAGAGACTGTCTACATTCATCCCCAGAGATGATGCTTTTTAAAGCAGAAGCACAAGCTAAAGCTCTAACTTTGCCAGTATGGGCCTTTTCTGTTAATTCAGGAGGTAGAAATGAATTGAGTCTCATATACCTCAATCCTCCCCATTGCACTTTACACACGATCCACTCTTCGGGCCACAGTTTTTCCCTCTGTGTAATGGGTGAAACAATTCCTAGCATTCACATCTGTTCTGACTTTCTTTGTCACGGGGAGACAGATTCTTACCAAGAGGGAGTGACTGGCCATGGTGGACTTACAGACACTATCACTGGCGGCATTACCCGAGAGTGCTTTGAGTGAATGGTGAGCCCCCCACCCCTCTAACTGTGTCCTGCAGTGGGGAGCTGCTACTGACCAGGCAGGACTCGGGTGAGAGGGGAGGGCCAGAGACAGGATGGTCTGGCTCAGAGGGCTCACATCAGTGTTGTAATTACGTTTTCCTGACTTCTCCTGTTGTTTTGGCCACCTGGGGTCTTTACAAAACCTTCATTACTTTCCAATTGTCTGATTTTCTGTTTTCCTGTTACCTTCAGACTTTGAAATTAGTTCAATGACTCAGCCATTTGACTTCTTATTAATTCCAGTCTCCCGTATCCCATCTGTCCATTCCCCTTCCCGTTTTTCAGAAGTCTGGCTTATATAATACTTTAACTCTTCCCAGGCAGACACAGATGAAGCCACTGCCAGTCACTCCCTATTACCTGTGCCTCTAAAGTATCATGGTTCTGGATTACCTGCCACTTGTTATATTTTACGTGCAGAGAGTCTCATTTCCGGAGTAGAAAGAGAGTTCTGAAGTTTCTGCACATTTTCTTAAAATAAAAAGTCAAGACCCCAAATAAACGGGTCAGTTGAACACCATGAAATATTGCTAATAAGATAAATCACAAAATCTCTAGGATAGAAAGGACTTCAGAGTTTATCCAAAACAACACTTCTCTTTACCATTGTAGCCCTAAGAGTGGCCATTTCCCATGTGCTTGAAGGCCTCCCATGACGAAGTGTTTGCTACTTCCAAACGCAACTGATTCCACCTTCAGACATCTCTCATTGTTAGGGAGTTCTTTAGGTCAAGATCTGCCTCCCTGTAGCTTCCACCAGCTGGCCCTGGGTTTAGCTCCTAGATCTACACAAAAGAAGTTTGTACTCACCCTTCTACATAGCAACTCTGCAGACATTGAGGACAGGAACAACCACTCCCTCTCCCCACCCCCATCACCACCACCCACCCTGGGTTTGCTCTTCTCTGGGTACCCCCTGCCTTTAAGTGGGTCTTAAGAGACTGGCTTCAAATCAAAGCCCCTGGAATTGCCTTTGGAATTCAGCAGCTGCCAGGGACATCAAAGCTAATTGCTTAAGAGGCCACGGGGACACATTTCATCCCTGCCTCAGCTACTGACTTTCTGTGGTTTCATTTATCTGGTTTACATCGATTGCATCCCTGAGAAATGCAAACATTTGTACTGCTTCACTACCCTCAAGAGACCTGCCCCTCCTCTCTCACCAAGGACAGGTCATAACTATTTGGAATCACTCAAGAAGGTGCCTGCCAAGGGTCACTAGGGCAGCTGTGGCATTGCAGAGCCCAATGTTCAAGGCGGATCATGGAAGGAGTTACCTTTATTAGCAGGAGTCACCACCAGCCAGTGCCTTGTGGGCCAGCTACAGCCCCCAGTGGTGTTTATTTGGTACACCCAGTGCTTTGCAATCCAGGAAATTTCACATAAAACCCCTGCAATTCTGGCTTCTCATAAAGCATCAGGAGCTCTGTCTGACCACTCTTGTGTGTATGTGTGTGTGTGTGTGTGTGTGTGTGTGTGTGTGTGTGTTTGACAGGGTCTCCCAGGCTGGAGTGCAATAGTGCAATCTTGGCTTACTGCAACCTCTGCCCCCCCAGTTCAAGTGACTCTCCTGCCTCGGGCTCCAAAGTAGTTGGGATTACAGGGGTGTGCTACCACACCTGGCTAATTTTGTAATTTTAGTAGACACAAGATTTTGTCATGTTGATCAGGCTGGTCTCGAACTCCTGACCTCAAATGATCTGCCCACCTCCACCTCCCAAAGTGCTGAGATTACAGGCGTGAGTCACTGTGCCCGGCTGTCTGGCCACTCTTGAGTTTTGGAGAGGGCACAAGCTCTTCTGGTGGGCCTCAGGCTCCTTACTTCCTACCTGCGTTATGTTTCTGACCAGCCTCTGTGATGTTTGAGAGTTTGTAATCCCTGCCCTGGACACTTCCATCTCTTTGCACCAGCACTGACCTGATGATGGTGGAAAGGGCTATCACTGTGTGGGAAGGGACTATCACTTTGCCTCTATATGAACACCCAGGATTCTCCATTCCCACCAACCTCCTTAGCCATTGCTGGCCATCCACCTGAACTCCTACCTGTGGGAGTGTTGCCTGCTGTTCCCTGCCCTACTCGTCTTTGCACATGCCATTCTCTCCACCTAGGGCACCCTTCCCCACCTCCACAACCGTACCCCACTGCCCACCCCATTGTCTGATAAAGGAATATCCATCCTGCAGGATCAGCTTTGATGTCCCTTTCTCTGAGTGCGTGGTGTTGTGGTGTGGACCTTCACTTCCCTGGGCTCCCTTAGCATACTTTTTTTGTTGTTTTTATGTGTTTGCATCTTTTCATGCTTTAGCATCTTTCCCACAGGAAAGAAGAAAAAGCAGAGCCCCTGCAGGCAGTGTGATCTCAGATCTACACACGTGAAACAGAAGATTATATAATCTGATAAAATCATTGTTATTGTTACCCTTAAAGGACTGTAGAGTCTCAATGTGTGTTCACATTTATGGTGTCCTGGACGAAGCAGAAATAAACTCCAGAGTGACACCACTCAGGAAGGGACATTGTACATCACTGTACAAACATCAGGCAAACCTGGTGTTTGGAGTGTAAACCAAAAATAAAATTCTAAGCCTACCAAACTACTAAATGGAGCCCCCCTGCCTCTTGGCCAAGGAGATTCCCAAGTAAATCTGAAAAACTAGTTCGGGCCATGACGGGAAGGCAAGGGTCAGGCATGTTTGATTATGTTAGCAGCAGTGAATCTGTACGGGCCTGCAGCAACCTCAATTCTTGCCTCCTCAGAAGAAAGAATTCAACTGAGGGGCATAAAGCAAAGTAAGAGACCAAGGCAAGTTTTAAAGCAGAAGTGAAAGTTTATTAAAGGGTGTTAGAGCAAGAACAATAGGAAATAAAGTACACTTGTAAGAGGGCCACACAGGCAACTTGAGAGATTCAAGTGCGTGGTTTGACCTTTGACTTGGGGTTTTATACATTGGCATGCTTCCAGGGGGTCGCATCTTTTCTCCCCTGATTCTTCCTCTGGCCTGGGCAGTCTGGCCTGCCAGCACTTGGGAGGGACCACATGCACAGTGCTTTTAATGAACTTGTGTGCATGCTCACTTGAGGCGTTCTTCCTTTACAAGTTGAGTGTTCCTACAGGAAGGTCATATATCAGATTAACTCTGCAATTTTGCCTTTTAGTGTGCATGCTTGAGTCCACTTGTCCAACTCCTGAGATCTTATCAGAAGCTGCCGATCACCAGCTTCATGTATTTTCTGTCTATTGGGAAACTGCCTTTCCCTGGCTCCAGCTGCAACCAATTGTTATTCTAGAGAAACAGTTTAACAATCACCTGACTATCACCTGATGATCACCTGACATTCCTGGTGGGGAGAGGACTCTCTTGCCCTGCTTATGTCTGACTACCTACCTACTGTAACATTTCCCTCTTCAAGAGTCCAAGACCCCAGTTCTTTGGGGAAAATGGATAAGGATCACTTTTTTGTAGTTGCTTCCTGGTGATAGAGGGATAGTGGTGGTTGTTTTGCGGGTCTTGGCCTCTTGCTAGATGTCAGGGCAGGGTGGCTCTATGGGTTGATGGAAGTGGTATCCATCCAGGTCCAAGAGAGACAGGGGCAGGATTTCACCTTTGTCATGTTCCTCTGATGGGCAGCCTAGGAATTCTCTGTAGAAGAGTGACTCTTGAATATTGAGAGTATGGCATCCCTCACTGAGGATCATCTGGAGCTTGATGGTCTGAAGGTGAGAGGCAAAATAAAATAAGGGGTTGAGTACAGCTCCAAAAAATCCTGAGGCTGCCCACATGCCCAGGTGGCTGGTGGCTATAATCATGCCTGCTAAGACTTGGGTGCATGGGGTTGCTAGCCAATTCCAATATATGCCCATAATTAGAATATTGATCCACCTTGTTTCATCTGAGCTGCAGCCAGAGTCACTGGTTGGTTCCAGGAATAAGCAGGGTTAGTCTAAATTACAGACAAAAACTCAAAAACAACTGATTAGACTAGAATCTAATAACAGGCATACCATGGTCTTTAAAAAATAATTTTTCTCTCTCCAGTCCTCATTTTTATTAAAAACAAATTATGATAGGACTAATTTGTTTGCAAAATAGCTTTTGTCTTGTTATACTTGCCCAATTATTTGCATAAAGCACAGCAAGAATAGTTATTTGCCATATAGGTTCCTTTTTAAATTGGCTTTGATGGAACTTCATTTCATAAGACATCTTAGGTAAGATTTTTTAAAGCCTTCAGTCCAGCCATGGGACTGTGCCATCAAATGCCTGTATAAATTGGGTAAATTTCTCTCCTCTTGAGGTCCCAAGATAACTTGGCCTCCTGGGCCTGTAAAAAACTGACATTCTTTACTTACCACGAGTCAGGAATTCTGTACAGGGAGTGTATAGGCAAGGTATGAGGCCAGTTTTCCCAAGGGAAAACTATAAGTCAAATTTGATTCCTTAATGGAAAGCATGTCATTCCAGTTAAAGCCTTGGTAAAATAACCAGTGACTCCAATTGTGTCCTGCTACAAAAGAAAACAGATTCTTATTGCACTTATACAAATAACTATATTTCCATAAGTTAAGAATACTCATAGTTTCCAAATTTTGGAGAAATTTCTCCAAATTTTGTTTATAGGAGTACACTTTACTCTATTGTTAAAAGCTGGAAATAGCTCAAAAGAAAAGTTTTCTTGGTTTTGAAAACCAAAGGATTAGCAACGTTTTAACCAAAAGTTCATAAAAGTATTATTTTAGTCTTCTATTAGTTCAGTCCGTGCAGTTAACTCTTATTCTGCTTGATATTCATAAACATTTCAGCTCTCCATGAGAGTCCTGAAAGTTTTTCTCCTATTCTAATGTCACAGTCTCCAAAATTATCAGAAACCTGCATTTAAAAGTACCTGTTAGAGTCCTATACCTGATTAGAAAACCAGCTTTTAAAGATGATTAAAACAACATAACAATTGTTCATGGATGACAAAAAGTCTTAGGGTAGCCATAGTCAAAGATACAATTGACAAGGAAATTTGTTACCTTGGTATCACACAATAATTTAACATTAATAATTATAATTATTACTTGTATACTAAATCATATCAGAATTATAGGAGTTTTGCATAATTTTGGAATGCATGCCAATAACACATTTATACCAGTACAATCCAAAGAAAGCCAAATTGTGCCTTTGCATTAGTGTACTATTGATGTCAAACCCAGTTCTTAATAAAAATCTAGTAGACAAATCTATCCAATCTTAACCAGTTTGACCATAAGTTCATAAGCCTCTTACAATTTTCTGTTGAAGTGCAGAATAATGCTTTAAGAAAAATCAGGTTGTGCTTTTATTTCAATGTTCAATATATGGATAGACTACATAATACTCCTTTAATTTTAGCTAATATATTCACACACATAATTTCTTTTAGAAGATTAATCTTTTATAAATCTTCCACAACTTCCTCAAATCTTCAGCTTTATCCTATCTAACTTAAAACAATCCTTTAACTCTCTAAACTAGCCCAAAAATTTATATTCCCATGCCTTTTTATTATCTTTTGCCAAAAGCACATTCTACTTTCCTTACATGCCTTGCATGTAAAACTGTTTTTCCAGTAGCCTCAAGTACATGATACACTGTTAACTCTTAGCCAATTTAACTTTTGGTGAAAAACCTGCTAAGTAAATGATTCTAATTATGTACTAGGTTTGGAGCCAAGGACACCAGATAAAGTGCAGATAAGGTCTGACTCTTTCCAGCATAGCTAGGGGGCATGGCTAACTCTATGTTCTTAGGTCTTACCTAGTTTTAAAGCAGGCAAGTTGTACAGTTAAGGGTCATAGTAGCAGTTTATGACCTTAAATCAGTTAGTAGAACTAATAACCTTTAAAACTGTATAACATTTATTTTATAAATTCCTTTTCACAAATCTTTTTATTACTATCTATGACATACTTGGACTTTCTGACTTATTCTAAACATCTCTCTTTTTTTAAAAAAAACAGTCATTTTTAGTTTAGGACAAGAATGTATCATTTTAATATAATATCTATTTTCTTTATAACCTTCCTTACCAACACTACCCCTTTACCTTTATAACCTCTGGATTAGACAAGTCATTTTCCTTCTGTTAGAAAGTCAAGATTTGTATTGCACGTTGCTGTGTGAGTCCTGTGAAGGAGGTGCAGATGAGGAGGTTATGTATATACTGTGGAAGTTATCCCCCCTCAAAAGATTGTTCAGTTAGTTTTGCTAGAGCTTGTATGAATAAGCGTGGGCTATTTCTAAACCCTTGAGGTAGGATTGTCTAGGCTGAAGTTATTGATTAAAGATTTAGGTAGCTTTCCCCGGACAAATAGGAAAGATGAATTCAAATGTTGGGTAAATATTAAGTAGGTATCCATCTTGAAAGTATATTTTTGCCCCAAAGAGACGTGGAGTATATAGACTTTACCAAGAACTGGTGGGAGAATGTTAATTGGTCCTTTAAGTAATATAAAGGGGGTGTGAATCTTTTTTTTGAAGGGAGGGTATGGCATTTGCCCCCATTACCCAACAGAATTTGGAGGACAGTTGCTTAGAGAAGGAGATTAGCAAAGAGTAGGCAGTGCTTGAGACCAAAATGGAGATTTATCATTTTACTTTCTGCCTCCAGAGCTTCCCTTGTCCTGTTGATGACAATGTCTGATTTGGAAGCCTGCTGGAGTGGAGAGCCCCTTCAGCTCAAAGCCACCAGGGGTTGGGATTCTGTCCTGGGGAACATTCAGCCTTCAGGACAGTACTGATTCCGGTGTCCAAGCTTGTGGCAGAGGGGGCAAGCCATGTGGGCCTTTCATTTATCCCATTGGGGCAGTTTGCGTTCCAGTGGCCTGGCTTCCTGCACTGATGGCAGTTACCTGGGAGGGTATTCTGAGGCCAATGTGGAGGGGATTGGTAGGCTTGCAGAAAAGCCAATAGTTGAGCCTGCCTCTTGTTCCTGCATTTATCCTTTTTCTTAGCCCTGTCCTCATCCTGATCTTGATTATAAAAGACTGAGGAGGCTAATTTGAGGATTTCCTGCATAAGGACACTAAATTCTAAGGCTGACTTTTATAATTTTATCCCAGTTAATTTTTAGGCCAGACAGTATTACAAAGGAGCCTAGGTTTTGTTTTAAGATTTTGGGGATCAAACTTTTCCCAGTTCTTCAGGATGCACCCAAGGGGAATGTCCTATGGTAGGGAGACATGATTATCCATCTGCAAAAAAGAGAACAGAGGAGAAAAAAAGGAAAAAGGAAAAAGATGACATCACCTCTTACTTTCCTATTACCCTGAACAGGGCATCCCCCATTCATCCTTAGGGTTACAGAATGAACTGCTCTTACCATGTACCCTTAACCTAGGTCCCATCTCATCACAATTACCCACCTGAGAACAGAATAGGTACTGGAGTGAACAGGAGGGCCCCTATTCATCATTGGGGTTCTGGAATGAACTGGTATTGCCATATACCCCTAATCTTGCCTTCATCTCTGTTCTAATGGTAATCTGTTAGCCTGGGACCAAACTTCATCTCTGTCCTATAGGTCTCTTGTACCTGAAGCCTTGGGCCAGCCTATATCCTTGTCTTCATGACATTATAGTGACTCTCACATGGAGCATTCTCACAACAAAATGATTATCTCTTTTCTCAGATTCCCATTTCCCATGTTCTTTAGGTAAACAAGAAGCCTGTTTCTCAGCTAACTGCTGCAAGAGGGATGGACTTCCCTCCCTTTGAATATGATCTTGAAGGTCTTGATACATACTGAGAAGGGTGTGGAAGTGATTAGAGAAATAGAGGCTACAGGAGGAAGTGGGAGGAAGCAAGAGGAATGTTCATGAAAAGCCTTCATATACTTATAAAAACAGCAGCCCTTGGATTCCAGAGGGTGACATTTATTTACCCTGTTGACATCAAGAGGAATCTCCAGAGGACTTGGGCCCTGGGATAAGGGCTCACAAATGGCAAAGGAAGAATATCTTCTCCTCCCAAAGGAGTGGGTGCTAACTCAAAAAATCCAGATGGGGGTCTTCAAAGGGTCCCAGAGTGAGGCCCTATTCAGTCAGACAAACTGCTTCAAAAGCCACAGGAGAACTTAGCCCTGATGTGTAACAGGAACCAAAAGCATATGGTAAGTCATAAGGAGCTGGCAGAGCTGGGCTTCTGATGAGTGTCTGTCCCAGCAATATTCCAGCAGACAGGTGAAGGGTTGGAGGTCATCTGAGCTGGTAGGGTAAAAACAGCACAAATCTCAGGGGATATCTGCAAGGGAGACCATGTCTTTGCTGCCATGCAAATGCAGCAAAAGCCATGAGTGCATGCATAACAGGGAGTGTTTTCAGGGCAGAGAAGGAAGTCACGCAGCATGCCAAGTGAAAGCAGAAAAGGCAGACTTGCCCCTTAGGTGGACAGTCTGGTGGGTGTGCAAGGCCATTTTGGAATACATACAGAGAAACCAAGAGAATAGGCAAGGCAGGTTTTTGGGAAAGAACTGATTTCAGCTGAAAAAGCAGAGGAAATCCCAGACATTGAACAGTTTTAGGCTTTAGCTCTGCCATTTTCATGAGCCTCCTGCACAGGAGGGCCATTAGAGTCTCAGGTCTACTTGGTGCAGATTCCAAGGTCATTCCCACCCTCATGAGCCACCTGTCAGAGTGAGCTGAGAAATAAGCTGGAGGAAGCAGAGCCACTGGGGTCGAGAGGAATCATTCTGGGGGTTGGTTAGTAAGCAGGAGAGTGAATGGGGAGAAGGAAACTGTATACAGGGTTGAATGCCTCCAGACATGTATGGGCAACTTGAGAGATTCAAGTGCATGGTTTGACCTTTGACTTGGGTTTTATGAATGGGCATGCTTCCAGGTAGGAAGGGTTGCATCTCTTCTTCCCGGATTCTTTCTTTGGGGTGGCCTGTCCACATGCATGTGTGTTTACTGAAGTTGTGCACATGATCACTTGAGGCGGTCTTCCCTTACCAGTTGAGTATTCCTAGAGGAAGGTCATATACCAAGTGAACTTCACCATTTTGTCTCTTACTGTGCATGCTCCAGCTGAAGAAGGCGAGGCATAGAGGTATCTTACCACCAGGAAACATATCCAAGTCATGCAACACCAAAGTATGTTAGCAGTGGTGAGTCTGTATGAGTCTGCAGCAACCTCAATTCTTTCCTCCTCAGAAAAAAGAATCTGACTGAGGGGCATAAAGCAAAGTGAGAGACCAAGGCAAGTTTTAGAACAGAAGTGAAAATGTATTAAAAGGTTTTAGACAGGAACGATAGGAAGTAAAGTACACCTGGAAGAGGGCTAAGAGGGCTACTTGAGAGATTCAACTATGTGGTCCAACCTTTGATTTGGGCTTTATACATTGGCATGCTTCTGGGGGTTGCATCTCCCCTGATTCTTCCCTTGGAGCGGGCTGTCTGCATGCACAGTAGCATGCCAGTGCTTGGGAAGGGTTGCATGCTGTGAGTTTACTTAAGTTGTGCACATGCTCACTTGGGGCTCTCTTCCCTTACTAGTCGAGGGTTCCTATAAGGTCATATACCAGGTAAACTCTGCCATTTTGCCTCTTAGTGTGCATGCTTGGTTCCCCTCACCCAACTCCTGAGATCTTATCGGAAGCTGCTAATCACCAGCTTCAGATGTTTTCTATCTACTGGGAGACAGCCTTTCCCTGGCACCAGCTGTGACCAAATATTATTTTAGAGAGTCAGTTTAACAACCACCTGACCATCACCTGATGGTCACGTGACATTCCTTTGTGGGGACGGGGATAGCCATTTCCTATCCTGTTTATGTCTGACTATCTACTATAACAATTATACCCTCCTCCCTTTGGAATTCAGGCACAACTGACCAGCATTAACATGAAAACAGAGATCTTAACATTAACAACACATACTCTGTAGCAACGAGATACTGAATTCCAACCTGACTCTAGTCAGACATCTAGTATAGCATCACATGACAAATAGCAGGCCCTTAAAGAAAATAAAGTATTGCACTCCAAAATATATTCTTTGACATATTTTGAAATGGCCCTGCAAAGTTGTCTCTTATGGGGGAAATTTACATTGTGTAGAGAATTCTCTTCCCTTTCCAGGTCTTTTTCTGATCCTGAAGAGATTAGTTGAGGTTTAGCACCTTTTAAAAGTCTGAATAGGAAACATTTGCCATCTATTCCTTTAAGAATGGCCACCTCGAGACTTCATCTACATAATAAGAACCTTGGTTTCCACAACCCCTTATCTTAATCTAGACACTCCTTTCTATTGATTCCAGGTCTTTAGATATTACCTTAACTCTTTCAACCAATTGCCAATCAGAAAATCTTTGAATCCACCTATAACCTGTAAACCTCCCTTTTCCCCACCCAGACTGAACCCATGCATACCTTAGATGTATTGATTGACATTTTATGATTCCCTAAAATGTGTAAAACCAAGCTGTAACCCAACTGCCTTGGGTACATGTTCTCAGGAACTTCTGAGGCTGTGTTATGGGTCATGGTCCTCACATTTGGCTCAAAATAAATCTCTTCAAATGTTTTACAGAATTTGGCTTTTTCATCAACAGAAGGCCAGGAAGCCAGACCAGGGCTGGCCCAGCTCAGCACACTCTGAGTGACCCAGGACACACCGTGAGTTCTTGCAGGGACCCAGCCCAGAATCTGGGGCCTCTATACATTGATTGGGTTCCAGAGTGGGCTGGGAAACCTAGCCTCCCAGGGTAGCCAGATGAAACCCTGGGAGGCCTTAGCAACAGGCACTTTCTCCAGTTTTACAAGCCACATATGGGCTAGAGGCTGGGCACAGACTCAAATTGCCTAGCAGGGTTCTGTTTTTGTCTTGTTTTGTTTTGTTTTGTGCTGCCAGAGGAGAAAGGTGTGTCATGAAATAAAGACCTTCACCATTTTGGGGGGCAGCAGCAGTTTCTGTGAGCTGAGGCTGGAGTTGGCATTTCTCCTTGGGCCAGACCTGGTCTTGGCCCTTAGAAGCATATAGGTGATAAGAGAACAAAGATGTTAATTAATGACATGTAGAATGTGGCCTGTGACTAGAATTCCTGGGTGCAATTAGAACATGTACCAGGGGATCTGACCTGGTCTGTGGGGTCAGATTTGTTGGGACTAAGACCTGAGAAGTGGCATTCTCCAAGCAAAGAGGAAGAGAAAAACATCTGTAGGCAGAGGGACCAGCCTGTAAATGATGGAGGCATTAGGGGACCAGTATGGCTAGAGTGAAGGTTGTGAGGAGAGGAAAGAGTGAGAGAAGCTTCTGGAAAGACAGTCAGGGCCCTGACCTGAGGGAGGCCAAGGGCCAGGATGAGGACTCTAGATTTTATCCTAAGTATCCAGTGAATGACAAGTGCTCCATGATCAAGAACTTAGACTACCCAGCAGAATGGATAGCTCATGACCTTTTACCTCTGGTGAAGGTTTTGACCAAGAACAAGGTGCTGATTTCTGCCCCACCTTTTCATTCTTCAGGCTTCTCTCTGCTCTCACCAATGCCAAGACTTTGTTCATCGTCTTACTCACCATATACCCCTAGCTGCTAGCACAGTGCCGGCACCAACCTACTTTGTTGACTGTCTGACTCGGCATTCAGGGTCTGACCCGATGTTGTGCTGGATAGTCAGGAGCGACTGGGAAAGCATCCTTCTAACGTGCACACTGCCCAGTTGCATGTGCTTCTGCAGTAGAGGGCTGAGGATCTGAAGGTTGTTGCTGAAGCTTGTTCAGCTCTATCTTTGGAAACAGTATGTTCACATAAAGTGCTGTATTGGTTTTCTAAGACTGTTACCTCAAGTACTTCAAGCTGGTGTCTTAAAACAACAGAAATGTATCATTCCACAGTTCTGGAAACCCTAAGTCTGAAATCAAGGTGTCAGCAGGGCCATGTTCCCTCTGAAACCTTCAGGGGAACTTTTGTCACCTCTTCCAGCTTCTGGGTTTGAAGGCAATCTTTGGCGTTCTTGGCTCTTTCCAAATAAGATCACATTTTGAGGTACTGGGGGGTTAAGACTTCAACATATCTTTTAGGAGCCAGGGGGACAAAAGACGTTAAACCCATAACAAGTACCAAGGTCTCTTTTCACTGTCAGCCATTGCTGCCTCCAAGCTGATGACCAAAGGGTGACTTCAATGACAAAATTAATTGAGATGCTGCCATGAATGACCCGAGCTAACCAGGTCTCTCAGCCCACGCTGGCTCACCCACAGGCCCACTAAGGGGCAAAGTGGGTGAAGCAGGATGCTGGCATGCTGGCTGTGGCACTTCCTAATCCTGTTTAATCTGTATAATGTGGCCCTGGTTGGGATGTCCTGACTCCATCAGACATGCCAATCCTATCTGGGTTGTAAGTGGTTAGGTATTATTAGTGTATGTCCCAGAAAGCTGTCCTTTTCTCTTCCTCCCCTAAAGAAGCATCAGTATTGTGAGTTGCTCCAGATGTGGGCCAGAAGCTTTCTGGTTGCTTCTCCTGACTGGGCTCAGACAAAGACCTTGAAACTCTGGTGATGTCCTAATTGGGTGTGGCCTTTTCTTCTGTGGCACAACCTTGGCCTCAGACCAAATCCAGTCAGTTCAGATAATATGATGGAATTTAGATTTTTTTATAGTACACTAGTTATTGTGAAAAAAGGAATAAGTTGATTCATATTGGAATGGATCTATTAGCGGATGTTGGGGATAAGTGAGAAGCTGTAACTTAGCTTTCCTTTGTAACTCAAGGGAAAAAAAATATATGGTTTGATTCAAACTTTAGAAAACAAGCTTGATATTTTTTCCAGTTTTGAGTTCTGGCTCACTTTGCTAAACTATCCCATTTGACAGGACAAGAAAGCCTGCCTGTTCTGAGGAAGGCAATTTATACTCATCAGCAGTTGTCAACAGGATGGTGAGCACCTAGCATGTAGTAAGCACTCAATCCACCCCCACCCCACACTGCCCCCATCCAGACTGCATTAAGAGCCATTGTTTAACTATGCCAGGGATCAATCAGAGTGCATTCCTTCATTGCATTTCTTCTTGGCCATCGTTTGGAAGTGGTTTGGAAAATGAGTACACATCCTGCCAATCTCCTTGGTCCTACCTCTATCTCCCTCCACACATCTGTAAAATGGGTATCCTAGAATATCCGAAGGACAACTCAGGCAAGATCTCTACTGAGCTCAGGGAACCTTGGAACAAAAAATATCACATTATATCCATTGGGGTCTCTGAATTTTCCAAAGCTCAGATAATGTCAGCTTTAAAGAAAATACTTTGCAGCCAGGCACAGTGACTCATGCCTATAATCCCAGAACTTTGAGAGGCTGATGCGGGCAGATCATTTGAGGCCATGAGCTTCAGACCGGCCTGGCCAACATGGCGAAACTGTATTTCTCTGCTAGAAATACAAAAATTAGCTGGGTGTGGTGGTGCATGCCTGTAGTTCCAGCTACTCGGGAGGCTGAGGCATGAAAATCGCTTGAAGCTGGGAGGAAGAGGTTGCAGGGAGCTGAGAATGCATCACTCCATTCCAGCCTCAGCAACAGAGTGAGACTCTGTCTAAAAAAAAAAAAATTCAACCATTGTGGAAGTCAGTGTGGCGTTTCCTCAGGGATCTAGAACTAGAAATACCATTTGACCCAGCCATCCCATTACTGGGTATATACCCAAATGACTATAAATCATGCTGCTATAAAGACACATGCACACGTATGTTTATTGCGGCATTATTCACAATAGCAAAGACTTGGAACCAACCCAAATGTCCAACAATGATAGACTGGATTAAGAAAATGTGGCACATATACACCATGGAATACTATGCAGCCATAAAAAACGATGAGTTCATGGCTGGATGGATGAAATTGGAAATCATCATTCTCAGTAAACTATCGCAAGAACAAAAAACCAAACACCGCATATTCTCACTCATAGGTGGGAATTGAACATTGAGATCACATGGACACAGGAAGGGGAATATCATACTCTGGGGACTGTGGTGGGGTGGGGGGAGGGGGGAGGGATAGCATTGGGAGATATACCTAATGCTAGATGACGAGTTAGTGGGTGCAATGTACCAGCATGGCACATGTATACATATGTAACCAACCTGCACAAGGTGCACATGTACCCTAAAACTTAAAGTATAATAATAAAAAAATAAATAAATAAATAAATTTAAAAAAAGGAAGAAAAAGAAAAAAAATACTTTGTATTTGCATAGGGTGTTACACTTCTCAAGGTTTTCTCTCACTCTCTTATTTTATTTTATTTATTTTGTAGAGGCAGCATCTCGCTATGTTGCCCAGGCTGTTCTTGATCTCCTGCACTGAAGCAATCCTCCCGCATCAGCCTGCTGAAGTGCTGGGATTACAGGCATGAGCCACTGTGCCTGGCCTCTCTCACTCTCATTCTCTCAGTTTCTTTCTGTCTCTGTTTGTCTCTCACCTGTGCACTTGCATGCACAGTCATGCACACACAGAGAGATACACATACATGAGTTTGGTCTGAACTGACCCTCACAAAATTTCAGTGGCAGTATATAGATGAAGTAGTATCCCAATTTTGCAGATGAGGAAACTGAGTCCCAGGGAAGGTAAGGGACATGACAGTAAGTCAGTGGATAAACACAGGGACTAGAACCTATCGGTGCTCTTTTCTCTGCATTACAGGCTCACTTAGAAGAAGAACAGCTGAAGCACAGTGAAGGTGTGGAATGGGAATGGGGAAGGGTTAGGCTAGAAGGCAAGTGCCTGGATTTCTTCCCGAGGTGCTGCCCTCTGCAGCCTTTTCTGGGTGCAACACCTGACCTAAGGTGCATAGATATCCTGGCCCCAAGCCTGGCAGGCAAGCTCTCTGGGAGTAAACAAGGCTTTTCCTCCCACCCCCACAACCCTCCCATCTCCCCTCGGTGTCTCGTGATGCTGGCCCCACCCTGGAGCGCATGCTTCAGAGCTATCAGGGCACTGGGGCTGGGTGACCGCTACAGGAACTCATCCATAAACACACAAACAATGACTCAGGAAGTGCAAGCCTTTGATGTGGCTCAAGGGCCACCCTGTGAGCACGTGGGGCTCCCTTCAAGGTCATTTTACCCATGTGTGGCTTCACCAGTGTCCAGAGCCCTCTCTCATCTAATTTCATCTGATCTCTCTCAGGCCCTGTGTGGTAGACAAAGCAATGATCTGGAAACTGAGGCTGAGAGAGACTTAAGTGGCTCAGTAGCGGTGTGTAGGAATCAGAGCTGGCCGACAAGTTAGGGATCTTGGAATCCAAGGACAGCTGTGTCCTCAGAGCTGGGGGACCTCTGTCTGTCTTCAGAGTTGACTCCAAGCAGTTGTTCTGTCTCACAGGGCCTCAGCTCCTTCATTTGTCAAAGAGAGCTACTGCTTCTTCCAGACATTGCTAGGGTCCAAAAAAGCAGCTTCTTTATGATGCTACTTTGAGAACCATTAAAGAACTAAAATGAAACAAAACAAAACTTTTTGGCCTCATGATTCCAATAATCTACTGAATCAATGACTGAATGAAGACAAAGTTTGGGTATATTTATGGCTGTTATGAGTGAGCCCAAGCTAGAAAGCAAAATCATTCTCTAAAAATGTCCTCTGAGAATCGGCACCGTAGAACATATCACAGGACCAATTGTCTGGTACCTTCTCTTCTGAGCCATTTGTGGATTATGTTTATATCTTCCCACAGCTGTTCTCCATTTGCCATACTTCTTCATAATGTGCATGATGCAGGCATTGTGGGCTAGTGATGGGGAAAGGGGCACTCTTGGGCAGTTTTAAAGGCAGCATCCCCACAGTTTCGGTTTCCATTTACATATTACTTAAACAGTGAGTCCAACTGCCATTGGGAAAGTGATGGCACTTCTCTTTTAGGATTTCTGTGTTTTGTTTTTCTTCACCAAGAAACTTTCAGATTGAGAGTAGGTGGTTACTTCTTAGTCCAAAAATATCACAGCAGGGGTGGATAGGTAAGGTGAGGCCTACAAATGTAGCTGGATGTGGATGAAAAGGAAATGCAATTTGTAAAGATCAAACCATTGCAGTATGATACAGTAAGAAATTAGCAAACCAATGTCTCATTTTGTTGCAGATTGAATCTATTTACTGAAAAACACTTGTTTTTATAGAAATTAGCTATACCAGGAATTTATTTTAGCCTTCCCAACCTTTCCATCCATTTTCTTTGAGCTTTCTTCTAGCCTATGAATCTGAAAGTTATCACAAATCCAGTGAAAAGTGACTTCAGCTGGCCCATCAGCTGTTCACAGGGCCTGTGTTTACCTTTCAAAAGAAATTGATTTTTCCTAACAATTATGCCAAGCACAGAGATTTTGCTTCAGTTATCTCAGGTTAATTTGTAGTGCCTTCTAGCCTGAAATGCTGACAAGCAGATGACTGACTCTAAGAAATCTAGAAAAATTTGCAGGTTTATATTACAAATGTTTCTCCACTGAATAAAACTTTGTGAGTGTATGTGAATAAAATACATTTAGGGGAAACTTCTACTATAGAGAAGTGAATTAAAATTCAGTAATGCCAATTCAAGCAACCACCCTAGAAGGGGTTCTAGCCTTCTCCTAACTCCAGCTTCCCAAATTATCAATGAACCCACTTGAATTTTCTTCATCAGACACATATGCTTTATCTTTCTACGTGGCAGAAATGCATGCCACAGCCAAAAATGCCTGCAGCTGCCTACGAGGAAGTAACTCTGAGAAACACAGAATCTCACGGATAGAAGAAATACTAAAACTAGATGTTTTCTAGCGTCATCTTCTTAATTAACACAGAAGACTTTCTTGCTTCATTTTTCCACTTTTGGCTATAGAGAGGAGGAGGGGGTCTTTTCCTTCTGTTGTTTTGTGGTTTTTGTTTTTGCCAATAGCAATAAGTGGTCTTTATTTTGAGCCTGATTCATATAAAATATCCATAAAAATCAACAATGACATTTATGAGATTTTGAACATTGGATATTTGATATTAACAAAATGATGGTTACTAGTTTTAGTAACCTTTAAAATACTTTTTTAAAGTATTTTAAAACCCTTAAAATACTTCAAAAAGTATTTAGTAATACATTTTTTTAGAGTCCTTTTTTGGAGATTTTAAAAATTAATTAATTTATTTATTAATTTTATTATACTTTAAGTCCTAGGGTACATGTGTACAACATGCAGGTTTGTTACATATGTAAACATGTGCCATGTTGGTGTGCTGGACCCATTAACTCGTCATTTACATTAGGTATTTCTCTTAATGCTGTCCCTCCCCCCTCCCCCTACCCCACCACAGGCCCCAGTGTGTGATGTTCCCCGCCCTGTGTCCAAGTGTTCTCATTGTTCAATTCCCACCTATGAGTGAGAACATGCAGTGTTTGGTTTTCTGTCCTTGCGATAGTTTGCTCAGAATGATGGTTTCCAGCCTCATCCATGTCCCTACAAAGGACAAGAACTCATCCTTTTTATGGCTGCATAGTATTCCATGGTGTACACATGCCACATTTTCTTAATCCAGTCTGTCACTGATGAAACAGCATCCCTTCCTTACACCTTACACAAAAATTAATTCAAGATGGATTAAAGACTTAAATGTTAGACCTAAAACTATAAAAACCCTAGAAGAAAACCTAGGCAATACCATCCAGGACATAGGCATGGGCATGGACTTCATGACTAAAACACCAAAAGCAATGGCAACAAAAGCCAAAATAGACAAACGGGATCTAATTAAACGAAAGAGCTTCTGCACAGCAAAAGAAACTACCATCAGGGTGAACAGGCAACCTACAGAATGGGAGAAAATTTTTGCAATCTACCCGTCTAACAAAGGGCTAACATCCAGAATCTACAAAGAACTTAAGCAAATTTACAAGAAAAAATCAAACAACCCCATCAAAAAGTGGGCAAAGGATATGAACAGACACTTCTCAAAAGAAGACATTTATGCAGCCAACAGACACGTGAAAAAATAATCATCATCACTGGTCATCAGAGAAATGTGAATCAAAACCATAATGTTTTAGTACCAGTACCATGCTGTATTGGTTACTGTAGCCTTGTAGTATAGTTTGAAGTCAGGTAGTGTGGTGCCTCCAGATTTGTTATTTTTGCTTAGGATTGTCTTGGCAATGCGGGCTCTTTTTTGGTTCCATATGAACTTTAAAGTAGTTTTTTCCAATTCTGTGAAGAAAGTCATTGTTAGCTTGATGGGGATGGTATTGAATCTATAAATTATCTTGGGCAGTATGGCCATTTTCACGATATTGATTCTTCCTATCCATGAGCATGGAATGTTCTTCTATTTGTTTGTGTCCTCTTTTACTTCATTGAGCAGTGGTTTGTAGTTCTCCCTGAAGAGGTCCTTCACATCCCTTGTAAGTTGGATTCCTAGGTATTTTATTCTCTTTGAAGCAATTGTGAATGGGAGTTCACTCATGATTTGGCTCTCTGTTTGTCTGTTGTTGGTGTATAGGAATGCTTGCGATTTTTGCTCATTGATTTTGTATCCTCAGGCTTTGCTGAAGTTGCTTATCAGCTTAAGGAGATTTGGGGTTGAGACAATGGGGTTTTCTAAATATACAATCATGTCATCTGCAAAAAGGGACAATTTGACTTCCTGTTTTCCTAATTGAATACCCTTTATTTCTTTCTCCTGCCTGATTGCCCGGGCCGAACTTCCAACACTGTGTTGAATAGGAGTGGCAAGAGAGGGCATCCCTGTCTTGTGCTAGTTTTCAAAGGGAATGCTTCTAGTGTTTGCCCATTCAGTATGATATTGGCTGTGGGTTTGTCATAAACAGCTCTTATTATTTTGAGATATGTCCCATCAATACCTAATTTATTGAGAATTTTTAGCATTAAAGGCTGTTGAATTTTGTTGAAGCCCGTCTCTGCATCTATTGAGATAATCATGTGGTTTTTGTCTTTGGTTCTGTTTATGTGATGGATTACATTTATTGATTTGCATATGTTCAACCAGCCTTGCATCCCAGGGATGAAGCCAACTTGATTGTGGTGGATAAGCTTTTTGATTGCTTCTGGATTCGATTTGTCGGTATTTTATTGAGGATTTTCGCATCAATGTTCATCAGGGATATTGGTCTAAAATTCTCTTTTTTTGTTGTGTCTCTGCCATGCTTTGGTCTCAGGATGATGCTGGCCTCATAAAATGAGTTAGGGAGGATTCCCTCTTTTTCTATTGATTGGAATAGTTTCAGAAGGAATGGTACCAGCTGCTCTTTGTACCTCTGGTAGAATTCTGCTTTGAATCTGTCTGGTCCTGGACTTTTTTTGGTTGCTAGGCTATCAATTATTGCCTCAATTTCAGCTCCTGTTATTGGTCTATTCAGAGATTCAGCTTCTTCTAGGTTTAGTCTTGGAAGGGTGTATGTGTTGAGGAATTTATCCATTTCTTCTAGATTTTCTGGTTTATTTGCATAGAGGTGTTTATAGTATTCTCTGATGGTAGTTTGTATTTCTGTGGGATCGATGGTGATATCCCCTTTATCATTTTTTATTGCGTCTATTTGATTCTTCTGTTTTCTTCTTTATTAGTCTTGCTAGTGGTCTATCAATTTTGTTGATCTTTTCAAAAAAACCAGCTCCTAGATTCATTGATTTTTTGAAGGTTTTTTTGTGTCTCTAACTCCTTCAGTTCTGCTCTGATCTTAGTTATTTCTTGCCTTCTGCTAGCTTTTGAATGTGTTTGCTCTTGCTTCTCTAGTTCTTTTAATTGTGATGTTAGGGTGTCGATTTTAGATCTTTCCTGCTTTCTCCTGTGGGCATTTAGTGCTATAAATTTCCCTCTACACACTGCTTTAAATGTGTCCCAGAGATTCTGATATATTGTGTCTTTGTTCTCATTGGTTTCAAAGAACATCTTTATTTCTGCCTTCATTTTATTATTTACCCAGTAGTCATTCAGGAGCAGGTTGTTCAGTTTCCATGTAGTTGTGTGGTTTTGAGTGAGTTTCTTAATCCTGAGTTCTAATTTGATCGCACTGTGTTCTGAGAGACAGTTTGTTGTGATTTCTGTTCTTTTACATTTGCTGAGGAGTGTTTTACTTCCAACTATGTGGTCAATTTTGGAATAAGTGCAATGTGATGCTGAGAAGAATGTATATTCTGTTGATTTGGGGTGGAGAGTTCTGTAGATGTCTATTGGGTCCGCTTGGTGCAGAGCTGAGTTCAAGTCCTGGATATCCTTGTTAACTTTCTGTCTCATTGATCTGTCTAATATTGACAGTGGGGTGTTAAAGTCTCCCATTATTATTGTGTGGGAGTCTAAGTCTTGTTGTAGGTCTCTAAGGACTTGCCTTATGAATCTAGGTGCTCCTGTATTGGGTGCATATATATTTAGGATAGTTAGCTCTTCTTGTTGAATTGATCCCTTTACCATTATGTAATGGCCTTCTTTGTCTCTTTTGATCTTTGTTGGTTTAAAGTCTGTTTTATCAGAGACTAGGATTGCAACCCATGCTTCTTTTTTGTTTCCCATTTGCTTGGTAGATATTCCTCCATCCCTTTATTTTGAGCCTATGTGTGTCTCTGCATGTGAGATGGGTCTCCTGAATACAGCACACTGATGGGTGTTGACTCTTTATCCAATTTGCCAGTCTGTGTCTTTTAATTGGAGCATTTAGCCCATTTACATTTAAGGTTAATATTGTTATTTGTGAATTTGATCCTGTCATTATGATATTAGCTGGTTATTTTGCTCATTAGTTCATGCAGTTTCTTCCTAGTATCGATGGTCTTTACAATTTGGCATGTTTTTGCAGTGGCTGATACCGGTCATTCCTTTTCATGTTTAGTGCTTCCTTCAGGAGCTCTTGTAAGGCAGGTCTGGTGGTGACAAAATCTCTCAGCATTTGCTTGTCTGTAAGGCATTTTATTTCTCCTTCATTCATGAGGCTTAGTTTGGCTGGATATGAAATTCTAGGTTGAAAATTATTTTCTTTAAGAATGTTGAATATTGGCCCCCACTCTCTTCTGGCTTATAGAGTTTCTGCCAAGAAATCCGCTGTTAGTCTGATGGGCTTCTCTTTGTGGGTAACCTGACCTTTCTCTCTGGCTGTCCTTAACATTTTTTCCTTCATTTCAACCTTGGTGAATCTGACAATTATGTGTCTTGGGGTTGCTCTTCTCGAGGAATATCTTTGTGGTGTTCTCTGTATTTCCTGAATTTGAATGTTGGCCTGCCTTTCTGGGTTGGGGAAGTTCTCCTGGATAATATCCTGAAGAGTGTTTTTCAACTTAGTTCCATTCACCCTGTCACTTTCAGGTACACCAATCAAATGTAGATTTGGTCTTTTCACATAGTCCCATGTTTCTTGGAGGCTTTGTTCATTTCCTTTCACTCTTTTTCTCTAAACCTCTCTTCTCGCTTCATTTCATTCATTTGATCTTCAATCACTGATACCCTTTCTTCCACTTGATCAAATTGGCTACTGAAGCTTCTGCATGTGTCATGTAGTTCTTGTGCCATGGTTTTCAGCTCCATCAAGTCATTTAAGGTCTTCTCTACACTGTTTATTCTAGTTAGCCATTCATCTAATCTTTTTTCAAGGTTTTTAGCTTCCTTGCAATGGGTTCGAACATCCTCTTTTAGCTCAGAGAAGTTTGTTATTACCGACCTTCTGAAGCCTACTTCTGTCAACTTGTCAAAGCCATTCTCTGTCCAGCTTTGTTCCATTGCTGGCGAGGAGCTATGATCCTTTGGAGGAGAAGGGGCACTCTGGTTTTTAGAATTTTCAGCTTTTTTGCTCTGGTTTCTCCCCATCTTTGTGGTTTTATCTACCTTTGGTCTTTGATGATGGTGACCTACAGATGGGGTTTTGGTGTGGATGTCCTTTTTGTTGATGTTGATGCTATTCCTTTCTATTTGTTAGTTTTCCTTCTAACAGTCAGGACCCTCAGCTGCAGGTCTGTTGGAGTTTGCTGGAGGTCCACTCCAGACCCTGTTTTCCTGGGTATCACCAGCGGAGGCTGCAGAACAGCAAATATTGTTGCCTGATGCTTCCTCTGGAAGCTTCGTCTCAGAGGGGCACCTGGTTGTGTGAGGTGTCATTTGGCCCCTACTGGCAGATGTCTCCCAGTTAGGCTACGTGGGGTTCAGGGACCCACTTAAGGAGGCAGTCTGTCCGTTCTCAGAGCTCAAACTCCATGCTGGGAGAACCACTGCTCCCTTCAGAGCTGTCAGACTGGGACATTTAAGTCTGCAGAAGTTGTTGCTGCCTTTTGTTCAGCTATGCCCTGCCCCCAGAGGTGGAGTCTACAGAGGCAGGCAGGCCTCCTCGAGCTGCAGTGGGATCCACCTAGTTCGAGCTTCCAGCCTGCTTTGTTTACCTAGTCAAGCCTCAGCAATGGCAGACGCCCCTCCCCCAGCCCAGGCTGCCACCTTGCAGATTGATGTCGGACTGCTGCGCTAGCAGTGAGCAAGGTTCCGTGGGCGTGGGACCTGCTGAGCCATGCTCGGGATATAATCTCCTGGTGTTCCGTTTGCTAAGACCATTGGAAAAGTGCAGTATTAAGGCAGGAGTGTCCCGATTTTCCAGGTACCATCTGTCACGACTTCCCTTGGCTAGGAAAGGGAAATCCCCTGACCCCTTGCACTTCCTGGGTGAGGAGATGCCCAGCCCTGCTTTGGCTCAGCCTCTGAGGGCTACATCCACTGTCCAACCAATCCCAGTGAGATGAACCAGGTACCTCAGTTGAAAATGCATAAGTCACCCGTCTTCTGCATCGATCATGCTGGGAGCTGCAGACCAGAGCTATTCCTATTCGGCCATCTTCCTTCTGTTCCTCTTTTTACTCATTTGATAAACTGATAACAGACTAATACTTGATATTCTTTGAACTACATCTTACTGGTGTGTCCAACCACAGGGGCTCCTTGCTAGGTGACATGGGTGTATGTGGGAGACACTGTTCTCTGTCACTTTCACACTGAGCTACTTAGGACTGGGCGCAAAGCCAGTCTGTGGTTCTTTCAACTGCCAAAACAAGCGGATGCAGGCATTGTTTTTATATAAAATGGAAGGAAAATCAAGAACATAATTCAAGTTTTAGGTTCTTACCTTGTCATGGTGGTACAGAAAGAGTTTGGCAGCCCAAACACTAAGGAATTAGGCATATACAGGAGCCAGAGAAAGAGATGTCACACACAAATCTTACAAGGAAAGGGCAGTGGTGGCTCCCCAGTGCCTAATAAACCTTGGTCTGACAACAGGGTAAAAAAATGCAAATGCAGTACAATATCCTGGGGGCATTAATTACTTTAGGGCATCTTGCTGCTGCCCTGTTAGACAGTAATTTGTTAATCCTTAGGATCTCCTGATAAGATAAGGTTTGTATGCTCTTGATGCCTTTAAGTTACACAAAAGCTTCCAAGGCTCCTGGAAATGTTATCAATTGCAATATATTTTGAAACCAAGCATTATATATCAATCACGCTCCTTGAGTTTCAAGTTACAACCAATTACCATAGTACACAAGGCCCTTCACAACCAGGCTGCCATTTATCTCTCCATGCTTTCCCTCATGTATTACTCTTAGGCTCTCATTTACTCCAAGTCAGACTGAACTGTGTGCAGTACTTAGACCACCAAGCCTCCCTGGATCTTTCCCTTGCTTGTATGTAGCTAATGCAAGCTTCCAGACTCAGTTTGGATTTTGCTTCTTTTAGGAAAACATTACAGGCCTCTCTCACAAGGCCAGACTTAGTAAAAACTAACTATTTTTCTGGAGCACTCAGGGCTTATTTTAAATTCTAAATGACCTGAATTCTAAGGATCCCTGAAAGAAACAGATTGAACAGTCAAATTAAGATAATTTGTGGAGGATTTCAAAAAGGGTCTATTTCATAAAGATGTGTGCAAGATACAGGGAAACCATATAGGATACAGTACTCTGGGACTAGTAACAGTGAAGGCTATTACTACCTTTAGGCCAGAAGGAGGAAGTGGAGGAAGTGGTTATCAGAATTCTGATAGGATAGTCACACTTCGTTTCCTTGAAATGAGTTGTGATCTTCAACAAAGGGATGTAGTCAGCATAAGAACACTCTAGGGAGAAAGTTAGGGTGATAAATATTCTGACTTCATCCTCTTTCCAACCTCTGATCTCCTGCTAGGTCTCCACATTCGCTGAAACCAATAGGATGTAAGACAGCAAGGAAAATATTGCCTAAATAGCCTCCCAAGACTGAAAGCAGGCTGAGTATAATGGCAGATTACATATAGAGAAACAATAATAAAAATGACTGCCAACTTCGTATGCAAAACAATAGAAGCCAGAAGACAACGGAAATGGTATATTTAAAGTAGTGCCAAAAAGCCCTGTCGATCCAGAATTTTATAGTTAGTAAAACTATGTTTCAAAACCAACGATTGAATAAAGAAATTTTCAAATCAACAAAGACAGAGACTTTTTCACAAGCAGAACTGCATTACAAAAAATGTCAAATGAAGTTCTGGAGGCTGAAGGGAAATGACACTAGTTGGTGACTCAGATCTATAGGAAGGAATAAAGAACATGGGTAATAGTAAATAACTGGATAAATATAAAAGTCTGCATTTATTTTTTCCTCTAAATTTATTTAAAAGACATATGACTTATTTTATTTTATTGAAGAAAAAATTAATCTGCTTATTGGCAACATAGTATTTGGGAAAACTTCAGGTTTAGAAACTCTAAGGACAAAGAAGAGTGGGCACTAATGTGCAAATGGAATGCCAGGCCAATGTCCAAGTGGAAAAGTAGATCCCTTAATCATGGACTGAAATGCAGAGACCCACACTGATCTCAAGGCAGTTATGATTTCCAAATTAAGCAACAAGTATATGACATATGATTCTTTACAGTAAAAATTATGAAGAGTTGCTACACTTGTAATAATGTAGGTATATACGTGATAACAATTGCACAAATAATAGGAGTTGTAAATGGAACTATAATGTTGAGAGTTCCTATATTTTACATGAAGTATTGCAATACTGGGAAGATTTTGATAAGTTGTATAATGTAAGCCCTACAGCAATCACCAAAGAATAATACAAAGAGGTACAGATAAAAATCCAATGAATGAGTTAAAATGAATCTTAAAAGCTATTCGTTTAATCTAAATAAAGAAAAAATATATAAGAAAGAAAAGATGGCAAAATGGTAGACCTAAATCCAACTGTATCAATAATTATTATAAATGTAAATAAAATAAGCACTCAAAGTAAAAGGCAGAGAATGTCAATACTGGATACAAAAGCAAGACCTACTTATAGGATATCTAGAAAAGATATTCTTTAAATATACAGACATAAATAGGTTGAAAGTAAATGGTTTTGTGTATTGGGGTCTAGTGCAGGAGCTCAGTCTAAAACAATGGACTCCCACAAATTTTAACATTTCCTAAATAGGCAATTAAAATTTATACATTTTTCTCTAAGCAGTACTTTCATTGCTTTCCGCAAATTTTGTATTCACATTATCATTCAGTTTCAAATATTTTCTAATTCCTCTTTTAATTTTCTCTGACTTTTGGCTTACTCAGCAGTCAATTATTTAGTTGTAGAATAGTTGGAGTCACTTGTGCTAAGCGCCACATAATTAAACTGAAATGTTAAGGAAGCAGGAAAATCTCCAAACAGACCGGTTATTTCTAAAAATAGGAGATTCACAGCAACCAATCAGAAAGCCCAGTTAACCTGAGCTGGTATGATAATGAAATCCCCTACTTTAACCTTTCCAAGGAAAGTAGCCTGTAAGTAACCTGATTTTTACCAATTTGCCTTTTGTACTGCTCTGTTTCTTTGTTCTCACTCAACCTACTTTATAAAAATAACCATTCAGCCATGTCCAACAGAGCACTTTTCTATTTTTTTTTTAATAAATGTGGTGCTTCCTGATTCAGGAATCACTAATAAAAGACAGTTAGATCTTTAAACTCAATTCGTTGAAATTTTGTTTTTGGCAGAAAAGAAATAATGCTTAAAATCAATTATCTTAGAAGCCATGTTAAGTGACTAGAAAAAAATACGAGCAAATGAAAACCAAAACTTGAAGAAAGGTAATAAGAAAGATATGAACACAAATCTATTGAAAAGAAAATAAGCAACAGTTATAATTAATAAAGTATAAGATATGCTTTATCAATGTTAGCAATAAGAGAGAGGCTATCACTTAGATTCTGCAGATATCAAAGGAATAATACAGGAATATTATGAGCAACTATATTGCAGTAAAATAAAAAACTTGGATGAAATAAACAAATTCCTCGAAAATCACAACCTATAAAATTAAAAATAGTGACACCATCAAATGTTGGTAAGACTGTAGAGTGATCAGGGCTCTTATCCATTGCTGATGGGAATGTAAATTGGTAAAGCTATTTTAGTTTCTTATAAAGCTAAACCTACAGTCACTTAATGACCTATCAATATTTCTAGATATTTGCTCTAGAGAAGTATAAATGTAGGCCCACAAAAACACATGCACCCAACACAGGAGTGCCCAGGTTCACAAAGCAAGTTCTTAGAGACCTATAAAGAGACTTAGACTACCACACAATAATAAGTTGGTACTGGCAGTATTAGATAGATCATCGAGGCAGAAAATTAATAAAGATATTCAGATCCTGAACTCAACATTGGACCCAATGGATCTGATAGACCTCTGCAGAACCCTCCATGCAAAAACAACAGAATACACATTCTTTTCATCACCATATGCACGTACTCTAATATCAACCACACTATCAGATATAAAACAATCCTCAACAAATACAAAAAAACTGAAATCATACCAAACACACTGTCAGACCACAGCACAATAAAAATAGAAATCAAGAATTTAAAAATCAGTCAAAATTATTCAGTTACATAGAAATTAAACAACCCACTCCTAAATGACGCAGGGTAAATAATGAAATTAAGGGAGAAATCAAGACGAAACTAATGAGAACAAAGATACAACATACCAGAATCTCTGGGACACAGCAACGCAGTATTAAGAGGAAAATTTAGGCCGGGCACGGTGGCTCACACCTGTAATCCCAGCACTTTGGGAGGCCGAGGTAGATGGATCATGAGGTCAGGAGATCGAGACCATCCTGGCCAAGATGGTGACACACCATCTCTACTAAAAATACAAAAATTAGCTGGGTGCGGTGGTGTGCACCTGTAGTCCCAGCTACCCCGGAGGCTGAGGCAGGAGAATCGCTTGAACCCAAGAGGCAGAGGTTGCAGTGAGCCAAGATCACGCCAATACACTCCATCCTGGGTAACAGAGTGAGACTCCATCTCAAGAAAAAAAAAAAAAAAAGGAAAATTTATAGCACTAAATGCCCATATCAAAAAGTTAGAAAGATCTCAAATTAACAACCTAACATTACCATTACAACTAAAAGAAATAGAGAAAGAAGATCAAACCCACCCCAAAGCTAGCAGAAGACAAGAAAACCAAAATCAGAGCTGAACTGAAAGAGACCGAGACACGAAAAACCATTTAGAAGATAAACAAATCCAGGAGTTTGTTTTTGGGAAAACAAAATAATAAGATAGATAGGCTGACAGCTAGGCTAATAAAGAGAAAAAGAGAGAAGATCCAAATAAACACAATCAGAAATGACAAAGGGGAATATTATCAATGACCCCATAGAAATGCAAACAATCATCAGATACTACTATGAACACCTCTATGCACACAAACTAGAAACCCTAGAAGAGATGGATAAATTTTTGGACACATACATCCTCCCAAAACTGAACCATGAAGAAACTGATTCCCTAAACAAGTCAATAATCAGCTCTGAAATGGAATCAGTAATAAATAGCCTACCAACCAAAAAAAGCCCAAGACCAGAGAGATTCACTGCTGAATTCTATCAGATGTACAAAGAAGAGTGGGTACCATTCCTACTGAAACTATTCAAACAAATTGAGGAGCAGGGATTCCTCCCTAACTCATTCTATGAGGCCAACATCATCCTAATACCAAAACCTGGCAGAGACAAAAGAAAAAAAAAGAAAATTTCAAGCCAATATCCTTGATGAACATTGATGCAAAAATCCTCAACAAAATACTAGCAAACTGAATCTGGCAGCACATCAAAAAGTGAATCCACCACAATCAAGTAGCCTTTATCCCTGGGATGCAAGGTTGGTTCAACATATGCAAATCAATAAATGTGATTCATCATATAAACAAAACTAAGGACAAAAATTACAAGACAATTTCAATAGATTCAGAAAAGACTTTCAATAAAATTCAACATTTCTTCATGTTATAAGCCCTTAATAAAATAGATATTGAAGGAACATACCTCAAAATAATAAGAGCCATGTATGACAAATCCACAGCCAACATCATACTGAATGAACAAAAGCTGGAAGCATTCCCCTGAAGAACTGGCAGAAGACAAGAATGTCCTCTCTCACCACTCCTATTCAACATAGTATTGGAAATCCTGGCCAGAGCAATCAGGCAAGGGAAAGAAATAAAAGCCAAGCAAATAGGATGAGAGGAAGTCAAACTATCCCTGTTTGCTGATAACATAATTCTATATATAGAAAACCCCATAGCCTTGGCCCAAAAGTTCCTTCAGCTAATAAACAACTTCAGCAAAGTTTCAGGATACAAAATCAACATACAAAAATTCCTATACACCAACAGCAGCCAAGCTGAGAGCCAAATCAGAAACACAATCCCATTTGCAATTGCAACAAAATGCATAAAATACCTAGGAATACAGCTAACTGGAGATGTGAAAGATCTCTACAATGAGAATTACAAAACACTGCTCAAAGAAATCAGAGATGACACAAACAAATGGAAAAACATTTAATGCTCATGGGTCAAAATAATCAATGTCATTAAAATGGCCACACTGTCCAAAGCAATATACAAATTTAATATTATTCCTATCAAACTTCAATGAAATTCTTCACAGAATAAGATAAAGCTATTCTAAAATTCTTATGAAACCAACAAAAGAGCACGAATAGCCAAGGCAATCATCAACAAAAAGGACAAAACTGGAGGCACATTACCTGACTTCAAAGTATGCTGCAAGACTACAGTAATCAAAACAACATGGCACTGGTACAAAAATAGACACATAGACTAACGGAACAGAGTAGGGAGCCCAGAAATAAAGCCACACACCTACAACCATCTGATCTGTGACAAAGCTGACAAAAACAAAAGCTGACAGGGAAAGGACTCCATATTCAATAAATGATGCTGGGATAACTGGCTAGCCATATGTAGAAGATTGGAACTGGACCCCTTCCTTACACCATATACAAAAATCAATGCTAGGTGGATTAAAGACTTAAATGTAAAACCCAAAACTATAAAAACCCTGTAAGATAAGAAGTTAGGTAATACTGTCTGGACATAGGAACTGGTGAAGATTTCATGATGAAAATGCCTAAAGCAATCACAAAAAAGCAACAATTGACAAATGAGATACAATTAACTTAAGAGCTTCTGCCCAGCAAAGGAAACTATGAACAGAGCAAACAGACAACCTACAGAATAGTGGAAAATATTTGCAAACTATGCATCTGACAAAGGTCTAATACCCAGCATCTATAAGGAACTTAAACAACTTTACAAGAAAAAAAACAAGCAACCCCATTAAAAAGTGAGCAAAGGAAATGAACAGACACTTCTCAAAAGAAGACATACATGCAGCCAACAAGCATATGAAAAAAAGTTCAACATCACTGATCATTAGAGAAATGCAAATCAAAATCACAATGAGATACCATCTCACACCAGTCAGAATGGCTATTATTAAAAAGTCAAAAAATAACAGAAACTGACAAAGTTGCAGAGAAAAATGAATACTCCTACACTGTTGATAGGAGTGTAAATTAGTTCAGCCATTGTGGAAAGCGGTGTAGCAATTCCTCAAAGATCTAAAAACAGTGCTACCATTCAACCCAGCAATCCCATTACTATGTGTATACCCAAAGGAATGTAAATCATACCATAAAGACATGCACGTGTATGTTCATTGCAGCACTATTCACAATAGCAAAGACTATCAATGGTAGATGGGATAATGAAAATGTGGTACACATACAACATGGAATACTATGCAGCCATAGAAAAGAATGAGATCATGTCCTCTGCAGGAAAATTAATGGAGCTGAAAGCCATTGTCCTTGGCAAATTAACGCAGGAACAGAAAACCAAATACCACACGTTCTCACGTATAAGTGGGAGCTAAATGATGAGAACATATGGACACAAAGAGGGGAACAACAGACCTGGGGCCTACTTCAGGGTGGAGGGCAGAAGGGGGAGAGGATCAGAAAAAATAACTATTGGCTACTAGGTTTAGTACCTGAGTGACGGAGTAATCTGTACAACAAACCCCAGTGACACAAGTTTACCTATATAATAAACCTACACATGTACCCCTGAACCTAAAATAAAAATTAAAAGAAAGCACTTGTACATGAATGTTCAAAGCAGATTCTCTGAATACTCTTATTCATAATAGTAAAAACTCAAAACAATTCAAATATCTATCATTACGAAAACAGATAAACAAACTGAGATATATTCATACAATATAATCCTACTCTGCAATAGTATTCATCAACATAGGTGAATCTCATAGATAATGCAAAGGAAGCTGGATACCAAAGGGTGAATATTTTATGTACTTAAAGCATATACTGTATAATTTCATTTATATGAATTTCTAGAAGAGGCAAAGATAATTTGTGGTGATAGAAATTAAAACAGTAGTTGTCTCCGTGGTGATGAGGATTATTAGCTGTAAATAGACTTTAGGGAACTTTTTGAAATAAGAGTGTGGTTTACATGAGTGTTTCCAGATAGATTTTTGCATTCCAATGTTTACATATTTTAATTAAAATAACTATAAAAATAATAAAAATGCATGAACAAACTTTTCTCAGTCAGAAACTTTATAATATTCCCTCTTCTTTGTGTGTTTCCATTTCACAAGTTTTTGCTTTAAAATCTTTTATTGATCACCCTATCACAATATTCTTAGTTTTTGTGTAAATTAAGGCCATAAGCATTAAAACGTCTTCTGTATTGAATGTGTTGAATGGAATGTATTATATATTTTAGTACTATCAAATACAAAAGCAAACTTTCATTGGAAGTGCATCTTTTTATGAGATGAGCAGGATCTCTTTCTAATTAGTTCATGCATCTGTTCATGAATATTACTTATTGCTAAAAGGTCATGATTTATCATCAGTATTACTCCTATTTTCATTTTGATAGATAAAAGCCCTGAAAAAATCATTTGAATGTATAAGAGATGGGAATGGAAGAGTGTATTATAAAAAATTTATTTGAATTACATTTATTTGCCAAAAATCATATAGTGATCAATTATCACAGATTATTTGTAATTATTCACAGCTCACGAGTTGATTGATCCTCCTCCAATTTTGTTGAAAACAATGAAAACCACCTGATTTACAAAAGTATTTGTTACCCAATTATTTACCGATTATATTTTCCCACCTGTCACTATTTCAAATTGTTCCTTTGTTTCATGCTCAGGAAATTCTGACACCCCAGGGTAAAATATGATCTTAAGATTCAGAATACATGAGAAATATACCTTTTTCTCTGTAAAATATAGGAAATGTAAATGTAAAAGGGGTCTCCTTTAAAGCAAAGCAGATTAATTTTAAGAGGTCATTCTCCTTCTTATCTCTCTACCCCAACAAACTATATTACTGTGAGTTTCATGAATAAACATTGCTTGTTCCTGAATATTTTGTTTCATCTGAAGAGTGTGTTTCATAGTGTTGGCTTATGATTTAAAAAAAATATTTCTCAATATGTAGTAGTGCCCGTTTTTAGATACTTAAAGTTGTTTTTCTCTTAATTCATTTTTCTAGAAGTTTTAAAAACTCATCTTTTTATTTTGAGATAACTATAGATTCACAAGCAGTTGTAAAAAATAACACAGAGAGATCCTGTGTATCCTTTATCCAGTTTCTCCAGTGGTAACATCTTGCAAAACTACAGTACAATATTACAACCAGATGACATTGATATAGTCAAGATACAACACATTTCCATCACCAGGAGGGAGGAGTCCTCATTTTGTTTGTTATAGCCACTGCCACTTCCCACCCCTCCCATCCACACTACCCACTGTAGTCTCTGGAAACCACTAATTGGTTCTCCGTTTCTGTAATTTTGTCATTTCAATAATGTTATGTAAGTGGAATCACACAATATGCAACTTTGGGGGATTGGTTGTTTTCACTTGGCATACTTCTCTAGAGGAGATTAAGTTTGGTTTAAGGGGGGTCTGTATGGGTGCCAAGGAGTGGAGTTGTGATGATTAATTTTATGTGTCAACTTGGCTAGGTCGAGGTATTCAAATGTTTGGTCAAACACCAGTGTGATGTAGCTGTAAGGACATTTTTTAGAGAAGATTAACATTTAAATCGGTAGACTTTGAGTAAAGCAGATTACCCTCGACAATGTGGGTAAGCCTGATTCAATCACTTGAATTGACCTGAGAAAAAAGACTGAGGTCCCCCAAAGAACAGGGAATTCTGCTTCCAGGTTGTCTTTGGACTCCAGCTGCAACATTAACTGTCCACTGGGCCTCCTTGCCAGCCAACACTGCAGGTCTGGGGACTTGCCAGCCTCCACAATTATGTGAGACCATTTCTTAAAAGCTCTCTGTCTCTTTTCATGTATCTATCTATCGATCTTCCTATTGATCCACTTATCTATTGGCTTTAACTCATCATATATATACATATATATACATGTATATATGTACATATATACACACACATATATACATATACATATACATATACATATACATATACATATACATATACATATACATATATATTTTTGTATCTTTCCCACATGTTATTTTGATGTGTTTTGGGGGTTTTTGGTAAATTGCCATGGAATTCTAACTTGGCTAAATTTTAGAGTGTTTCTTGGTGCTTCAGCATGTGGTCAAATTTCATGTATGCTTGAGAACATATATTCTCTAATCGTTGGGTGCAAAATTCTATGTATTCTGTGTATGTTCATTAGCTCCAGCTTATTAATTAACTTGTTCTAGTATTTTACAATCTTACTAATTACTGTCTGCTTTATCTATCAATTACTGACAGAAAGGTATTAAAATCTTTCTCTGTGATTACGGACTCTTCATTTTCCTTAATTGTCACTTTTTCTTTGAATATATTTGATGTTAGATCATTAGATGCCTGTAAGTTTAGAATTATTGTATCTTCCTAGAGAATTATACCTTTTACCATCATATAATGACTTCTCTTTATCCCTCCTAATGTCTTTGAAGTTTACTTATTTTAATATAAACTTTATTTTTTGCATGGTATATCTTTCTCTCCTTGGATATTCAGCTTTTCTTTTTCTTTTTTTTTAAGTTTTTTTTTCTTCTATTATTATACTTTAAGTTTTAGGGTACATGTGCACATTGTGCAGGTTAGTTACATATGTATACATGTGCCATGCTGGTGTGCTGCACCCACTAACTTGTCATCTAGGATTAGGTATATCTCCCAATGCTATCCCTCCCCCCTCCCCCCACCCCACAACAGTCCCCAGAGTGTGATGTTCCCCTTCCTGTGTCCATGTGATCTCATTGTTCAATTCCCACCTATGAGTGAGATTATGCGGTGTTTGGTTTTTTGTTCTTGCGATAGTTTACTAAGAATGATGATTTCCAATTTCATCCATGTCCCTACAAAGGACATGAACTCATCACTTTTTATGGCTGCATAGTATTCCATGGTGTATATGTGCCACATTTTCTTAATCCAGTCTATCATTGTTGGACATTTGGGTTGGTTCCAAGTCTTTGCTATTGTGAATAATGCTGCAATAAACATACATGTGCATGTGTCTTTATAGCAGCATGATTTATAGTCCTTTGGGTATATACCGAGTAATGGGGTGGCTGGGTCAAATGGTATTTCTAGTTCTAGATCCCTGAGGAATCGCCACACTGATTTCCACAATGGTTGAACTAGTTTACAGTCCCACCAACAGTGTAAAAGTGTTCCTATTTCTCCACATCCTCTCCAGCACCTGTTGTTTCCTGACTTTTTAATGATTGCCATTCTAACTGGTGTGAGATGGTATCTCATTGTGGTTTTGATTTGCATTTCTCTGATGGCCAGTGATGATGAGCATTTTTTCATGTGTTTTTTGGCTGCATAAATGTCTCCTTTAAGAAGTGTCTGCTCATGTCCTTCGCCCACTTTTTGATGGGGTTGTTGGTTTTTTTCTTGTAAATTTGTTTGAGTTCATTGTAGATTCTGGATATTAGCCCTTTGTCAGATCAGTAGGTTGCGAAAATTTTCTCCCATTTTGTAGGTTGCCTGTTCACTCTGATGGTAGTTTCTTTTGAAGTGCAGAAGCTCTTTAGTTTAATTAGATCCCATTTGTCAATTTTGGCTTTTGTTGCCATTGCTTTTGGTGTTTTAGACATGAAGTCCTTGCCCATGCCTATGCCCTGAATGGTAATGCCTAGGTTTTCTTCTAGGGTTTTTATGGTTTTAGGTCTAACGTTTAAGTCTTTAATCCATCTTGAATTGATTTTTGTATAAGGTGTAAGGAAGGGATCCAGTTTCAGCTTTCTACATATGGCTAGCCAATTTTCCCAGCACCATTTATTTAAATAGGGAATCCTTTCCCCATTGCTTGTTTTTCTCAGGTTTGTCAAAGATCAGATAGTTGTAGATATGCAGTGTTATTTCTGAGGGCTCTGTTCTGTTCCATTGATCTATATCTCTGTTTTGGTACCAGTACCATGCTGTTTTGGCTACTGTAGCCTTGTAGTATAGTTTGAAGTCAGGTAGTGTGATGCCTCCAGCTTTGTTCTTTTGGCTTAGGATTGACTTGACGATGCGGGCTCTTTTTTGGTTCCATATGAACTTTAAAGTAGTTTTTTCCAATTCTGTGAAGAAAGTCATTGGTAGCTTGATGGGGATGGCATTGAATCTGTAAATTACCTTGGGCAGTATGGCCATTTTCACTATATTGATTCTTCCTACCCATGAGCATGGAATGTTCTTCCATTTGTTTGTATCCTCTTTTATTTCGTTGAGCAGTGGTTTGTAGTTCTCCTTGAAGAGGTCCTTCACATCCCTTGTAAGTTGGATTCCTAGGTATTTTATTCTCTTTGAAACAATTGTGAATGGGAGTTCACTCATGATTTGGCTCTCTGTTTGTCTGTTGTTGGTGTATAAGAATGCTTGTGATTTTTGTACATTGATTTTGTATCCTGAGACTTTGCTGAAGTTGCTTACCAGCTTAAGGAGATTTTGGGCTGAGACAATGGGGTTTTCTAGATATACAATCATGTCATCTGCAAACAGGGACAATTTGACTTCCTCTTTTCCTAAATGAATACCCTTTATTTCCTTCTCCTGCCTAATTGCCCTGGCCAGAACTTCCAACACTATGTTGAATAGGAGTGGTGAGAGAGGGCATCCCTGTCTTGTGCCAGTTTTCAAAGGGAATGCTTCCAGTTTTTGTCCATTCAGTATGATATTGGCTGTGGGTTTGTCATAGATAGCTCTTATTATTTTGAAATACATCCCATCAATACCTAATTTATTGAGAGTTTTTAGCATAAAGCGTTGTTGAATTTTGTCAAAGGCCTTTTCTGCATCTATTGAGATAATCATGTGGTTTTTGTCTTTGGCTCTGTTTATATGCTGGATTACATTTATTGATTTGCGTATATTGAACCAGCCTTGCATCCCAGAGATGAAGCCCACTTGATCATGGTGGATAAGCTTTTTGATGTGCTGCTGGATTCGGTTTGCCAGCATTTTATTGAGGATTTTTGCATCAATGTTCATCAAGGATATTGGTCTAAAATTCTCTTTTTTGGTTGTGTCTCTGCCTGGCTTTGGTATCAGAATGATGCTGGCCTCATAAAATGAGTTAGGGAGGATTCCCTCTTTTTCTATTGATTGGAATAGTTTCAGAAGGAATGGTACCAGTTCCTCCTTGTACCTCTGGTAGAATTCGGCTGTGAATCCATCTGGTCCTGGACTCTTTTTGGTTGGTAAGCTATTGATTATTGCCACAATTTCAGCTCCTGTTATTGGTCTATTCAGAGATTCAACTTCTTCCTGGTTTAGTCTTGGGAGAGTTTATGTGTCAAGGAATTTATCCATTTCTTCTAGATTTTCTAGTTTATTTGCGTAGAGGTGTTTGTAGTATTCTCTGATGGTAGTTTGTATTTCTGTGGGATCGGTGGTGATATCCCCTTTATCATTTTTTATTGCATCTATTTGATTCTTCTCTCTTTTTTTCTTTATTAGTCTTGCTAGTGGTCTATTTTGTTGATCCTTTCAAAAAACCAGCTCCTGGATTCATTAATTTTTTGAAGGGTTTTTTGTGTCTCTATTTCCTTCAGTTCTGCTCTGATTTTCGTTATTTCTTGCCTTCTGCTAGCTTTTGAATGTGTTTGCTCTTGCTTCTCTAGTTCTTTTAATTGTGATGTTAGGGTGTCAGTGTTGGATCTTTCCTGCTTTCTCTTGTGGGCATTTAGTGCTAGAAATTTCCCTCTACATGCTGCTTTGAATGCGTCCCAGAGATTCTGGTATGTTGTGTCTTTGTTCTCGTTGGTTTCAAAGAACATCTTTATTTCTGCCTTCATTTCGTTATGTACCCAGTAGTCATTCAGGAGCAGGTTGTTCAGTTTCCATGTAGTTGAGCGGTTTTGAGTGAGATTCTTAATCCTGAGTTCTAGTTTGATTGCACTGTGGTCTGAGAGATAGTTTGTTATAATTTCTGTTCTTTTACATTTGCTGAGGAGAGCTTTACTTCCAAGTATGTGGTCAGTTTTGGAATAGGTGTTTTGTGGTGCTGAAAAAAATGTATATTCTGTTGATTTGGGGTGGAGAGTTCTGTAGATGTCTATTAGGTCCACTTGGTGCAGAGCTGAGTTCAATTCCTGGGTATCCTTGTTGACTTTCTGTCTCATTGATCTGTCTAATGTTGACAGTGGGGTGTTAAAGTCTCCCATTATTAATGTATGGGAGTCTAAGTCTCTTTGTAGGTCACTCAGGACTTGCTTTATGAATCTGGGTGCTCCTGTGTTGGGTGCATATATATATTTAGGATACTTAGCTCTTCTTGTTGAATTGATCCCTTTACCATTATGTAATGGCCTTCTTTGTCTCTTTTGATCTTTGTTGGTTTAAAGTCTGTTTTATCAGAGACTAGGATGGCAACCCCTGCCTTTTTTTGTTTTCCATTTGCTTGGTGGATTTTCCTCCATCCTTTTATTTTGAGCCTATGTCTGTCTCTGCACCTGAGATGGGTTTCCTGAATACAGCACACTGATGGGTGTTGACTCTTTATCCAATTTGCCAGTCTGTGTCTTTTAATTGGAGCATTTAGCCCATTTACATTTAAAGTTAATATTGTTATGTGTGAATTTGATCCTGTCATTATGATGTTAGCTGGTTATTTTGCTCGTTAGTTGACGCAGTTTCTTCCTAGTCTCGATGGTCTTTACATTTTGGCATGATTTTGCAGCGGTTGGTACCTGTTGTTCCTTTCCATGTTTAGCGCTTCCTTCAGGAGCTCTTTTAGGGCAGGCCTGGTGGTGACAAAATCTCTCAGCATTTGCTTGTCTGTAAAGTATTTTATTTCTCCTTCACTTTTGAAGCTTAGTTTGGCTGGATATGAAATTCTGGGTTGAAAATTCTTTTCTTTAAGAATGTTGAATATTGGCCCCCACTCTCTTCTGGCTTGTAGGGTTTCTGCCGAGAAATCCGCTGTTAGTCTGATGGGCTTCCCTTTGAGGGTAACCTGACCTTTCTCTCTGGCTGCCCTTAACATTTTTTCCTTCATTTCAACTTTGGTGAATCTGACAATTATGTGTCTTGGAGTTGCTCTTCTTGAGGAGTATCTTTGTGGTGTTCTCTGTATTTCCTGAATCTGAATGTTGGCCTGCCTTGCTAGATTGGGGAAGTTCTCCTGGATAATATCCTGCAGAGTGTTTTCCAACTTGGTTCCATTCTCCCCATCACTTTCAGGTACACCAATCAGACAAAGATTTGGTCTTTTCACATAGTCCCATATTTCTTGGAGGCTTTGCTCATTTCTTTTTATTCTTTTTTCTCTAAACTTCCCTTCTCGCTTCATTTCATTCATTTCATCTTCCATTGCTGATACCCTTTCTTCCAGTTGATTGCATTGGCTCCTGAGGCTTCTGCGTTCTTCACGTAGTTCTCAAGCCTTGGTTTTCAGCTCCATCAGCTCCTTTAAGCACTTCTCTGTATTCGTTATTCTAGTTATACATTCTTCTAAATTTTTTTCAAAGTTTTCAACTTCTTTGCCTTTGGTTTGAATGTCCTCCTGTAGCTCAGAGTAATTTGATCATCTGAAGCCTTCTTCTCTCAGCTCGTCAAAGTTATTCTCTGTCCAGCTTTGTTCCGTTGCTGGTGAGGAACTGCGTTCCTTTGGAGGAGGAGAGGCGCTCTGCTTTTTAGAGTTTCCAGTTTTTCTGTTCTGTTTTTTCCCCATCCTTGTGGTTTTATCTACTTTTGGTCTTTGATGATGGTGATGTACAGATGGGTTTTTGGTGTGGATGTCCTTTCTGTTTGTTAGTTTTCCTTCTAACAGACAGGACCCTCAGCTGCAGCTCTGTTGGAGTACCCTGCCGTGTGAGGTGTCAGTGTGCCCCTGTTCGGGGGTGCCTCCCAGTTAGGCTGCTCAGGGGTCAGGGGTCAGGCACCCACTTGAGGAGGCAGTCTGCCCCTTCTCAGATCTCCAGCTGCGTACTGGGAGAACCACTGCTCTCTTCAAAGCTGTCAGACAGGGACACTTAAGTCTGCAGAGGTTACTGCTGTCTTTTTGTTTGTCTGTGCCCTGCCCTCAGAGGTGGAGCCTACAGAGGCAGGCAGGCCTCCTTGAGCTGTGGTGGGCTCCACCCAGTTCAAGCTTCCCGGCTGCTTTGTTTACCTAAGCAAGCCTGGGCAATGGCGGGCGCCCCTCCCCCAGCCTTGCTGCCACCTTGCAGTTTGATCTCAGACTGCTGTGCTAGCAATCAGCAAGACTCTGTGGGCGTAGGACCCTCCGAGCCAGGTGCAGGACACAATCTCCTGGTGCGCCGTTTTTTAAGCCCGTTGGAAAAGCGCAGTATTCGGGTGGGAGGTGCCGTCTGTCACCCCTTTCTTTGACTAGGAAAGGGAACTCTCTGACCCTCTGCGCTTCCCGAGTGAGGCAATGCCTCACCCTGCTTCAGCTCACGCACGGTGCGCGCACCCACTGACCTGCGCCCACTGTCTGGCACTCCCTAGTGAGATGAACCTGGTACCTCAGATGGAAATGCAGAAATGACCCGTCTTCTGCGTCGCTCATGCTGGGAGCTGTAGACCGGAGCTGTTCCTATTCGGCCATCTTGGCTCCTCCCCCTCTTTTCCTTTTTTTTAACATTTATTTTAGTTTCAGAGTACATCTATAGATAAATTGCGTGTCACAGGGGTTTGGTCCCTATACCATTTCATCACCGAGGTAATAAGCATAGTATCCAAAAGGCAGTTTTTTTTTAATTCTTACCTTCCTACCACACTCCATGCCCAAGTAGGCCCCAGTATCTATTGTTCCTTTCTTTGTGCCCATGTGTACTCAGTGTTTAGCTCCCACTTATAAATGGGAACATGTGGTATTTGGTTTTCTGCTTCTGCATTAGTTCGCTAGGATAATGACCTCCAGCTCCATCCATGTTGCTGGAAAGGATGTTATTTTGCTCCTTCCTATGGCTGCATAGTATTCCATGGTGTATATACACCACATTTTCTTTATGCAGTCTACTGGATAATCAATTTAGGTTGATTCCTTTTCTTTGCTATTGTGAATAGTGCTGAAGTGAACATACATGCACATGTGTGTTTATGGCAGAACAATTTATATTCCTTTGGGTACATACCCAATAATGAAATTGCTGGGTCAAATGGTAGTTCTGTTTTAAATTCTTTGAGAAATCACTAAATTGCTTTCCACAGTGGCTGAACTAATTTACGTTTCCACTAGCAGTGTATACGCATTCCCTTTTCTCTGCAGCCTTGACAACATCTGTTACTTTTTGACTTTATTAATAGCCATTCTGACTGGTATGAGATGGTATCTCACCGTGGTTTTTATTTGCATTTCTCTAATGATTTGCGATGTTGAACATTTTTTCATATGCTTGTTGGCTGTGTGTATGTCTTTTTTTGAAAAGTGTCTATTCATCTTCTTTGCCATTTTTAATAGAGTTTTTTTATTTTTTCTTGTAAATTTAAGATTCTTATAGATTCTGGATATTAGACCTTTGTCAGATGCAGAGTTTGAAAATATTTTCTCCCAGTCTGTGGGTTGTCTGTTTATTGAAAGTTTCTTTTGCTGTGCAGAAGCTCTTTAACTAGGTCCCATTTGTCAATTTTTGTTTTTGTTTAAATTGCCTTTGGTATCTTTGTCATAAAATCTTTACGAGGGCCTATATGTAGAATGGTATTTTTCTAGGTTTTCTTTAAGGGTTTTTACAGTTTTAGGTTTTACATTTAAGCCATTAATCCATCTTGAGTTAATTTTGTATATGGTGTAAAGAAGGGGTCCTATTTTAGTCTTCTGGATATGGCTAGCCAGTCATTTCATCAACCATTTATTGAATAGGGAATCCTTTCCCCATTGCTTGTTTTAGTTGACTTTGTCGAAAATCAGGTGGTTGTGGTGTATGGCTTTATTTCTGCGCTCTCTACTCTGTTTCATTGGTCTATGTGTCTGTTTTTGTGCCAGTACCATGCTATTTTGGTTACTGTAGCCTTGTAGTACAGTTTGAAATTGGGTAATGTGTTGCCTCCAGCTTTGTTCTTTTGGCTTAGGATTGCTTTGGCTATTTGGGCTCTTTTTTTCTGGTTCTATAAAAATTGCAGAAGTTTTTTTTCTAATTCTGTGAAGAACATCATTGGTAGTTTAATAAGAATAGCACTGAATCTGCAAATTACTTTGGGCAGTATGGCTATTTTAACAACATTGATTCTTCCTGTTTATGAGCATGGAATGTTTTTCCATTTGTTTGTGTCTATTTGCTGTGTCATCTCTGATTTCTTTGAGTAGGGTTTTGTGGTTCTCATAGAGAGATTTCACCTCCCTGGCTAGCTAAGCATTGTTTCTTTTTTTGTGGCTATTGTGAATGGGGTTGTGTTCTTGATTTGGCACTCAGCTTCAACATTATTGGTGTATAGAAATGCTACTGTTTTTCGCACATTAATTTTGTATCCAGAAACTTGGCTGAAGTTGTTTATCAGATCTGGGAGATTTGGGGTAGAGACAATCAGGTTTCCTAGGTTTAAAATCACATTTTCTACAAACACAGATAGTTTGACTTCCTCTCTTCCTATTTGCATGCCTTTTATTTCTTTCTATTGCCTGATTGCTCTGGCTAAGACTTCCAGTACTATGTTGAATAGGAATGGTGACAGTAGGAATCCTTGTCTTGTTTCAGTTCTTAAGGGGAATGCTTCAGCTTCTGCCCATTCAGTATGATATTGGCTGTAAATGGCTCTTATTATTTTGAGGTATGTTTCTTTAATGCCTAGGTTACTGAGGATTTTTAAATAAAGAAATGCTGAATATTATCAAAAACTTTTTCTGCATCTGTTGAAATGATAATGTGGTTTTGTTTTTATTTCTGTTCATGTGGTGCATCATATTTATTGATTTGCCTTTGTTGAACCAAACTTGCATCCCAGGGATAAAGCCTACTTGATTGTGGTGGAATAGCTCTTTGATGTACTGCTGAATTCAGTTTGCTGGTGTTTTGTTCAGGATTTTTGCATCTTTGTTCATCAAAGATATTGCCTGAAGGTTTCTTTTTTTCCTCTCTTCACCAGACTTTTGTATCAGGATGATGCTGGCCTCATAGAATGCATTAGGGAGGAGTGCCTCCTAATTTTTTTTTAATAGTTTCAGTAGGAATGGTACCAGCTCTTCTTTATATGTCTAGTAGAGTTCGGCTGTGAATCTGTTTTGACCTGAGTTTTTCTGGTTGGTAGGCTTTTTATTACTGATTCAATTTTTGAATTCATTATTGGTCTGTTCAGGATTTCAATTTCTTCTTGGTTCAGTCTTGAGAGGTATGTTTCCAGGAATGTATCCATTTCTTATAGGTTCTCTATATGTGTGCATAGAGGTGTTTGTAATCATCTCTGGTGTTTTTTTGCATTTCTAGGGGTCAATGGTAATGTCCCCTATGTCATTTCTGATTGTGTTTATTTGGATCTTCTTTTCTTTATCAGTCTAGCTAGCAGTCTATCTATCTTATTTATTCTTTCAAAGAACCAATTCTGGTTTCATCAATCTTTTGAATTTTTTTTGTCTCAATTTCATTCAGTTCAGCTTTGATTTTGGTTATTTCTAGTCTTCTGCTAGCTTTGGGGTTGGCTTTCTCTTGTTTTCCTAGTTTCTCAAGATGTGATATTAGGTGGTTAATTTGAGATATTTCTAACTTTTTAATGTGGGTATTTAGTGCTATAAAGTTTCCTCTTAACCCTGCTTTAGCCATGGCCCAGAGATTCTGGTATGGTGTGTCTTTGTTTTCATTAGTTTCAAATAATTTCTTGATTTCTGATTTAATTCCATTGCTTACCCAGAAGTCATCCAGGAGCCGGTTGTTGAATTTCCATGTAATTATAGGGTTTTAAGAAATCCTCTTGATATTGATATCTATTTTTATTATACTGAGAGTGTGGTCGGTATGATTTTATTTTTCTTTGGATATGCTGAGGATTATTTTAGCCTGATTGTGTGGTGGATTTTAGAAGATGTGCTATGTGGTGATGAGAAGAATGTATCTTGTGTTGTTCTGGGGTGGAGAGTTCTGTGGAGGTCTATCAGATCCATTTGGTCCAATGTTGACTTCAGGTCCTGAATATCTTTGTTAATTTTCTGCCTCAATGATCACTATTATGGGGTGTTGAAGTCTCCTATTATTATTGTATGGTTTATCTAAGTCTCTTTTTAGGTCTCTAAGAACTTGTTTTATGAATCCAGATACTCCTGTGTTGGGTGCCTATATATTTAGGATAGTTGAGTCTTCTCGTTAAGTTGAACCCTTTACCACTACATAATGCCCTTTCTTGTCTTTTTTTGACCATTGTTGGTTTAAAGTCTGTTTTATCTGAAATTAGAATAGCAACCCCGATATTTTTTTTTCAATTTGCTTGGTAGGATTTTCTCTATCCCTTTACTTTGAGCCTATTGGTATCACTGCATGTGAGATGGGTTTCTTGAAACCAGTATACAGTTGGGTCTTGCTTCTTTATCCAACTTGCCACTCTGTGCCTTTTAATTGGGGCATTTGGCGCATTTACATTCAAGGTTAATATTGATATGTGCAGATTTGATCTTGTCATTATGTTGCCAGCTAGTTATTGTGCAGACTTGATTGTGTAGTTGCTTTATAGTTTCAACGGTCTATGTACTTAAGTGTGTTTTTGTGGTGGCTGGTAATGGTCTTTTGTTTCCATATTTAGCACTCCTCATGTAAGGACTTCTTGTAAGGCATGTCTGGTGGCAACAAATTCTGTTAGCATTTACTTGTCTGAAAAGGATCTTATGTCTCCTTTGCTTACGAAGCTTAGATTGATGAATATAAAATTCTTCACTGGAGTTTCTTTTCTTTAAGAATGCTGAATATAGGCCCACAATGTCTTTTGGCTTATAGGGTTTCTTCTGATATTAAACTTTTCTTATATCTGTTACAAACTGCACAGCACTGGATTAACTTTAGCTATCTTGATAATTTTGTTTACATATAATCAATTTACATCAGTTTGCTTATTGGTTAATTTAGATTTATTTCAGCCATATTGTTTTTGTGATATTTACCTTGCTTTTTCCATGTTCTTATCTATTTTATGCACTAGTGGTTGCTTGATTTTTTAAAAAATTAAAATTTTAAATTTAAATTCCCAAAACAGTTTCCACATTTCACCTGCTGTTTCTATTCTTTTAATGGTTCCCTTAAAATCTTAACACAGATAATTAATAAAATCTAAAGAAATCCATATCTCAATCATACTCCTGACTAAGGCTTTAAACCTGATCATGGTCCTCTCCTCTTTTATATGTTATGATGGTGTAGTATTTTAGTTCCACTTTGTTACTGATATTTATTCACTGTCCACTGTTTTCTCCTCTTCTTCCTCGTATTTCTTTTTCTTTACAGTCAATTTTTAAAAAAAGATTTATCTACCACTTATTTTATTTACCATTCTTCCTTGAATTTTGGTCCTTACATCAGGGTTCATTTTCTTTATTTTTGAAGTATATACTTTAGATATTTCTTGAATAAATTTTCTTTGTTACAAACCTGTTTTTGTTTGTCTGAAAATAGCTTTATTTTACTCTCAGTACTTAAAAATTAGCTTAGTAAGATATACAATTCTAGGTCAACAGTTATTTTCTCTCAGCACTTTAAAGATACTATTCCACTGTCTTTTGGCTTCCGTGGTTGCTGCTGACAAATCTAGCAGTGCTACTGACAAGTTTGTTCCTTGGTAAGTAATATATTTACTTCTGGCTTCTTTAAAGAACTTCTGTCTTTTAGTTTCTGCAGTCCACCATGTTGAATTGAGGTACAGATTTCATTTTAAAAATTTCCCTGGGGCTCATTACAGTTCTGAATCCAAGGGATTCATATTTGTCGACTCCAGAGTAGCAATATCTATTAGTTCTTCAAACAGTGCTTTTTTTCCTCATTCTTACTACTGTCTCCTCAAATTCCAATGAAATGTGTGCCAATTGTTCTCATTCTATTGTATTTTTTTACCTTCTTTTCCTCATTTTTCTCTCTTTGCCTCTGTATGCTGCATTCTGGATAGTTTCTTCAAATCTATTATCAGTTTCCTAATTCTTTTGTAAAGCTGTGTCAATATTTACAGTTTAACTCATCTATTTAGTGTAATATATAGTTTTATTTTCTAGATGTTCTATTTCTAGAAGACTTTTTCAAATAGATCTGGTCTTTTTTATGGTACCATGTTCATTTCTCATAGTTTCATAATTTTCTCAAACAGCCTTTAAAATCTTGCTTTAATTTTTATATTCAACAATTCTATAATCCAAAGATTCTGAGATTTTTCCTGATGTTTGTTTGTGCTGACTCTTGCCTTATATCCTTGCATATTTCATAATTTCAGAACTTTGGTTTGGCTGGGCTTTACTTGGCATTCTATCACATGTTAGGTTGAAAATGTATCCTTCCAAAGATTTACATTTCTGTCTAGTTGGTATCCCAGGGAATTCTTAATTCTCAGCATTGGGGGTTCATAGACCATGTCAGTAATTTTCAAACTTCGAACACATGTGAGGTCAGCTCTACATTTTAAAATGCTTGGGATGGAGGCAGTGAGGACATTCTGCTTCCACCTATGATGGAATAGCTAGTACTTGGTTAGCCCTCTTGCTATAAAGTATTATTAAAATGAACAAAATATATGAAAACTATTTTCAGACTTTGGACAAGAGGCAATGCAGGACTATGATTCCCAAGAGAAGGAAAACAAATGAGGTGATATAATGACCACTCTGTTTTATTCTGTCTAGAAAATTTTCTGGACTGTTTTGTAGAGTGCAAGAGCCCAAACAGAATACAGAAGTGTCACTTAGCTAAGGAGACAGAGATTAGAGCCTGAGGAGGCTGAGTTGGTTGGAAAGTGTGGAGTATAGTACTGAGAAAAAGGAAGTTGGTTATAGACAGAGCTACAGACATCTCTACAGGAAACCCCTTAAGTCTTTGGTTAATTATTGTTATGAACTGAATTGTGTCTTCATCTCCCTCACCTAAATTCATAGGTTGAAACCCTAGCCCTCAATGTGCTTGTCTGTGAAGACAGGGCCTTTAGAAAGGTAAGTTAAGGTTAAATGAGATCATAAGAGTGGTGGTCTAATGCAATAGGAATGGTGTCTTTATAAGAGAAAGGGATACCAGAGCGCTCTCTCTCTCTCTCTCTCTCTCTCTCCAGACATGTATAGAGAGAAGAGACCATGTGAGGACACATGAGTAGGCAGCTGTCTATAAACCAGAAATCTTATCAGAAACCATCCTTAATAGCATCTTGATCTTGGACTTCTAGCCTCTAGAAGTGTAAGAAAATAAATTTCTGGTTTTTTTAAGCCTCCCAGTCTGTGTTATTTTGTTATGGCAGCCTAAGTAGACTAATATAGCTACTAAGCTGCACATGCTCAGCGAAAGACTCCATGAGGACAGATAAAGAACATCTATTGGAGAAACAAAAAGTACTGAGGAAAGAATATCTACAGAGGAAGCTGTATATTGAATAACTACTGAAGCTCACACAAGGTTAAAACACATTTGATTTTTGAACAGCCAGAGCGTAGAGACCTTGTTGAATATACAGGAGATTCAAAAGAGACCCTCAGAAAGGCTACACTTTAGGCATAAGGCTAATGTAATCCTAGAGTAAAGAATACTATGGACTCTTTCTTGTAAAACCTTAAAATAAGCTTAGAAAGAACCAGGCTGATCTGCAAGTAAATTAACTACCTGGCAGAACAAAACTAGACACCCGATTTAAGGATGACAGCCAAATCTAGACACTTAATAAAGTGGCATCCATAATGTCCAGGATATAACACAAAATTATCAGACATGTGAAGAAAAAGGAAATATGACCTATTACTAGGAGGTAAATCAGCGATAGAAATAAAATCAGGAATAACAAACACAGAATAGGAAATAAGAACTTTAAAACTACATATAAATATATTCTAGAAATTTAGGAAATCTGTGAACATAATGAGAGAATAGGAATTCTCATTAGCCAAATAGAAACTAAGAAAAAAACTAAATAAAAGTTCAAGAAGCATAAAATGTGGTATCTGAAATGAAACATTTATACTGCAGGAGACACAACTGGTGAACTTGAAGAGCAACAAAAAATATGAAAACCAAAGCATACAGAAAAAGGAAGATGAAAAAAATTAACAGACTCAGTGACCTATGGAATAGTCCAAATGGGCTAACATATATGTAATTAGAGGAGAGAAATGAGAAAGATTAGGGGCAGAAAAATTATTTGAAAAAAATAATAGCTGAAAATTTTCCAAATTTCATGAAAACTCTAAACTTACAGATCCAAGCAGTTCAATAAACCCCAGAAGCATAAAGAATATTGCACCAAGGCAAATCATAATACAATTTTTCAAAACTAGTAATAAAGAAAAAAAAATGTTAAAAGTAGCCTGATGATAAATTACATACAACAGAACTAGGAAGATAATTATTGTTAATTTCTCATCAGAGACAATAAAAAGAAAAAGACAATGAAATCTGTAATGTACTAGAAGGAAAAGAAAATCAACCTAGAATTCTATATCCATCAAAAATATTCTACAAAAATGAAGCCAAAATAAAGACACATTTAGACAAAATAAAGTTGAGAGAACTTATCGACAGAAGACTTGTGCTACAAGAATTGTTCAAGGAAGGTCCTCATGCTTAAGGAAAATGATGAAAAGTGGAACTATATAAAGAAGAGTGCTAGAAACAGTAAATATGTAGATAAATATAAAATACCTTTCTTTATCAAAGTCTTACTTTCTCTCAATGGTAATTGTTTATAACAAAAATAATTAAAGTGTCTTGTGGGGTTTAAAACACATAAATAACATATGACAATAGCAGAAATAATAAGGTAGAGTAAAATGAAAGTATATTGTTGTAAGGTTCACATGCTATAGGTGAAAAAGTATACTGTTATTTGAAAGTAAACTATATTACATTAAAGATACAGTTTAGATGTGAAAGATATTATAAGCCTTGGAGCGACCATTAAAAATAGGTAATTATATCTAATAAGCCAAAAGAAAATATAAAATGATAAAATGTCAAAAAAAATGATTAATTCAAAAGAAGTCAGAAAAGGAAGAGAGAGTATCCTAGAACAGATGGAACAAACAGAAAACAAAAAGCAAGATAGTAGACTCTGTATGGTAGTAAACCTAATTGTATCAATAATTACATTAAATGTAGGTGGAGTAACTGCTCCAATTAAAAGACAGAAATTGTCATATAGAATAAAAAAATCAAGGCCTGAATGGGTCATAAAACATTCATTTAAGAGATGCATTTAAAAAATAAGGACACAAGTTAATAGTAAAATGATGAAAAACTATAAACCATGCAAACACTAATGATAAGAGAGTTGGCATGGTTGGAGTAGCTATGGTAACATTAGGAGTATTACTAGAATTAAAGAGGCATATTTCATAATGATAAAAGGGTCAATTCATCAAGACTATATGAAAATCATAAGTGATTATGAATCTAAGGGCAGGACGTCAAACAAACTGACTGCCAATAAAACCATGGTTGCAGCTGACAATTTCAATATCCCCTTTTCAATAATTATAGAATAAGCAGACAAAAAAATCAGTGAGGCTATAGAGGGCTTATATAGCATTACTAACTAACTGAACCTAATTTACCTTTACTGAACATTACATTCAACAAATGCAGAACACATATTCCTTTCAAATGCACATGGGACATTCAACAAGACATACATAGACTGGGCCATAAAATGAGTTTTGAAACATTTTTTTAATTGAAAGTTTTTGAAAAATCAGAGATTCTTTCCCCCTGCTCCAACCAAGCACCCAGCCCAAGACAGAAAAGTTTCCTCATTGTCTTTCTTTGTCAGAAGATGGATTTTTCCAGTTCATTCTTTTACTGAGCCTCTAACCCTTCATCTGCTTTTTCTCCCATGAGGTCTCAGTTCAACATTCCCACCTTATACAAAAAGCTTGTTTTTGTCTTCCATAGCCAAAAAATACTAAGTCCCTTTGTTACTGAGATTGACAAATGTCTGCAGGACGACTGTAACTTTCAGGCTTTTACACAGTTCTGGTTTTCATCTGCTTTCCACTTTTGGCCATTGAGGAGTTCCCTCAGTATTTTACATGCTCATCTATGCATTTCAAAATATGTTTGTGATATTGTGTTCAGTATTCTAGGGGTTTCGTGGCCAGCAGGTTCTCAGGTTATCTAGTTCCCATGTTTCTGGAAGTTAAAGCCTGGTTATTTTAAGGGTTCAGGTTACTTTGGCCTAATCAAATATCCCCTCATTTAGAGCCGGGCAGCCTTGGGTTTGAAATCTAGCCTCGGTATTCACCAGTTACGTAACTCTGAGCAAGTGATGAAACTTCTCTGAGCCTTAACTTACATGTGAGTTTTAGAGATCGTTAAGTCTGGGTTTTCAAGTTTGTTGTAAGGATTGTCTCTAATCTTACACAATACAAGGCAGAATAAGCAAAAAAGTTAATGTTATCATTATTCATTCATTCATCAAAGATCGAGTGTTTGCTATGTGCCAGACATACCTTCTATGTGCTAGGAATAACAGACAATAAATGTATAAACAAGTAAATAGTTTCATGTAAGTTCAAGTGCAATAACAAACAGGTAGTGGGATTGAGAATGTGTGTAAAAACATAATGGGTATTTCTAATTAGTGACTGGAGTTCCTACTGGATGATGTGACATTTGATTTAAAATCTGAATCAAGATGAAAACGTTCTGAAATTAGAGTGTGATGGTTGTACAACTCTGTGAATATAATAAAAACATTAAAATGTATACCTTAAATGGGTAAATTGTATGTATATTAATTACATCTCAAGTAATTCATGAAGCTGTTTGTTTAAAAGTCTAAATGAAGAAGAGAAAGCCAGATAAAAATCTTGGGGAAAAACACTGTACCTAAGAGAACAGCAGCACAAAACTCTGAGGCTAGAATAGGGCATTAGCCAGTTTGAAGAAAAGATTTGCTGGTAGGAGTTTAGTGAGGGAGAAGATTGGAGACAGTTGAGATTTAGACTGTGGGTAGGAGCCAGACTCAACACACTATTTAAGGGTGACAGGGCTTTGTAGGCCATGTTGAATATTTTGAATTTTTTCCAAAATGCAATGGGGGCCTTTGAAAAAAAATTAAACTGGAAAAGTGATGTCTGGTTTATGCTGTGAAACAATCACTGTGCTTTCCATAAGGCAGGAGAATTAACAGGATAGAAAAAGCACAAACAGGAAGAAAAGCAAAGGAGATAATTCCACAGTAACTAGAATGAAGTCCTAGGTATCCCACTTTTGACTTAGTCCTCCGTTCCCTCAAACTCTACTTTATTGATTATATTCTTATTTTGAGAACAGAGGTGTGACTGAAAGGGCCATCATAGCAGAAGGACCAATAAGAAGTAGAGAATTCATGCTCCACCACTACCCACAAAGGAAAAAATTATTGTAGTATCCTGAAGTTCAAATTGTCTGATTTCCAGTACCTGGACTACTCACAGAAGGTTTTGACATTTTTGGCTGACTGAAAATAGGCCATTCTAAACCGCTTCTGTCTTCCATTTAAAAACTAAGTCAACATTTGATATATATCATTCATCGGTAAGAAAATATATGGCAGAAGTTAAATATGGCTGCGTTGTTTTATATAAATGATTAAAAGTATGGCCTTTACAATCAGACAAAATTTGGTTTAAGCTTTGTCATTTAATGAGCGACTTAGAAATAGTTTTAAATTTTGTTAAATAAAATAAGGGACAAACAACTATTCTTCATTTAGGTTCAAATGAGTTGAACTGTAAATGAGATGCCTATACATCAGTTAGCACAATGACTAATACATGGTAGGCACTCCAAATAGGTAGCCATTATAATTATTATTGCTTATTGTAATAATTGTTGTCTGTTACTTTTATAAAGGAAAAAAATATTTTGAAAAGATGAAATCTACTCACCTTTAAAAGACATGAACCTGTTAACTTCATGTAAAATTACCTTCACGTTAAGTTATGGTTAAAATTACCATACTCCATGTAATCTATAATAATAATATCAAATTTTTCCTGTAATAAAAGTAGTTTAAACCCAATTTTAATAATTATAAAATCTTCAGCAGATTTCTCAGTAAGTTTTAGCAAACTATTTCTAATTATGAACTACTATGGAATATTGAGTTGGATTTTTTAATAGATCCCAAATGAAAATCAAACTCATATTGAGAGCTGAATCCAGTTGGGCTTCTGTGTCGGGTGGGGACTTGGAGAACTTTTCTGGCTAGCTAGAGGATTGTAAATGCACCAATCAGCATTCTGTAAAAAATAGACCAATCAGCACTCTGTAAAATGGACCAATCAGGAGGACATGAGTGGGGCCAAATAAGGGAATAAAAGCTGGCCACCTGGGCAAGTGGTGGCAACCCGCTGGGGTCCCTTTCCATGCTGTGGAGCCTGTGTTGTTTTGCTTTTCACAATAAATCTTGCTGCTGCTCACTCTTTGGGTCCGCACCAACTTTAAGAGCTGTAACACTCACTGCGAGGTCGTGGCTTCATTCTTGAAGTCAGTGAGACCACGAACCCACTGGAGGAACAACCAACTCTGGACGCGCCACCTTTAAGAGCTATAACACTCACAGTGAGAGCCGTCGCTTCATTCTTGAAGTCAGCAAGACCAAGAACCCACCAGAAGAAATAAATTCTGGACACAATATGTTTAATATTAGAAGAATGATTACACATAGCTTGTTACAGATTTCCAAAAAACAGTAGGTACAGTTTTTAAAATTTACATTCACAGAGAATTTTAATGACATTGGAAAATGTAAGAAACTTTGAAAAAAGATGGAGTAAAATATGTATAAAATTGATAATAGTTGATTTAGGGTGGTAGAAGTAAACATAATTTTTTCTGTTTATATTTTTCTCTATCTTTTAAATTTTGCTAATGTGCATAGATTCTTTTAAAATAATAAGAAAATAATAAGGTTAATACGTTATAAAAAATAGGGACCTGGCTGTTGAAGTGCGATGGAGACAATTTGTTAGAACATGTGGCTTGTTACACAGACGCTTGAGAAGTTTGTTGAGAGAGAACGATTACCTAGAAACAAGAGTTACAGTAAATGGGGTAAAAAGGGCAAAAGTTCTTCAGATTACTATCCTATTTACCAAAGTTTGTGATATGTATTTTGAATATATGTGAAGAGCTTCACTTCTATCAAGCCATAGCACTTATTTGTCACTCTGATATAACAATTTAACATAAAATTGAGTTCATTCAAATGAGCAGAAAAGGAAAAAAATGTAAGTATGTCTACTTTCCCGGGAATGGTCTTGCACCAGTATCTTTCTATTCATGTTAGCATTTTCTATGTAAGAAACAAATACCCAAAGACTTTTGTAGTAGAGACTCCATCTGTTCCAATATAGTCAATATCCTTCTATTTGAGCATCAATTAGTGGCCTTCAATTAACCACCTTGCATTCGGTAATAGTCTGAAGGGGAGAGTTCTTGATTCTGGGAATCAAAGAGCTTTACTGCTGTGCCTCATGCAGAGAGCAGACCAGATGTCTTCTAAAAGCGAGGCAGTCTCCTTTAAATATGCATTAGAGCTAGCATTACTATCACACTTAGCCTTCCAAGGCTCTAAAAGCAGTGGCAAAGGAGGGCTAAACATACAAAATGCAAGCAACTTGGTCTGTAAGCAGTCAGTATGTCATTATCCTTCAACAGAACTCTTTCAATTGAATGTTTGTGGTTTAGAGGTTTTAGGATATAATATTTCTCACTTCAAAGAGTTTTTTTATATTACTATATGAAGCCATGGTGCATTTAACTGACTTAATAAAATGTAATTCTTACTTTAAGTCTTGAGAGGAGAAAAGCCTCTGTGAAAGAAATCTTTGTTAGCAAGGCATATAAGCAGAGTCCTGGTCTGCAATAATATTGATGATCACGACTTGTGTGTTACTATATAAAATTCAACCAGTCAAAATTCAACATCTTTAAGAATATTGCTACTTTGGGCAAAATTTGAGTTTCATTAGAGTAAAATCATTTCTGACATTTCATAAAGTTTAATGCAAACAAAAATGATTAATCATTCATAAATATGTAAACATATGATATTAAAAGGGTATATTACATTTGAGACAAAATGGCAGAATCAGAATTTTTTTAATTGCTAAGAATTTTATGTAGCAAGTTTGTTTATTCAGTAACATAATCACAAAATAGAAATATCACATTCACAGAAGTGGAAATAAAGAGCATAAAATATTTTTAAAACAGGAAAGCAATGGGATCACTTTCAAGAGCCTCAAAGAAAACCTTTAATTTACAATGCTACGCTTTCATGATTAATAGGATTAATGTGTGGTTTTTCTTTGATAAAAGTAGTCATGATTTTTTAGTATTACATACATTCATTGCATATGACAGACACTCTGATAAAAATGTACTGTTCTAATTACTTAATTGTTTTGGCTCATTTAACACCTTGTTTAAATAGCTTTAAGACATATAAGAGGCAAATAATTATATATACTTAAGGATAAAATTTTCAGATATTTATCCAAACACACATTTACCCATTAAATTAGAACACTAACTGCTTAATATGTAAAACTAGTTTGAAATCATGACTCTTGATTAAATACATACTTCAACATCTCTCATGAGACTTCCCAACTTCAAAAATGACTTTAAAAAATTAGCTTGGGGGTGAATCACCAATACATTCAGAAACACGGCCAAAACAAGGAGTTTTATTTCAAAGACTGAATTCAGAAAATGAACCAACTATTTTTGTACATTATATTAATAAATTGGTTCTTTGTTGAAAACCTCAAACATGAATGATATTAGCAATATGCATGTGTGAGACCCATTAAAAATGACAATTCAAAAAAATTACTGCTTAACCTAAAGGAAAAATGTTACTGTTGGATTCCTGCCTGGGGCTTAAATTGTGGTCTTGCATTAATAAAGTACGTTTGTTGATTCCCTAGCTTTGGGTGATACCTTGAAACCTTTTGTGTTTTCTGGGAGATATTTCACACAAGTTCTAAAATTTGAGAGTCCACTTAACAAAATAAAATTCCCACTTACATGATAATATATTAATTCTAATATTATATAAATAGAACAAATCTGATTCATTTATAGGGCAAGTGCTACATTCTGAACTATCTAACTCAAATTAAATTCAACTCTGTGGCAAACAATTCATTTTCTTATTAGGCAATCAATGTTACCTTCAATAAGGCAATTCCCATTTACCTTCTGGCCATAGCAGTTGTCTTAAAACCAAGTTCTAAACCTGTAGTTCATGTAAAAGGATATGATTTCCTTAGCAAGTAGTTAAGAAAATCTACAATAGGCCGGGAACGGTGGCTCACACCTGTAATCCCAGCACTTTGGGAGGCTGAGGTGGGTGGATCACCTGAGGTCAGGAGTTCGAAACCAGCCTGGCCAACATGGCAAAACCACATGGCTACTAAAAATACAAAAATTAGTCGGGTGTGGTGGTGGGCACCTGTAATCCCAACTACTCGGGAGTCTGAGGTACGAGAATCACTTGAACCCAGGAGGCAGAGGTTGCAGTGAGCTGAGATTGCACCACTGCACTCCAGCCTGGGTGACAGAGCAAGACTCCATCTCAAAAAACAAAACAAAACAAAAAACTACAATAGAGATGTATGTCAAAGAGAATATAAGTTCTTAAGAAGCTGCGTCTAATTAGTGAAGCTCTCCCTTCCCATATTCAGTGATCCAAGAAACTGAAATTTAAATGGAAAAATGAATCTGTAAAGTTATAGATGTCAAATTCTCAGATTCTTCATTGTTATTTCCCAAGTGGAAAAGGATTAGAAATAATAGAATATTATTGATTTTTAGAGGAAAGTAGATTAAAAAGTGTTTACATTTTTAAAACTTTATACAGTGTTGCTCAATGCTCACCAATAGACCATTGCATTCATTTGTATATGCAAATTAAACTGGAAAATCCATAAAAACATATGTATCACCAGTAAATGAATCAGTAAAGTACAATATAACACAAAAGAAAACGAAATATTGCTTGATTTTTTCCAATAAAAGCAAGGTTAATAAAAACATTTTTAGTAAGAAAATCTATCATTTTTGTTTTAAAAATCTTTCAATTTTAAACATCATTACCAACACATTAAAAGTATTATCAATAAGTGCCTTTACAATTTCAAGCAAAAGCTACTGTGTTTTCCTTATTGGAAATACTGCTTTCAGTCATCTTTTTTGTCTGAGGTACTCTCTTCATGCTTTTCAGGGCTGACTTTATTACTGGCGGTGGAGGGGGTTGTCTGGACTTCTTTTGGTAATGAAAACACATGGCACGTCTGGAGGTCTAGGTATGTTGTAAATATCTTAGCATATTCTGGATGCTTTAAGGCAAAACTTTTAAATTCCTCTAGAAGAGAAAGAAAAAAAATCCAATAAGTTGGGGTGAATCTTCTTTTGGCATGATGCAGATTAATAAATGACTCTAATAATGCAATTATTACAAAATTCTACTACCCAACACACAAACATTGCTGATGAAAATATAAGTTGTACAACCACTTTGGGAGATAGTTTTTCCATTATCTAGTCAAGTTGAAGATATACATACTCTTTGACCCATTAATTCTACTCTGAGGTATATATCCTAGAGAAATTTGTGCATATTGTGCTCTGAGAGACATGTATGAGAATGTTCACAGCAACATTATTTATAATAGATAAAAAATAAAAACAACTTGGATGTCCATCAACAGTAGAAATGCATAAATAAATTGTGTCATACTCATGGAACATAAGGCCATATGGCAATGAAAATGAATAAACAGCTATGTAGAAACAATGTGGATTAATCTTAAAGCCATAATGTTTAATGAAAAAAGCAAGATATAAAGTAACACATAATTGTATGAGTCTATTTATATAAAGCCCAAAAACTTAGACAAAACTAAAATTTAATATTTAAAGGTACATACTTTAGGGGTGAACTGTTAAAGTAAAATAAAGCAAGGCAGAGATTCCTTTTTAAGTCAGGATAACAACCCCCTTCTTTAAGAGAGAGGTAGGGGTGTGGTTGGGAAAGGGCACACAGGGGTTTCTGGAGTTGTGGAAAAGCTCTATTTCTTGACTTGAATGGTAGTTACATGGGTGTTCACTTTATAAAACTTCGTTGTGCTTTATATGTTTTATTTAGTTTTCTGTATTTTTGTTCTTTCTAGCAATTTAAAAAATGTTTAAAAAATTATATTACCCACCACTTTCTATAATTGGTTTTTAAAACCATTTGAGCCCTTAACTCTGGTACAGAAAAATACAGTCTTAAAAAGCTGAGCCTTGATTTGTAATCAATAATGGATAGGAAAGTGTACAATATATAATAATCATACCACAAGACCTCCAAGTAGAGGAGTTCTTTTTATCTCAAGTGTTTTAGAAGCTGAGATAGGGCTACAGAAGGCTTACTTAGTTAACTATCAGGACTTGAACCTCAATCCTCCAGTAACCTGGAGTTTCTGAAATATTATTCTGTCTTCTATTTTGAAATCCTTCTATTCTCTTCTTTTGGGTGGATAAAACTTTATTGAGCTTATTAGAGCAAAGATAGCATGGTCTTTGGATTAGCTGCCATTTGGCTCTATAATAAAATAATGTTAACTAAATGTCCTATTTCTATACATTTACTTTTAAAAAATCCTCTGATAAGCAAGGGTCTGCTTCATGACACATTAGGCTACCTAACTCTTGAATATAAAAATAGGTCTTAGTCTGCAGTGACCTCTGATCATGCCACTGCACTCCAGCCTGGGCAACAGAGTGAGACCGTATCTCAAAAAAACAAATAAACAAACAGGTCTTAGTGATGAGGAAGTCACCAGATTGAACTCAAATCATTATTTGCAATTGCAATGTTGTTTTGCATTAATAAACCACTTTTTATTTCTAAATCAGGCAAACTACTAACTGTTCTTTTTTAACTTCCAAAATAAAGGTTCTTGTTTCTAGGGATACATTATAGAAAAAAATAAAAATAGATGAAGTTTAATCTACATGAGTCTGTTTCAATGACGGAGACACATAGAAGACTTAAGTGACTTTGAAGATAAGTGAGCATGACAGTTGATCTACTGAAACCAAGAACTTTAATTTCAAGACTTGTGCTATGGCCAAAAGATCAAGATCCTCTGTTGGGATGTCAGTGGCATTAAAGAGTAACTCATTGCTGGAAGTCCTGTGATTGACTCTATGTGGAATTTGAGCATTAATTTAGATAATGGAAAACTGAAAATAAAGTAATTTAAGGCAGCAGTCCCCAACCATTTTGGCACCAGGGACTGGTTTCATGGAAGACAATTTTTCCATGGATGGTAAAGGGGATTGGGGAGATGGTTTCAGGATGAAACTGTTCAACCTCAGATCATCAAGCATTGGATTCTCATAAGGAACGTGCAACCTAGATCCCTCACATGTGCAGTTCACAATAGGGTTCATGCGCTCCTATGAGAATCTAATGCCTCCACTGATCAGATAGGAGGCGGAGTTCAGGCTCTAATGCTCACTCGCCTGCCACTCACCTCCTGCTGTGTAACTCCGTTCCTAATGGCCACAGATCGGCACCGGTCCATGGCCTAAGGGTTGGGAACCCCTGATTTAAAGGATCACATTTAAACAATCTAAATGGTCACATTCATGACATTTATCAATATCTACTTTTTAAACAAAATTATACTTAAATACTTCAAACATTCTTGAAAAAAATAGCAGATTTGCCTAATATTGGGAAAGGGGAGATATTCTGTATTCTGCAAAGAAAAAGGTTGAACTCCAAAAAACAAAGCAGATTTCCCTGAAAAATTACTTAAATCAACAGGTTATTATGGCTATCTACAAATCATTTTTAGTATTAGCTTCCATTGAAGTAGTTATTCCAACTAGTTTTTCAAAATTTAGTAGTTTGGAGTAATAGTCTTCCTTATGAAAATAGCCAGAGAAGAATTAGTACACTTGAATTTATGACTCATAAGTTTCATCTCAGTATTTACACTTCCCATTTTATCCTGTTTTTTCAAATGAACTCAATAGATTAAGTGCCCTAGGCATTTAATTACCTAAATGACAGTAATTAAAAACAGAGAGTAAGAGAAGTATGTGATCTACTTTTCCCATCCCATGAAAGTTAACAAGCTGAAACTCTTGAACACCATAAGGAAAGAGTAATTAAAGAGGAGTCTCCATCCAGCCTCAGGGGAAAGACTGGGGAAGATAAGCCAGCTTGACATCCATGACCACATCAAACCCAAGACAGGGAAACAATTATCTTGGTCTCTCCATTGAGGTGTGTTTCTCAACAACTGCACTGTGAATATAGAGAAGCTTCAGTCCAGTGCAACTTGTTTTGATGGGTGGACTTGAGCCATCAAGAGAAAAGACAGTTACTGATGGATAGACCTGCCACTTTGCCACAAGGTCTTTCTCCATGATAGACCCTAACTCACAGGAGTTGCTAACAAGATGGCATGAGACAAGGAATGTGAAAAGTTACATAGGTCACTAATAGTAAACATCAATAAATCGTTTAGCTACTATTATTGTTGGTGCCTCAGTCCATGTTCCTTTACTATAGTTGCAACCTACTTGGTTTACTTGTTCAGTTTTGCCTGGCCACACTGAAAGCAGAGATCACTAAAGTGTAGAGTCAATAGTGCAGGCTCCAAAGTCAAACTGTTTTGGTTTTTGAATTGTGGCTCTGATGTTCTTTAGCTAAATTGTCTTAGATAAGTTACTTAAAGTCTTTGTATCTTAGTAAAACAAGAATAATTAAGAATACCGATTAGATAGGCTTGCTATAAAGATTAAATGGGTTAATATATATAAAATGTTTAGAAGAGTGCCTAGCATATAAGTCCTCAATAATTAGCTATGACTATTATGCCATTACTACTATTATTACTGTGGTCATCAATATTACTATTATGTCTATTATTAATGTAATTAGTTAAGAGAAACAGTACTCTTGAGCATCAGTCCATAGTCTGGATGTCCTCCTTGTAAACTAAGTCAGGAGGCCAGATTGCCTACTCACCATAGGAAATTGAGTCCCCTTGGGCTATTTCCTTGAAGAGACCAGAAACATCAAGGTCAGGCACTCCAAGGGAAGCCTGTAGAATGGTGGAGAACTCTTCCTCCGTTATGTAGCCATCCTCATCAACGTCAAACAGCTGAAGAAAATAAAATGTAAGAATTAGCTCCCTCAGGATCATAGTGGTAGGGAATAATCTTGGAAAATAAAGTCTTTAATAATTCAAACATCTACTGTGGCAAGGGCTAGAAATATGTATATTAAGAAAGTATCATCTCTACTACCCTCACAACACCTGTAGCTTGGTGTTTGAGAGAGACAGGATTAAAACAGGAGCTATACCAATGGTCCATAGTACAAAGGGACAGGGGATCTCCATGGGGAACATAATGAATCCTACCCAGAGAGGTCCAAGAAGGCTTCATAGGAGTTGACATTTGAGTTGGGTCTTAGAACATGAAGAAAAGTTCCCAGAATATACAAAGAATGGCAAGTGATTGCCTGGGGCTCCAGTCAGGAGATAGAGACAAACAGGAATTAGATCATGGTGGGTATATAATTCCTCACCAAATCCTGTAGGATTATAATGGGAGTGGAGGTGGTGTGATCCTATGAGAACTGAGAAAACTTTGAGGCAGAGTATGGAGGATGAATTGGGAGCAAGAGGTTGATAAAACCAGAGGCAGGAAAACCAGTTAAGAGTCTGGGTTTGAGAAGCAGGAAGGATAGGAAGGGATAGAATTCATGAAAAGCAAAGACAAGACTTGCATATCAATAAGGGGTCTGTAGTGATGGAAAGGTCAGAAGTAAAAATGGTATCTTCTAGTTTAGGCAACTGGGTGAAAGCTGATTACATTAGCCAAAGTGGGAAAACAGAACAAGCGCCAAATGAGATCAAGAATTAGACCTAGATAGGTTAAATTTGAATCAGAGGTGCCAGGAGTAAAGAAGAGATTCAGAATATCATTTTAGGAAACTGATGAGTCTTGAGATACGAATTTGGGTAAGAATGGAAACTATGGTTATGTTTGAGCTTATCTGTAGAGAATGCACAAAGTAAAGCAAAGTCCTGGGAACAGCAACAGCTGAGGTATGAGTAGTGAAGAGGAACTGACAGAAAAGGCTTAAAAGCAGCAGCCAGATAGGAGAACCAAGAAATCAGAGCATGTATCTTAGAAGCTAAGGGGGTGTGTTCAGGAAAGAGGAAGAGATGCTAACAGTGGTAAGGGCCAACAGAGCAAAATGCCATAGGAAGGCCTAGCAAGAAGCAAAACCGTTTGTTGGATTTGATTATTAGAGGATCCTGATGATTTTAGTAAACAATTTCAGGGGACCGGAAGCCAGATGGTAATGGGAATCAAGAGATGAATAGAAGTGAAAAGCAGAGGCAAGAAATATGGACTCTTCATTTTAAGGAATTATGAAACAAAGGGAAAGAGATAATCGGGGTAGTATCCAAGCACAAAAGAGGTTATTTTAGGAAGGGAGAGACTGAATATGGTTTAGGAGGAGGGGAAAAGGCAGTAGAGTGGGGTAGACTGAAAGTCATGCAGCAAAATAAGGATAACTGATGGATAATTAATATTCCATACTCAAAATCCTCTCCTGGGTCTTAAGAATTTTTAATGATATGAGTACTTACTTTTTATAAGCACTGATCAAAAGTGTTCAAATCACTTTACATGTACTAACTCACTCAACCCTCACAATAGTCTTATGGTAGGTGCCACTGTCAGTCCTATCTTACAGATGGGAAAGCTGAGGCACAAGGAAGTTAAGTAACTTTTCCCAAGGTCACACCACTTGCAAGTAGTACAGGGGGCATCCAAATCCAGGCAGATAATATCTAGAGTTCCTGATGTTGAGATTTCTACTTCTGACCAAATACAAGATCAAAAACAGAGAAAAACAGGTATTAGATAAGGGGTGATAACCATGAAAAAAATAATAAGCAAATACTGAATCATGTTTTAATGGTCCCTAAAGGGTAGGAGGATAAAAAAGTATAATTTGAAGTTGAGATTTGTTGCCCCAGCAGACAAAGCTCTGGCTTCAAGTCCATTTCTTACCACTCAGTGCCTAGTTAGGGGATACAATAGTTGGAAAGTGAAAAGTGAATCGACATCTGTTTTCACAAACTGTAGACCTCAGGCTCTTCATGCGCCTTGGACTTCAACAGTAATTGCCAGGACTCAGTCCTAGCTCCCTCCTCACAAGCTCTAAGCTTTCTTCAGAGGCCTTCCATTTCTAAACAGTTTGTGCCAACTCATCTAAACAGTCTAAATTCTTGCCAGGTTTGGTGCTTTGGTGTCTCTCACTTCTGTATAAGCTCCTTTTACATGGTCCATACTAAAGACTTTTACTTCCTCTATATGTGTCCTTTGCCATAACTCCCCTCTCTAAACTCTTCAATTTCCCTCACTTACTCGTCACTCCCCACTACAAAGTTCCTAGATCTAAGGTAAACCCCATGCATGATCTAGACTCTGGTAGAAAGTTTAACACCTCAGTTTCCTTTGAAATGGGGACTGATATCTCCCCATTGCACAGAATAATGTGGAATCTTAATGAAAACATTCTGTCTTTCCCATCACGCACATGGCCCAAGACCAGCTGGACCCTCCCTGAAATGTGCATTATGAACAGAGTTGGAGTTTGCTCATTTTAACTGCAGTGGCCAGGGAGGTTGTAAGGCTGTTCCTGCAGCCAGGACCTCTGAAGCTTCCTGGCTGTGAGTTTTCCCTTGAGTCTACTCCCTGGCCTTACAAATAATTCCACTTTGGCGTCAGTCAGTCAGTCTATCTTATTGCTTGCAAATGAAGAATCTTGACTAATATTCTAACTCTAAGTGTCACTGTGAAGGTGAAATGAGATAAAAGATGGGAAATTAACTGTGAAGTGCTATCCAAATAAAAGTATGTAAAAGAATCCTATATGTAAAAGGATACTACTAAATAAAAAGTATGCAAAAATACTTCCAAAACATAAAACACATTTAAAAAGGAGGGTTAAAAAATAACCAATGTAAAGCATAATTCTTGTCTTACTGAAAAAAAAAAAAAGCTAATTATAGTTTTAAGCCCTCCTTTCTTCCCTTCCCCTTCCCCAAACCAAGGTCTAGGCTAGACAAAAATCTCACAGCTTCTTTCAAATCGTAATTACTGTGATTAAGGGCCAAATTTTATATCAGGTCTTTCATTGGTAAACCAAAAATGACCATTTGCTCAACTAAACTGATAATTACACGTACAATCCCCAAACAGAAACAGAAATATCTAGATCAGAAGAATAAGTTAGCTATGTGTGTAATTTTAGGTTTTATGATGAATAAGTCTGTAAAAGCTGAAGGTTTTAAACTTTGGAAAAAGTCTGGCCCTTGCCTTATGACCATCTGCTAAGCATCAACCATTTAGGTTCTTTATAAGCCTGGCAGTTAACTCAGTTTAAACCAATCTGAAATAAAAAGTAAACTCAGGGGCTCTTCTGTCAATGATAGTGCACATGAAAATTCCTAAGGCTTATCCCAATTGGCCTCTAAGACATAAGAAAGAACTCTTGGAAGAAGAAAGTCTTTCTAGATAATAGAGGGGGGAAAGCCTTCTTGGAATTGCAGGGAGACATTCTTCTCCAAGAAAGTCAGGAAGAGATGAGTAGAAAACAGAAACAGAGAAGGTCTGCAGCTCTCTTGCTGGACAAAAGCAAGGAAACTACGTGGCTGTACAACAAGAGCCAATATACATAGCTTAGCAAGACAAGGAGAGAAATGAAGTTTCTCTTTTACTTGAGAGAACTAAAAGGGAGTATCATATTTAAACATACTGATTAGATGAAGCCCCTTTACTCTCAGAACAGAACACACATTTTGGGAATGTATTCTTCCCTCTTGTTTTGCACTTGTAAGCAAATGGTCTTCAAAATTTGAACTTTCATCAAGCTCTGTGGGAACCAGGGACATGAATTTTATTCATCTGCTCCCAATTTAGATCCCTGTATTGCTGTGAAAATATATGTGACAAGACAGGAAGACATGAGGGGCAGGAACTTGGGACATTTATGATGGTGTTCACCTGACGCCACAATGCCAAAACAAATTTTATTAGAAAAAGTACCACTGAAAATATCACTGACATACAGAATGAGAAAATAACGATAGATCAGAACTTTCCAGAGACTGAATTAGGATGACTAGTGACAGGTGGTGTTTATTTATAAACTTCCCTTTGGGGCTTCAAAATGGGGAAGCTGAAAAGAAATAATTTTTTAAGTTAGCTTGTGAAATCTCCTGCTCTTCAATCTTGATGTTGTTAATTAGGCTACTTCTAGAAACTTTTTGCTTAAATAAATGCTTGTGTTTTCTTTATTCTTAGTAGCAACTGACTTAATCACATTATTGTCCTGTACATGTCACAGCAGATCTATAAAATCACATAATAGATTCACTGATTTTCAAATAATACACTTAGAGTCAACACTTGTTTACAAGGCAGACCAAGATGCTTTCAATGGGGCTGACAGTACCTTAAATGCCACCTGGATGATCTCCTCTGTGTTGGAAGGGTTGCACAAGACAGCCAGGCCAATCACATACTCTCGGAAGTCAATGCTGCCATCATGGTTCTGTGAAAGGATGGGATAAATCAATTAGGAGGGCCACTAGTGGAATTACTATTAATCCTACTACAAGGTAAAATTCAGGTATGTCTTATAGCTCAACCTCATCATTCACTATTTGGAGAAAAGTCTCACTAAGAAGGAACAGCAAGCAAGTAGCCCAACTATTCCCAAGAAGGAAGAAAAATATATTTTCTGTTCAGCAATAAATATAAACTTTTTATGACTGGGGCCATTTATCATGGCTCTATGGCACCCAGTGTGGGTTCTTGAGCTCAGCTTTGCCATGATGGGAGCCCCTCTGGGAGGCAGGACCTATGAGTTTCATCCTTTGTGGAAGTGAAGTGTTCATTCCACCATTACTGGTGGTCCTGCCATAAAGACCAACACCAAAGGGTCATTAAGGGTCCTAAGGGGTTACTAAGCAATCTTCCACATGTGGAAAATGAAAGAAAAGAAAAAGGGCAATAATCACAGCTACATTTTTTCTTTCTTCCAGGCTTAATCTATAGTAAACCAGGAGCAACTGAAGCAAACTTGGGCAACTTTAATAGCCCTGGGGGACATCACCCCAGAAGATCTTACACTTCTAAGCCAATGAAAATAAAGCATAACTAGTATAATATACCTTAGGAGGCATTTCCTGATGGCAATATAAGGGAAGAAATTGATTATTGTAATTCAGGCTGACTAAATACAGAGTTTTCCCTGTACATTAACTGTTTACCTAGACAGGAGCTCTAAGAAGATGAAAATGGAGAGAAGAAAGCTTAGGAGAAAAGGAAGAAAGAGAGAGAGAGATAAGGTAGAAAGTAGGGAGGACTGAAGGAAGAGAGGCCAGACAGAGAACTAAAAAAGAAAGAGGGAGTAGAGGAGAAGGGACAAATGAGATGGAAGTGTTAGAAAAAGATAAAGAGGTGGAGGGAGGGTAGGAGGAGGGAGAAAGAAAGAGAAACTGTAAGTAAGTACTTGATTATAATACCAGGTGTTAGAATTATTTTGGCAGCAAAATTTTCAAGTGATAAATTCCCAGATAAACTATGAACTAGTAACAACAAAGCTAGGGCAGTACTTAATTTGATAGACTAATAATAATATTTGACACAACAAGAGTATGATAATCATCTGTGTTGAAGTATCTACGCTTCAATCAAAAGTTTCTTAAAAGCAAGGGCTGTTTCCTTTGTGTAACAATGTATTCTCATTCCGAGGCACAGAGACAGGGGCTAAGAAAAAAAAAAACAAAAAAACAAACACAACTTTTTCTCATCTACCGTTACCTACTACTCTAGGTTCATAGAACTTCCACTTTAAAACACTAAGGCAAGAATTCTTTGCTGGAGTTTCATGGATGAATTTGGGGAAGGAAGGGCTGTGAAGCCCCTGAAATGGTATGCAATTTTTATGACATCTTTCTAGAGAAAAATGTAGCTTTTATTAGCTTCTCAAAGCAACCAAAACTTAAAAAGTTAAGAATCATTTTCACCATATTACTTTATCTTACTGCAGGGCGGAAACTAAAAGGAGTAATAATTTAATCTCGTTTTCTCACCAGAGAAGGTAGAAACAGAGGTTTCAAGATTTCCCTAAAGGAACAAGGTTTATTCCTGAAACAAACATTCAGGTCATCTGACTTTCTTTTGTCTGATTACCAGTCTGTCAGAGAGCTGTTTTTGTTTTGTTTTGTTTTTTGTTTTTCCTTTTCTTTAATCAGCTTTATTTGTGTTGATTACATTTACATTCAACCAAATGCATCCATTTTAAATGTACGGTTTGATTTGTTTTTTGGTCTTTGGTTTTTTTAAAGATATGCTCTTACTCTCTTGCCCAGGCCGGAGTGCAGTGGCTATCCATAGGCATGACCATAAGCGCACTACAGGCTTGAACTCCTTGTCTCAAGAGATCCTTCCACTTCATCCTCCAAAGGAGCTGTAACTACAGGCGTGTGCCACCACACCCAGCTTAGTTTGATGTGTTTTGACAAATGTATACACCATGGTAACCAGCGCCAATATCTACATTTCATCACTCCAGATGTTTCAGAGAAGGCAGAGTATTAAAGGAAATCATTTCCTTCTTTGCCACCACCATTTAATTTTCTAATGCACTCTGGAGGGCTGTTTTTACTGAACCTTAGAGGTTGAGGAGCTTCTTGAACCATGGCTTTATTGCTCAACATAGATACATTTCTTCTGCAATTAGCTTTTTCCACTAAGCAACATAGAAGTCTTAAATAGAAATTCTTAAGAACAGATCCAAGAATGATTTCTGGACACTGAAGTTACTATCATAGATTGTCTGTATAATTGGAAATACCCCTTTGAATTTATGTTGTATCTTTATTGTGAGATATCCAGTTTTTATCTATACTACCAAACCCTATGTGTAACACTTGTCAGGAAGCATCATTAAGTCATTTTGCAGATGGAGAAATAGAAATGTGACAAACTCTTAACATTACCACTAGTCACAGAACAAGGTAACATTCTGGACCCCTAATTTCATTAACATACGAGTGGTTTTGAATGACAAAGAATCTTGATGATCACAAGAGAGGGTATATGAATCTTTTCATCCTAGTAATATGAAGGAAAAAGCAGCATGGAAATTACTCTGAGAGATTATATTATTGGATTAGTAAATCAATATACTGTTAAGATTCCAAATTCAGAATAACAAAATTTAGAACTGGAAGGAATCTTATAAATCATCCATTCAACTTCTTCATTTTACCAATGAAAAAAATGAGACAAAAGTTTCTCTTGAGGTCACAAAACTCACTATTGCCATAGCTGCAATTAAAATTTAGATAATCTGGCTGCTTACTAAAGCAAATAGCTTGATAAAATGTACCCCAAAACAGATAAAAATTATACAGCAAAATATACTATTTTTTTAATTCTTAAATGTCAAATCAGTATCATGATAAGAATTATTGCACAATCTTTGGTTCTTTTCTTTAAAACCTACTGAGGTCCCCAGGAAGAATTATAAACTTAATAAAAAAAAATCCAGACTTGAAGATATTTCAGGGCCACATTTCAAAGGAGACCAGCTCTTTGGAGGGAGGCCGTAATCCCTCCATAACCTGTCCTAATCTGGAGCCCAGAGAAGTCCAGAGTTAGAACTAAGGAGTTACATTGGGTAAGTACAAATAGAAAAGATAATGGTCTCATGGAAACTCCAGACAGTGGGCCCCATCCCTTTCCTGGAAGTCAGCAGGATCAGAAAAGCATGGAAGTGTGTGTGAGGGGAGGTCACTGTGAGCTCATGGCCCCCCAGCACCTTTCATCTGCTTAGTCACACAACACCAGCTTTCAGGGCCAGCAGGAAGCTCTAGGCTACTTGTTCAAATATTGTCCACTTAAAACTCTTGAAAAAATAAGTGGTGATTCTCATGTGTCTGATTCTCAGGTATCAGTTCCTTCCAGTTGTTTCATAGTTGAATTTATTCAACATCTTTATTCATGTGGAATTAGATACTCTTTATAACTTTTTATGTTTAGTAAAATTTAAGGATATGGTTTTGAATACATTTTGCAATGATAAACTCCCAAGAAGAGGGACTATTTTTCCTTCTGATGTTATAACTGAAATATATCATCCCTGTAAATGAGAGATAATCAGTGTTGTCAAAATAATTTTAAAACGTTTACATAAAACAGAATTTACTTGGCAGCAACCAACAGAAAAAAGTCTTCACATCGTCAGAGATACTCTATAAATCCAAAGGAGTATTATTATTAAAATACAGTAAATTCTGAGCTGTACAGAAGAGTACAGGAAGAAGTATTCGATTTAACTGAATATTCTAAGAGCATATTTCTACCCATATACATAATTGAATCAGTTTCTAGGAATAAAATTGTTTTAATATACTTAAATATTTTTAAAAAGCAATTCTGAAGGTTCTTCAAGATCAGTAGGCACATTAGATATCCATACTTTGTAAGTGCCTCCACAAATATTTTTTAAGTCCCCACTATACGGGTAGTTGTTTAATACTACTGATAAGATTTTTTTAAATAATTGTTTTTTCAAGACAGGGTCTCCCTATGTCACTCAGGCTGGACCCCCCGGGCTCAAGCGATCCTCCGCCTCAGCCTCCCAAGTAGCAGGGACTACAGGTGTGCGCCAACTTGCTTGGCTAGTTGTGGGGATTTTTTAAATTTTTTTGTTGAAACGGGGTTTTGCCATGTTGCCCAGGCTAGTCTTGAACTACTGGGCTCAAAGCAATCAGCCCACCTCAGCCTCCCAAAGTGCTAAGATTACAGGCATGAGCCACCATGCCTAGCCAGTACTGATAAGATTTCTGACTGGGGTAGCTAGATAAACCAACTTTTAAAAACACATGCACCGCTACCCAAAAATATTTTTAAAGTGACCTTTAAGATCACATAAAAATTTTGAATGTTTCTGGTAGTTTGCTGTTCATAGTTACAGAGCACATGATTCTTTTTCCTTTTTTATAGGTTATAAAATTTAGTGGATTATATCAAGATAAAGTTACTTTTCAAAATCACATGGGATCTTTTGAAATTTAAAAATGTAGATGTATAATTTCACATATTTTTATCACTGAGTATGATTTTCAATTTACATTGATTAAATTACTTAATGTCAGAAATTTAAGAATAATGGCATGGAGTTATATGAATTATATAAATCTTAGGCTATAAATAGTCTTGCATATAGAGCAGGCAAATTTTTAAAAAGGTGTCAAGTTAAATATTGCTTCTAACATTAAAAATGTGCCTTTAAAACATCAAATATTGAATGAAAACTAAGAAATTCAATCACTTGCTAGGCTATTGGTTCTACACAATGCTAAATATTTGGTTACTTGGAAAAAGTCCAGATTTTTTAGTTCTAGTATCCACTCTGATGTCTGAGGTTACTTATACAAATTCAGAAGAGAAAAGGAGAGAAACTTAGGTAATTTCAGGGTGTTTTTCCATGAGCATGCTGGAAGAGAATTGTAAAAGTAGGTAATCCCTCAACTTGAGAAGCAAGGGCAATAATACCACTCCTAGTGTGAGATGATTGTTTTAACTTTTATGAAACATTTACAATAAAGTGAGGAACAAAAATGTGGTTACATTGTTCTTTCCACAACCATCCTATGGAAAGGTTAAATTATAAACCTAATATTCTGAGAATTTAAAAGATGTCTGGCAGCTTTCCCCTTTCTTGGCTACTTTACTACATCCATGCCTAACATATTCCTGGACTTATTCTAAAATAGAGAGATTGTTATTAATGTGTGGTTGCTGGCAGCAGCCTCCTTCTTATGTAACCACACCTGGTCTAAGTAGCACACCAGACCAAGGTTAAATTACAAGTCCCTTGAGGAAAGTGGATGTGATCTCTGTGCTTGGCTCAGTTCAGAATTATATGTGTGTGGTGTTTCATAAATATTGTATGATGGTGATGATGGTGAACACAAAGGTCAAAAGCCAACCTCTCCACATTTCACTGGGGATTTCTAACAGGAAGCTGAGGGATGTTAACAGGCTAGTTACATCATTTCCATAGTTACAACTTTCTTCTAAATGAGTCCAAAGAGGAAGGAAGAATTTATCTGCAAACTCGGGATGACCCTCCAAAGTAGCCTGGGATAGAGACAATGCATTAAAAATCAGAGAAGCAGAATGGGTAGAGACCAATTAAATAGCAGACAGAGGAACCAAGCACTTGCAAATGTAGCCTCTCTAGCTGTGTCTACTGGCACCGGAATCCTGGATTCTGTTTGCTCTGCTATATTAGCCTATTATCAAAATTATAAAGCCAAACCAAGGTCTGTACGCAAGAAAGGCACAACTACCCCAGCTTTTGGGTGGCATTTTCTTGGTATTTCTATCTTCCTTCTCCTGAATGCTGGCAACACTGACTCTCCTGCATGGCCTTAGTTTTGGCTGAGACAGGCTTGAAAAATACTGTGAGGTGGCCCTACTTCAAAGCAATCAAGGCTGTCAACCTTGGCTGATCATTAGAATCACTTGGGGAGCTTTAAACATATTCATCTCTGGGCCCCACCTCTAAAAAGTCTTATTTAACATATTTGGAGACTCAAGTATTAGTATTCCTAAAGAGCTCTCCCAGTGATTCCAAATTGCAGCCAGGGCTGAGAATAATTGCAATAGTCAGCAATATGTGTTCTCTATATTGGTTTACATTCCATTTAACTGATTACTGTTCATGTGTTTTTCTTTTTTTGTTTTTCTTTGTTTGCTGCTTATTTCCTGCCTGTAGTTTTCAAAGATGAACAAAAGAATTTTCCTTGCTCTAAGGCAGGACAAGACACGACAAGAGCTGGCTAACGTCAACAGGGCATGCCTGATTTTGTATGAAGTACGTGTAAGAGCAAACATTTTGATTCATTAAGGCAGCTAGAGACATTTTTGAACTATGAGCATATTGTTTTATTCCTCAATGTCTTTGACTCTCTTTACAAATGTATCAAAACAAAATTGCTAGTGCTTTTTTTTACTAAAGAAACAGAATTAAAGAACTTTAGAATTTTAGATAGTAGCTCCATCATTTAAAAAAATGCTACCCTTATATAAAACTGCTTAATTTCATTGTCTGAACCTGTTTCTTTATGGTTAAATAAGTTTCCTAAAAAGCACTTTTCATTTTTTTACATAATGGGAAAACCAGGTATAAAATTACAAGAAAAACAGATTTTGAACCTCTCTCCTCAACTTTTTAAAATGGAAAATGTATCTCCTGAGGGCTTTCTTGATTTATTCTAGGATTAAAAAAATTCATTCTTAACAACAATAACAACAATAATAAAGTTCCTACTCCTTGGAATTTATTCACTAAATAAGCAACACCTTTTAAAATCTACTCCATTAGAACTCTACCCCACAACCTCCCCACCATATATATGCAAGTCCATATAAATCCAAATCTCAAAAAGCTGATATACAAACCACTCAGAACATTTTTCGTGAAATATCTGTTTTAATTCAGCAGTAAAAGGCAGCACATGATCAGAAATATGTAGGGTTGTGAAAGAGCTTGCCAGGAAATGAGAGCTGTTGCACAGGGTATCAGCAACTGTGTACAGCTTGGCAAGGTTTTCAGTCCTGTCCTCCAGGGAGGATCTTGACTTCTCAGTTCCCACTTCAGGAATACATGGTCAACTGCAGCCATTCTTTGATAGACACTTGAATCAGGCCATCTCTATCTCTATCCAGAGACTTGAAGGCACGAAACATGGCATCCAGGCGGACCAAGCAGCTGATGAAATTGTTAAAATCCATATCTCCATCTTCATTAGCATACCGGCGGACAATCATTTGGTAAAGTTGTTCATTTAGCTGGAAGCCTGCGGCCTGCAGAGCTCCCCGCAGCTGAGAACTTCCCAGAGACCCAGAATGGTCCCTGTCATACTGCTTATAAACACACTGCCATTTCTTGATGTTGTTCCACAGATACTTAAATTCTTCAAAGCCCAGCTTACCAGTCGTGTCACTGTCCATGACAGACACAATGCTCCGGCAGGTGTCAAGACTAAAACCGTCAGTCTTAAGATCTTTGTGCTTAGAAAGGACTTTGTTGAGAATATTCATCAGATCAGTGGCACCCACCTCCATGTCTGGTCCAGCCAGCTGTGTAAATTGTTGCCGAAATCGCCTAACTTCCTCACTTTCTGAGGCCTCCACACTGGTGAAATGCTGCTGAGTGGGAGGCGGTTCTGGAGTATACTGAGCTGCTGCAGCCTCACTGATAAAATTCACAATTCCTCCAACTATCCCTCCAATATTTCTTCCTCCTCCTTCTCTTCTCTGACCACCTCCTCCAAAGAGGCCTCCAAGAGCTTCTCCAAGACCTCGATCTGCTCCTTCCAATAGAGCCTTTGCAAGAAACATGCTTTCAGTTTAACAAGCAAATGCGGCAGCAATCTTAGAGATGGTATGAAAAAAGATGAAATGGAGTTCAAGTAGTTTACATGTGGAAGAACTGGCTTTTCTTTACCTGCTTACACTGCACCACGCCCCATGATGTGATGTTTCACATCCTACTGAAGATACCTGAGTTCCATGAGGTCCTAGCACCTGCCATATTTTACAAGGCCTCAATAAAATTGTTTTCACTCTTCCAGATACTTATAAATTATAGTATGTAGGACACCTTAGGATAATAGTTTTAAAGAAAAAATATTAAAGTATGCATTTTTATGTCATTGATTTCTTAGTCCTCTGTCTCAGCACCTAAAAAATGATGTGCATTTTCCTAACAGGAAAAAGGTAAATGATGCAAGGAAATCAAAAATTTATTCTCTAAGAAATATTTATTGTTAGAATAGAATTGAAGAAATCTTGGGCATTGGAAGAATATTTAATCCTCTTCCTTTAGCAAAGATTCTCAAAATCCAGTAGTCTTAAGAAAAATTTAGAAGGGAGATTTTTAAAATGCAAGGTCCTGAATTTCCACTCCCAGAGATTCTGATTCCATAGGGCTGCTGTGGTGTCTGTGATCGACATTGCTAAAATCTTTTTTGAAATGTAACATTCATGTAAAAAATGTATCATATAAATCACAAATGGATAGCTCAAAGAATTTCACAGACTGCACACATCTCAGAGGCCTCTTCATACTTCTTTCTAGTTACTTCCGTCTTCCAAGGATAACCACTGTCCTGACATCTAACACCATAGATTTATTTTTGCACCTTAAATAAATTAAATCAGACAGTACAGACTCTTTCATTTATTCCTTTTTCATTATAAAAATGTTAAATGTTTTAAAATTGTGATAAAATACACATGCCATAAAATATACTATTTTAACCATTTTTAAGTATAGAGTTCAGTGGCATTAAGTATATTTGCATTGTGAAACCATCACCACCAGCTATCTTCAGAACTTTTTTCATCTGGCAAAACTGAAACTGTACCCATTAAAGAATAACTCCCATTCTCCCCTTCCCCCACCCCTGGTAACCATCTCTCTATTTTCTAGCTCTATGATTTGACTACTCTGCATGCCTTATATAAGTGGAATCATACAGTATTTGTTCTTTTGTGACTTGCTTATTTCAATGAGCATAATTTCTTCAAGATTCATCCATGTTGTATCATGTGTCAGAATTCCCTTCCTTTCTAATGATGAATAATATTGTATTGCATTAATATACTCATTTTGTTTTTCCATTATCCCATTGGTGAATACTTGGGTTGCCCTTTTGGCTATTGGGAATAATGCTGCTATGAACATGGGTATACAAATATTTGTTTGAGTCTTTGCTTTCAATTCTTTTGGGTATATACCAAGAAGTGGAATTGCTGAATCATATGATAATTCTATTTTTATCTTTTTAAGGAACTACCATACGCTTTTCCTTATTGACTGTACCACTTACATCCCCACCAGCAATACACAAGAGTTCCAATTACTCCATATGCTTGCAAACACTTGTTATTTTCTCTTTTGTTTTGTTTTCTAATAATAGCCATCCTAATGGCTGTAAAGTGGTATAACATTGTAGTTTTGATTTGCATTACCCTAATGATTAATGATGTTGAGCATCTTTTAATGTATTAATACTTACTGACCAAAGAAGATCTTTGGAAAAATGTCTATTTAAATCTTTTGGCCATTTTAAAATCTGGTTATTTGTTGGGTTTCTTGTTGTTGAGTTGCAGGAGTTCTTTAAATATTCTAGATATTAATCCCTTATCAGATATATAATTTGTAAATATTTTCTTTCATTCTGTAGGTTACCTTTCCACTCTGTTGTTAGTGTCCTTTGATGCACAAAAGTTTAAAATTTGTATGTGGTCATATTTATCTATTTTTCTTTGGCTGCCTGTGCTTTTGGCGTAATATTCAAGAAATCATTGAGAAATCCAGTGTCATGAAGCTTTTCCTCTGTTTTCACTGAAGAGTTTTATAGTTTCAGCTCTTATGTTTAGATCTTTGATCCATTTTGAGTTAACTTTTGTATATGTGTAAGTTAAGGGTCCAACTTCATTCTTTTGCATGTGGATATATAATTTTCCCAGCACTATTTGTTGAAAAGACCGTCCTTTCCCCATTGAATGGTTTTGGCATTCTTGCTGAAAATCATATGACCATATACACAAGGGTTTCTTCTGGGATCTCTATTCTATTCCATTGGCTTATATGTCTTTCTTGAAACCAGTGCTGCACTGTTTTGATTACTGTAGGTTTGAAGTAAGGTTTGAAATGAGGAAATGTCAGGCTTTCAACTTTGCTATTCTTTTTCAAGATTGTTTTGGCTATTCAGTGTCCCTTGAAATTCCCTATGAATTTTAGGATTGATTGTTCTATTTTTGTAAAGAAACATTGGGACTTTGAAAAGGATTGCTTTAAATCTGTAGATCACTGTGGGAAGTACTGACTCTTAATATTGTCTTCTAATCCATAAACATGGAATATCTTTCCATTTATTTGTCTCTTCTTCAATTTCTTTCAGCAGTGCTTTGTAGTTTTCAGTGTACAAGTCTTTAGCTTCCTTCTTGAAGTCTATTCCTAAGTATTTTAATTTTTTCTATGCCATTGTAATGGAATTGTTTTCTTAGTTTCCTTTTCAGAATTGTTCATTGTTGGTGTATAAAATGCAACTGATTTTTGTGTGTTGATTCATATCCTGTAACATTGCTAAGTCCCTTAATTAGTTCTGTGTTTTGTATGTGTGAGGGGTAATCTTTAGGGTTTTCTACAAATAAGATCATATCATTTGTTAACAGAGATAATTTTACTTCTTCCTTTCTATTTCATATGCCTCTTATTTCTTTTTCTTGCCTAACTGTTCTCGCGATGATTTCCAATACCATGTTAGTAGAAGCATGAGAGTGGGCATCCTAGTCTTATTCCTGATCTTAGAGGAAAAGCTTTCAGTCTTTTCATCACTGAACACAATGTTAGCTATCAACTTTTCATATATGGTGTTTATTATGTTGGGGCACTTTCCTTCTAGTTTGTTGTGTGATTTTATCAGGGAAGAGTACTGAATTTTGTCAAATGCATTTTCTGCATCTGTTAAGATGATCATGTGATTTTTCCCCTTCATTCTGAGAATATGCTGTGTTACATTAATTGATTTTCATATATTGAACCATCTTGCATTCCAGGAATAAATCCCACTTGATCATGGTGTATAATACTTTTAGTGTGCTGTTGAATTGTGTTTGCTAGTATTTTGTTGATTTTTGCATCCATGTTCATATGGCATATTGGTCTGTAGTTTTCTTCTCTCCAAGTGTTTTTATCTGACTTTGGCCTCATGGAATGAATCAGAAAGTATTCCCTCTTCTTTAATTATTTGGAAGAGTTTGAAAAGAACTGGTGTTAGTACTTCTTTCAATGTTTGGTGGAATTTTCCAGTGAAGCCAACTGGTCCTGGGCTTTTCTTTGTTGGGAGGTTTTTGGTTACTGATTCAATATCTTTGCTAGTTATAGGTCTATTCATATGTTTTACTTCTTCATGATTCAGTCTTGGTAGGTTGTGTAGGAATTTGACAATTTCATCTAGCTTATGCAATCTGTTGGCATACAGTTGTTCGTAGTACTCACTCATCATCCTTTTTATTTCTGTAAAATTGGTAGCAATGTCTTCTCTTTCATTTCTGGTTTTATGTGTCTAGCTTTTTCCCCCCTCAACAGTATATTTTTGAGATTTGATTTTATATTTTTAATAAGCATCTTCAGAAGTCAGTCTGTAACAGGTAGCCTGGATAATACTTTGAGAAATCCTACCTTTAATACTAGTTATAGTCAGAGTACAGGTCCTCCAGAGGTTATTGGAAGTTCTACTGGGGAACTTGGGGAAAAGTAGCTAGGACTTAATGATTAAGTCATTATATTACTTAGCATTTGGGGGTCTCAATTTCGAATCTACAAAATGATAATAATAATATCGCCCTTGCTTACTTCAAATGATTCAATCTGATTTATTATGTATCAGGACTTGGGCTCAGTACTTAGGTTACAAAGGTGAATAAAGCAGGATGGCTGTGCTCAAAAATCAAGTAGAACTACAGGAAACTGGTATAATTATAATATGAAGTCTGTGTTCACATTTCTACTATCAATACTAATCTATTATATTTGTATATATATGTTTTAGTATTTAGGTTTCATTGAATTCCTCTGAAAGATACAAATGTATTTTAGATAAGGTAAGAAAAATTCAGAAAAGTTAAGCTAGTTATCCAAGGTCACGCAGCTAGTACACTGTCCTATGATATCAAACAAGTATAGGCACACAAAAAGGGATCAATGAATTCTACTGAGGCAAAGGAAAGGAGAACATTTACCTATAGAAGAGATCATGTGTAGGCCTGACTACAGGCTGAGTCTCAGAGTTCTCCAAATAGATAAGGGATATAAAAGGACAGTCTAGCAAAAACACAGAAGAGCTAAAGGATATGAGGTATTCAAGAGATGGTGAATAGTACAATGAGATGAGACTCTATTGCTAGGAGTGATGAGAGATAAAGGGAGATCAATAAAATGGAATCAGATTGGAAGGGGGTTTGAACTGCTATGTGGCAGAGTCTCTCTCACAAGTAATTGTAGAAACTACTGACAGCTCAAATGTAAAGTCAAAAGGAGATTAGATGTGAAATTACTTTGGAAATTATGTAATTCTAGAACTGAATAATGATTATTCTAGCTATTATTAGGGAGAGAATAGTAGCCAAGGGACATCGCTCTGTCTAGGACATGAGAGCAATGTCCTGTCTTCTGCCACACTGAGTGGTTTGTGTAAAACTTTCCAACAACTGATTTTATTTCTCATAGGCACAATGAAATGGCCTCTGTGAACACCAAAAACCAAATGTCTTCTTTAACTACTCAGCAAAAGTATCACAAAAGAACTCTCTTCCTTTTAGGGAATCACAAGGGGCCATCTGGCTTTAGACAGATTTAAACCCATTCATATAAGCTTCTCTCAGAGAAAATTACATGAACTTTGTTTTTATAATATTGCAAATTAACTTGATAATATCGACTGTCATATAAAATGTGCCTCCTTGTGCCCATCTGAAGTGTTTTTTTGCTGTGGTTTAAATCCAATTCTTCTCATTTATTTTCCGTGAAGATGGAGGGCATTTGGCTAACAGTTTCTCATAAGCCATCATAGAATAAAAGACTATTATTAGATTAACAAGCTTTTTCTCCTCTGGATGATTTAATCCCCTATGGCTATTTATTAGAACATTAATAGCAACCTTAATTGCTGTCTGTGGGAACTCTACCATCCATATCTGCAAAAAAAAAAAAAAAGTATAGGAGGGGAAGAAGCCACATCTGATGGATAATTTAGTCCCAATTTGGGGAACAAAGTTATTAGACTTAAAAAGTACACAATGAGACACAATGTTATTAAAAACATTATTCAAAATAGTCCAAAAATGGAAACAACCTAAATGTTTACCAACTGGCAAATGGATAAGCAAAATACGATATATCCACATAAAAGAATACAATTTGGCAATAAAATGATGACTGATACATGCTACAAGATAGATAAACCTTAAAACATTATGCTAAGTGAAAGAAGCCAGACACAAAAGACATACATTATAGGATTCCATTTATATAAAATGTCCAGAAAAGGCAAATCTATACAGATAGAAAGTTGATTGGTGCTTGCCTAGGGCTAGGGGATAAGTAGGTGACAGGAACTAACAGTTAATGACATAAAAAATCATACTGGGGTGATGGGAATGTTCTAAAACTGCTTGAAAGTTGATGACTGCACAACTTGGTAAATTTACAAAAAAAAAATTATTGAATTGTATACTTGGGTGAATTAGGATATGTAAAATATGCCTCAAGAGAATTATTTTTTAAAAATAGTGACAGTTTGTAGTAAAAAAGAATACCAAACTAGGAATTCTAGTCTCAGTCCTGCAATTAACCAGCTGTGTGGCCTTGGGCATGTAACTTCCTCTCTTGAGCTGGCAATCTTCTGCAAAATGAAGAAGATGGGCAATTTGATACCCAAAGGTCTGTTTAGCTCTACAATTCTGTGAATCTAGATTTGTGACAGCAACATCATTCTTGTATTTAGTTTCCTTCTGGTGCCTATACCTTTTTATGCTATATGTTAATTTAATTTAATCTTTCTTTATCTGGGTCTGGTTCTACAACTTTTAAAGACATGCTCACTTACCCTTATTCCCACTTTGACATATTGTGTGGTGACTGCAACCTATTAAGTATGTTGCTTTCCAAACAGAATTCCAAGGGGAACTGAACCTCGTCTAGAATAACACAGAAGGACTCACAACTCCCACTTTAGATGAAGCCTTTCTGTCAAGTGGGGCCTTCATCTAACTGCAATATGATCTGGACCAGACCTTCCTAATTTGTTGATAAGAATGTCATGTTGGATGAAATCAAAAGCCTTTCTAGAGTCCATACAGATGAAATCTATTTGGTTTTCCTTATCATCTTGGACTGTCACTCTGTCATAGAGGGAATTTAAATTGGTCTGACACAATTTTCTTTTTACAAAGCCTTGTTCTTTACTTCCTTGTGCTCTTGGAGGAGGCCACTAATTACTCCCTTGCTCTAGTTTAAAAAGTTACATTTTAATTTTACAGTCTCCTTTCTGTTTCCTCTGTGCATCTCCCAAGTATACTTGCATTGAGAAGCCAAAAGTAAAGCATATAATTCTCATGTCTAAATGGACATTTTAGTTAACTACACTCAGACATAGAAAATACTGTGATGGACTAAATGGAGGAGCTAAGTGAACCTGAGAATTGAATAGGGAAATACTCAGACATATAGAACCAAACTTTCAAGGCAGCTTATACAACTGAATAGAAAAGTTTATGTGTCACACTCAGAAAGTTGTAGCCTTTTTTTTTTTTTTTTCAAATTGTATCATATAAGTTGTGGAATAGACTTCATATAGCAAATCCTGAGTAACTGGGATTGGAATCAAAATGGTTCTTTTCATGTGAATTATGAAATACTGTATTACATATAAAACGTTAACTGGAAACTTAAAATATAGAAGACTTTACTGTTTGTTTCCAGTCATTTAAGCCACCTAAGTGCCCTGTCCTAACTCTCAGCATGAGCAGAAAACCTGCACACTACAGCACCCTACATTCTGTAACAGGAAGGGGCAGGCAAGGATGTTTGTTATTATTGGCACTCAAGATTTAACACTTGAACTAATACCAAGAACAAGAACAGGGCAGACAGGAAAAACTTGGAATAAAGAAACACATTCATTCCACATAATGTGAAACAGTAATAAAACATCTACAGAAGTTTACAATAGCTAAGAAGGCTGGATTGCCAAAGTGCTAAAGTATACACAAACTTTTCCTGTCCAGTATTTAAACAAAGTACATAGTAATGCCAGAAGAACTAAGTACTTGTTAGGAGCAGAAATGGGAAAAATCATGACCATTGTTAAATTTCTTACAGAATGGAAATCATAATCACCTATCTAAATTTTACTAAGGAATAATCTATGATGCACATAATGGTGTTGGTAAAAAGAGAAAGTGAGCTAATGCCAGGCTACAGCTCAGAATTAGAAATCAATTTCCTCACTCTTTTCCTTTCATCTGTGAAGATGAATGATACACCACTACTTACAACTATGGGAGGATAGTAACAAGAGCTAGACAGATTAGTCAATAATAAAGAGTCTTAGTGATCCCTTTAAATCAGATGTAGAATACCCACAAATTAATAACAATCACTATAAGTCAGACTTATAGTGACTTGTAGTAATCCTTCAATCCAGTTCTTAAACCTATGAGCATGCTTTGTTTTCATCAGCTTAGGAAATACAGTAGGGACCAGCGAACTACAGCTGGTGGGCCAAATCCAATCTGGGCCTGTTTTGCAAATACAGTTTTATTGGGACATAGTCATGCTATTCATCTATGTATTTTTATGGCCATTTCTGCTCTATAATAGTGGAGATGAATAGTTGTAACAGACACCATGTGGTCTGCAAAGTCAAAACTATTTTCTATCTGGTCCTTTACAGAAAAAGTTTCCTGACTGAAATATAGCTTTGCTGCTATTGAGTATGGTGACAGTGTTAGATAGAAAATTAAGATGAATGCATCTTGAGATGTAGTGTGGAAGAGATATGACTTGCTTGTGGTAGGAGGTAAGAGGCAGATAATATGGTATATTGGCAAGTTTGCAAAAAAAATTATGTGCTTACAGAAATATGTGAGAACTGTTTTATAGGTACAGAAGATACCGCTGCCAGGGCAGCATACAACTGCTGAATAATGTGGTGCTGAAGGAGGATGAAATGAACAATGATGCTGTTTGGACATTGCAAGACATTGTTATAACTGTAAAAATGATTGTGCTATAATTACTTCTGATTTAGCCAGTGTAAAAATTTCCTAATCTTGTTAAGTGTCTTTGAATCCCTTCAAGTGTGCTGGCATAACGTCTACTCTTAATCTGAATTATAAACATATAAAATGTTGAGAAGTCATTGTTTTAAACCATTGTTTAAGCTCTTAGCTCTCACTCATCTGGACATTTAACTAATCCCCAATGAAACTGTGAAGCAGAGAGTTAAGAACAAGTTCATGAAAATAAAGAAGCGAAATTAAACCCAAAGACGGAAAGGGTCTTTTTTGTTTTTCAAAGATGTGAGACCTTTCCAAAGGAAATTATCCCAAACTAGTGAACTATGCCATGCTTTGGATCATGAATACCACATTTTTGTTGGGCCTTCAAACTGTCTGCCATCAAATATCTGAGAATGTAAAGACATGTTAGAAGGAGCCAATAGCATATTTTTGTAGGATAAATTGAGACAAAAACCATTATGAAGTTTTTGTAGACGAACCAAGAATGCAGGTGGGAAGAAAAAGTAAAAGAATGGTGGAGAGATATTGAGGTTTTCCCTCCATCCCCCAAATGCCAACCACAATAGCACTAGACTTGAGGAAAGATAAGAAAAGAAAAGAAGAAAGGGGGAAAGGAGGATAAAGTGGGAAGGGAACATGGGAAGGGCTTATGGGAGCATTTTCCACTACAGGAATTTCTAGCTGCTGAAAGAGCAACAGGGACACCTTACCTTTTCTCTTTCCCATCCTTCCTCCCATTGTGTACTTAGTTTAGCAAGATAAACTACCCTGAGAGAAACAAACTATGGAGCTGCTGAAATTTCTTGCCTTTCCCATCAAACTTCCCTCTGCTAAATCACTCACAGAGACTGAGAAAACAAGCCTAGCATGGAAAGTGGGTATGTGTATAAGGTGTGGCATCAATTGCACAATTCAGCTTCTCAAAACAAAGTAAATCTTCACAGGCACAGACATTCAGGTGTGTTCAGAACAGAAAGAGAGAGAGAGAGAAGAAGACAGAGAGAGAGAGACAGAGACAGAGAGATAGAGAGACAGAGATAGAGAAAGGAAAAAAGGAAAAAGGAAGGAAAGAAAGGTGAAAATGCATTAATCATTAATTCTCCAGACTATTTTCTCTACCTTCCAGTATGTTGGAGATCAAAAGAAAAGTGCTTTGAAGAACAGTTACGGTTTATATCTAAACCTCAGACATATCATACAAAGAAGTAAAACAAACAAACAAACAACATCAAAAAAAGCCCCACAATTATAAAATAATATGTCAGCCTACCAAATCAGTTCATGCGAAAATGCGGTAACCAAATAGGCTGCAAAGGCTCACCAGTCTTCCAACTGCCTGGGCCAATTGTTATCTCTAGTATGAGTTAGTCAATCAGCTAGCTGGCAGTTATTTTAATCTTTGGTTTATATCCCCTTCCCCACTCAAATCCTCCTATAGTTAACAGTGCTGTACAAACAATGAGGGTGTTGGCAGGTATCATCAATCATCAAAAGACAGAACTGGTGTCACAGTAATTCTTTCTCTTTTTTTTTTGAGACGGAGTCTCGCTCTGTCGCCCAGGCTGGAGTGCAGTGGCGCAATCGCGGCTCACTGCAAGCTCCGCCTCCTGGGTTCACACCATTCTCCTGCCTCAGCCACCACGCCCACCTAATTTTTTTTGTATTTTTAGTAGAGACGGGGTTTCACCGTGTTAGCCAGGATGGTCTCGATCTCCTGACCTCGTGATCTGCCCACCTCGGCCTCCCAAAGTGCTGGGATTACAGGCGTGAGCCACCGCGCCCGGCCCTGGTGTCATAACAATTCTGTAACTGCTAGCTATAATAGTTTGACACCTGAAGGACAGGGAAAGCTCTACAGATACTATTTTTAATTTTGATTAAAAATCCTGATGAGCACAATGTCTAAGATATGCTATAAACTTCGTTCTTTGTCCCTGTTTCATGTCCCTTCCTATTTCCCTATCTCCTGTCCTGGTTTGTACATCCCTGCCATATTCCTTCCCGTCACTAGTTTCATATATACATACATTTTATTTAAAATTACTTGCATGGTTTCTAAAACCATAGTGGAAAATGCTATATAAATCTCAGAAATATTAGTAATCATACAAGTAAAAAGGTACCTCTAATTTTCCAACTTGCGCAGTTACATCCAATCATCTACTTGTGGCTGGTGTGGTAACTCACACCTGTAATCCCAGCACTTTGGGAAGCCAAGTTGGGTGGATTACCTGAGGTCAGGAGTTCAAGACCAGCCTGGCCAACATGGTGAAGCCTTGTCTCTACTAAAAATATAAAAATTAGCCAGGTGTAGGAGCGAATGCCTGTAATCCCAGCTACTTGGGAGGCTGAGGCAGGAGAATCACTTGGACCCGGGAGGCACAGGTTGCAGTGAGCTGAGATCATGCCACTGCACTACAGCCTGGGTGACAGAGTGACATTCAGTCTCAAGAAAAAAACAAATAAACAATAATTTACTTCTTTCTTCCCCTAAATCTTCATTGCACTTTATAGTAGTACTGCTGCAGTCATACATTAGTATTTCATAGATGATGACAGATTATTTGTATGCTGCATGCAAGCCCAGAAGAGAAGTCCAGGCACTACACCTAAAAGAAGGTTGCTTAACAGCATCTTGTTAAAGAATAGTTCATCTATGAGATCACAGAATAAGTCATTAGAAGAATTTAGTGTGCTCTGGGAAAAAAGAAAAAAGCCCTGGTTATTTCGGTCATCAAACCATGTTTTCTTTACAAACTACTTTTTTTCCCAATAGTAAATATAAAACTGGAACTGTTGCTACACACCAAGATGGATGGAATCTTTAGCCAGCCTATCATTCTCGACTATAACTGGCAACTTTGAACAAAATACAATAAGCAACTACCTCTGGACAAAATACCATAAGAGGAGGATTGGTGAGGAAAGTCAAAACTTGAAGAACAACTAGTAAGGCTGCAAAACCATGGAGGCCACTTAAAGTAAGACATTATTAAACTGTTAAAAGAAAAGAACAGTCAACTCAGAATTCTACATACAGGCATATCTCATGTTATTGTTCTTTGCTTTACTGCACTTCACAGACAATGTATTTTTTGTAACAATTTGAAGATTTGTAACAACCCTGTATGAGCAAGTCTATCAGTGCCATTTTTCCAACAGTACGTGCTCACTTCATGTCTTCATGTCACGTGTTGATAATTCTCCTAATATTTCAAAAAATTTTATTATTATTATATCTGCTATGGTGATCTATAATTTGTGATCTTTGATGCTACTATTATAATTGTTTTGGAGCACTACAAACTCTGCCCATGTAAGATGGCAAACTTAATTGATAAATGTGTGTGTTCTGATTGTTCCATGGACTGACTGGCCATTCCCAGTCTTGCTCCCTCTCCTTGATCCTCCCTGTTCCCTGGACACAGCAATACTGAAATTAGGCCGAGTAATAACACTACAACGGCCCCTAAGTGTTCAGGTGAAATAAATGGTTGCATATTTCTTACTTCACATCAAAAGCTAGAAATGATTAAGCTTAGTGAGGAAGGCATGTCAAAAGCCCAGACAGGCCAAAAGCTAGGTCTCTTGCATCAAACAGCCAAGTTGTGAATGCAAAGGAAAGTTCTTGAAAATTAAAAGTGCTACCCCAGTGAACACACAAATAATAAGAAAGTGAAACAGTCTTATTGCTGTTATGAAGAAAGTTTGAATAGTCTGGATAGAAGGTCAAAGCCACAACATTTTGTTAAGCCAAAGCCTAATCCAGAATAAGGCTCTAACTCTCTTCAATTCTGTGAAGACTGAGAGGTGAGGGAGCTGCAGAAGAAAAGATTGAAGCTAGCAGAGGTTGGTTCATGAGGTTCAAGAAAAGAAGTTGTCTCCATAACATAAAAGTGCAAGGTATGGCAGCAAGTGCTAATGGAGAAGCTGCAGCAAGTTATCCAGAAAATCTAGCTAAGATAATTGATGACAATGCAGATGAAATGGCCTTTTAATGAAAGAAAATGCCATCTACGACTTTCATACCTAGAGAGAAATCAATGCCTGGCTTCAAGGCTTCAAAAGACAGGCTGATCCTTTTGTTAGGGGCTAATACAGTGGGTGGCTTTAAGTTGAAGTCAATGCTCACTTGCCATTCTGAAAATCCAAGGGCCCTTAAACATTATGTTAAATCTACTCTGTCTGTGTTCTATAAATGGAACAACAAAGCCTGGATGACTGCACATTTGTTCATAGGATGATTTAAAGATTATTTTAAGAACATTGTTGAGACCTACTGCTCAGGAAAAAAAGATTCCTTTCAAAATATTACTGCTCACTGAGAATGCACCTAGTTACCCAAGAGCTCTGATGGAGATATAGAAATAGGCTAATGTTGTTTTCATGCCTGCTAACACAACATCCATTCTGCCACCCATAGATCAAGGAGTAATTTCAACTTTGAAGCCTTATTAAGAAATGCTATAAGGCTATAGCTGCCATAAGAAATGCTGTAAGGCCATAGCTGCCATAGCTAGTGATTCTTCTGGTGGATTTGGGCAAAGTAAATTGAAAACCTTTTGGAAAAGATTCACCATTCTAGAAGCCATTAGGAACATTCATGATTCATAGAAGGAGGTCAAAATATCAATATTAACAGGAGTTTGGAAGAAGCCAATTACAACACTTATGGATGACTTTGAGGGGCTCAAGACCTCAGTGGAGCAAGTAAATGCAGATGTGGAAATAGCAAGAGAGCTAGAATTAAAAATGGAGGCTGAAGATGTGACTGAATTGCTGCAATCTCATGATAAAACTTGAATGGATAAGATGCTTCTCATAGATGAGCAAAGAAAGTGGTTTATTGCAATGGAAACTACTCCTGATGAAGATGCTGTGAACATTGTTAAAATGACAACAATTGATTTAGACTGTTACATGAACTTAGTTGATAAAGCAATGACAGGGTTTGAGAGGACTGACAGCAATTTTGAAAGAAGTTCTACTGTAGTAAAATGTTACAAAATAGCATCGAATACTACAAAAATAATTTTTTTTTTTTGAGATGGAGTTTCGCTCTTGTTGCCCAGCTGGAGTGCAATGGCATGATCTCGGCCCATTGCAACCCCTGCCTCCCAGGCTCAAGCAATTCTCCTGCCTCAGCCTCCCAGGTAGCTGGGATTACAGGCATGTACCACCATGCCCAGCTAATTTTGTATTTTTAGTTGAGACAGGGTTTCACCTGTTCAACTGTCAAGCTGTTCTCAAATTCCTGACCTCAGGAAATCCACCCACCTTGGCCTCCCAAACTGCTGGGATTACAGGCATGAGCCACTGAACCCAGCCTACAAAGAAATCTTTCATGAAAGGAAGAGTCTATCAATGCAGCAAACTTCATTGTTGTCTTATTTTTTTAAAGTGCCACAACCAGCCCAGCCTTCAGCAACTACCATCCTGATGAGTCAGCACACATCAACACTGAGGCAAGACAATCCATCAGCAAGAAGATTACAACTTGCTGAAGGCTCAGATGATTGCTCACATTTTTTAGCAGTGAAGGGTTTCTAAATTAAGGTATACACATTGTTTATTTAGACATAATGCTATTGCATACTCACTAGACTACTGTATATTATAAATAAACTTTTCTATGCACTGGGAAAACAAAAACTGCATATGGCTCACTTTATTGTGATACTCCCTCTATTGCAGTGCTAGAACCAAACCCCAAACATCTCTAAGACCTGCCTGTACAACAAAAATATCCTTCAGAATGAATGCAAAACAAGGTAATTCTCAAATAAGATAAAACAAAGGGTTCTTACTCTTAAGTATTTACCCAAGTAAAATGAAATGAAAACCTACATTTATATAATAACCTATATACAAATTCTTAGAATGACAGCTATAGTCACATTTGCCCCCAACTGTACACAAACCAAATATTCCTCAACTAGGGAATAGATAAAGTAACTATGGTACATCTATACAATTGAATACTACTCAGCAATGAAAGGGAATTAATTATTGATCTATAAAACACCATGCCTGGATCTCAAATGCATTATACTTGGTGAAAGAAGCCATACTCAAAAAACTATATACTGTATGATTCCATTTATATGACATCTGGAAAAAGATAAACTATATTGATGGAGAACAGATCACTGGCTGCCAGGACTTAAAACTGGGGGAAGGGCTTGACTACAAATGGAATAGCTGCAAGAAAATATATATATTTTTTCAACTGTTGTGTATCTTGAATGCAGTGGTAGTTACATGCTTCTGTGCATTTGTTAGAATTCATAGAACTGTAACCAAAAGAGTGCATTTTACTATCAATTTTTTTTTGAGAATAGGGTCTTGCTCTGTTGCTCAGGCTGGAATGCAGTGGCATGATCTTGGCTCATTGCAACCTCGCCTCCTGGGCTCAAGTGATCTTCCCACCTCAGCCTCCTGAGTAGCTGGGATTACAGGTGTGCACCACTATGCCTGGCTAATTTCTGTATACTATCAATTTTATATATTAAAACACAAATTAAAAAATAGAAAACCTGAAGTTGTGAACAGTTTTCCTAGGGAAACTTTTTGACAGTTCAATTATCTAATTGCATGTCCTTAAATATTCATAAGCAGCAAACTGTATCCCTAATATAATGGCAAATGGCCAGATTTTAATTAAAATCTTTGTTACAAAATGTCACTTGAAAATAAAAATCTATTTGGTCTTCATACAGGTTTGTGGAAGTCTAAAACCTTCAGAATAAAATTCTAAACACCCATGTCATCAATGTATGAGTTTTGATATAAATTTTAAAATTCCTGCCAATGATATAAACTCTTCCAGTTCCATACCACAAATGTGGTTATATGGTCACAATATTTATTTCTGACCTGGTATTTAAAATAATAGATACATACATTATATCATATTACACTAAAATAATAGATATATATATGATATGATATGATATGATATTTTATTATATATGACAGTATAATAAATGTTACAATACACACACACAATTATTAATATTACTATTAAGGAGAAAAAAACAAAATCATGCAATTAAACCATAGGCTCAGCCTTGATTCTTCTAACACTGACCTATCAAGTTTTTCAAATTGCCTACCATATTGATTTACTCACTGTAGGACTGACAGAGTAAAAATGTGAAAGATTAAATTTTAACATACCCTGTCAAAGAGTGCAAAAAGTTGTCTCAAGACATCTGAAACAGGCAACTTTAAATACTTGGCGAATTCTTCAATTCCAATTCTTCCTCCTTTTGAGGAACTCGCAATAGATGCATATTCATCCAAATGCTTACGAACACCATCCCAATCTAATCTAAACAAACAAAGAATTATAGATACATGTTATTAGCCCTTTACAATTCACATGCACATTTTATGATCATTATTTTATTAATGTATCTGGGAGAAAAATATTTTAAGTGTTAAATTTGTAAAGGAGAATAAAATAGGTACTTAAAAGCACATATTCAACATATATGCAGGCATTTAATCTTTTATTTTGTATTTTTTAGGAGAGATGGGGTTTCACCATGTTGGCCAGGATGGTCTCGATCTATTGACCTCGTGATCCGCCTGCCTCGGCCTCCCAAGGTGTTGGGATTATAGGTGTGAGCCACCACGCCCGGCCCGCATTTAATCTTTTAAAGGATACTTGTATAACTAACAATTATCTCAAATATCTCAGGGAAAGAAAAGTATATGAAAAGAAGAACATTGTAGTGGAATAATAAATTATTCATGAGAAGAAAATAAGAAAGCAAATATTTTAAATCTAAACATTACTTAGTGAGTCCATAGTCTGTATTAAGTTTTTAAAGATGAAATAACAATTCTTGCTTTCAAGAAGCTTTCAGGCTGATAATGAATTCATATTTCACAAAATGTTATGATAGGGGGATTCATTAGACTATACACATGTCCTCCAAGATTAGTTATGAAAAACTACGGTGATAAAACACTGGAAAATGTACTGTAGCTTACATCATAGCCTATCTTTGCTTTGTTGAATTAAACTAATGACCTAACATATATTCTTAGCCCAATTTCAGTGACTAACTAAACTTTTTAAATCTACAGAACATTGTAACTATAATATGCAAACAAAAGCAAAACATTTTTATTATCTTACAATATAAATAATATTTTCTATATCAGTTATCAAAATATTATACTTTAATACTGAACTTTGATATAGTAACTGGTTCTTCAGCTCCTTCATAGACAGGATGTTAATTAATAAATTCTGCAAATTCCAGTTAGGGCTGAGAACAGAATGAACTGCAGTAAGGGTAGAGGGAGGTTGAGGGTTACACCTTTTATAGCGAAAAGCTCAACAAGAATGTTCTCAATGGTTTAAACTAGATCAAAAGAGCAGGAAGAAGATTTTTGCCTTTTTTTTAAAAAATAGGTATCCAGAAAAAAAGGCAGATCTAGGGCAAGTATTTAATGTTCAGTGGTGGTAAGAATTGCAACTATACAAATCAATTCATGTTTCACATGTGAAGTTCTGACTACCACATGCCAGTATCATCTAATGATGCTGTCCTTGTAAGAAGGTGGCAGGACTAACTTCTCTGAGCCACTAACTCCCTCTGAGTAGGGAGGCAGATCTGTGTGGATCCACATTTATTATCCCTTGGTCTCCTCCTGTGACCAATGCACATATCTCTGAGTTAACTGTTCTTGAAAAAGCAAAAGTAGATGAATAAAATGTGAGATAAATTCTCAACTCTGACTTTCCTAATATACACCAAATGGGAACTAGAGCTGAGCATTAATAAAGCAGGAGAAAATAAACAGGATTTCAGATCCCTTTTGGACAACTTTATGAAAGTGTAGTCATTTTAAAATACACTTACTTCAATTTTCGGCTAATTTTAGTAAATTCCACCAGCCCAGCTTCCATAGGCAATGTTAGCTGTCCTGCTGAAATCATCAATCTGCAGTCTTCATAGGTATGATCTGTTACTGGTATTCCCAGAGCTCTAAAAGTATTAAGAAGCAAACTAAAATTCATTTTTTTTAAAAAAAAAAGTAATCATATTTCACTAGGCTTTAACTGGTTCCAAACGACAGCAAATGAAAAAGTATTTACTACTTTTTAAACCAGTAACTCTCGCTTTTCTTGACAAAGAGACATGTTTCTCCATTTCTTCACAGACTTACTAAGGATCAAGTTAATCTCCTTATATCTACATGCTTCTGTATGTGTAGCTGATAATATTTGCTTTGTGTTTTAACTATAATAATAATAATAGTTGCCTTCAGTCTCATGGAAAGTAATTAGAAGACTTAGGTTCAAGTCCTAGTGGAGTTTTTCACCAGCTGTGGATGAAGCCTCACTTTTCTCATCTGTACATAGGAGTGAATACTATCCTTATTCCAAATGGTTATAGTAAGGACAAAAAAAGAATGCCTGTGGAGGGTACTGTTTAAACAGATAAATGGAGCCGAACACAGTGCCTCACACCTGTAATCCCAGCACTTTGGGAACCCAACACAGGCAGATCACTTGAGGCCAGGAGTTTGAGACCAGCCTGGCCAACATGGTGAAACCCCATCTCTACTAAAAATATAAAAATTACGTGAGGCACACCTGTAGTCTCAGCTACTCAGGAGGCTAAGACAGGGGGACTGCTTAAACCCAGGAGGCAGAGGTTGCAGTGAGCTGAGACTGCACCACTGCACTCCAGCCTGGGTGACAGAGGGAAACCCCATATCAAAAAATAAATAAAATAAAATAAACAGATAAATGGCATTTGTATATAGTGTAAGTAAACAATCTATCCAAATTACTAGCTGTCTATGTTTTTCATCTTTTATAGCTAGAGATCACCTTCTTGCTACATAGCAATCTTCCAAAAATACTGAAGCAAAAGATATTTCTTCTAAACCTAAACATCCTCCATCCTTAAGGGAAAGTATAACTCCTAGTTCCTACTTCACTACTCACAAATTAAATGATAGTGAATTAGATTTGAAAAAAATACATATTTATAAGAACTGGAAAAACACCGAATACCAAAAAAAAAGGTGCAGTACATGAGATAAACATTCCTCTTCACTAAATTTTTATTCACAAATATTCAGTGAAAACCATAAAATTATGTCTTTAAGCTGTACTGGATTTTGTTGAATCATTGCTAGAAACATTAAATTTTGAATGAATACAATCAGAATAAAACATTTTTTTTGGCCAGGTGCGGTGGCTCACGCCAGTAATCCCAGCACTTTGGGAGGACAAGGCAGGCGGATCACCCGAGGTCAGGAGTTCGAGACCAGCCTGGCCAACATGGCGAAACCCCATCTCTACTAAAAATACAAAAATTAGCTGAGCATGATGGTGGGCGCCTGTAATCCCAGCTACTCAGGAGGCTGAGGCAGGAGAATCACTTGAACCCAGGAGGCGGAGGTTGCAGTGAGCCGAGATTGCACCATTGCACTCCAGCCTGAGTGACAGAGCAAGACTGTCTCAAAAAAACAAAAAACAAAAAAAAAATTTCTATCTAAAATATTTTTTCTAAGCTCTTTGATTAATAAGTGTTTTGGTATAAGAATATATAAGATGGAAAATTAAATTTTAAAATATTTTGGGACTTATAACAATAAATAGTACAGTATAATAGTTAACAGCTTGGGCTTTGGTAACAGGAAATGTGGATTTGAGTTCTAGCCCAGACAGTCACTACCTAGTGTGACTTTGGGCAAACTACTCACCTCCCCAAGTCAGCTTTCTTACTTATATCATAGAGTTGATGTAAAGATAATGTTAAATAACTTAAGTTGAGGGCCTACCACAGTACTTGTGTTTTCCAATGCTTTTATCATATACTTTCCTACTTGAGTCTCCTAATAATCAAAACCATGAGAAAGGCAAGGCAATGATTTTAACTCCCATTTCACATGTGAGGAGAAGGGGATTTGGAGGAGACTTGTCCAAAGTTGTGCAGCTAATCAAGGTTTTTCTTACTTTTTATCACAAGTCATTATTACCTCCGCACCTTTGAATTCAGAAAAAGGCTGTCTAAACAAATCCCTTCTCTTGTTTCTAAGCACAATTTGGGAAGCCAAAATATCTGATATAAGTTCTCTCAATTTTTTTTTTTTCTTTTTTGAGACGGAGTTTCACTCGTCGCCCAGGCTGGAGTGCAGTGGCATGAAAACTTGGCTGACTGCAACCTCTGCCTCCCAGGTTCCAGCAATTCTCCTGCCTCAGCCTCCTGAGTAGCTGGGATTACAGGCGCTTGCCATAATGCCTGGCTAATTTTTGTATTTTTAATAGAGACGGGGTTTCACCATGTTGGCCAGGCTGGTCTCGAACTCCTGACCTTGTGATCCACCCACCTCGGCCTCCCAAAGTGCTGGGATTACAGGTGTGAGTCACCGCGCCCAGCCCAGTTCTCTCAATTTCTAATAATTATCTTGCTTTCTACCTTTTGGATATAAGCTGGCATGAAAACATAAGAAAGGAAGAGAAGAAAACATAAAAACTAACTTTGTAGCTGATCTAGAAACTAGATAAAACAAGCACATCTATATACACTTAATAGCAAATTTTTTGCCAAACATTTATTCTATTTTGAAAATAGTTATTCTGCAGAAAAATATTAAGATACATATATTAGAATAAAACATATACTTATAGAGACACATACATATACACATATACATGGCTGGCTATATATATATGAAATCTGGCTATAAAGCTAAATTCAGCTATGAAGCTAAATTCAGAGTTCTCATTGAATTTTTACTAAGACAATAAACACTGCTGGTCTATTAGCTCCAAACCTACTACTGGGAATGACAGAGGTGGTGTGTGGGAAGAGGATGCACACCTGGAGGGCTCTGAGGCTACCTGGGTGGTGGTATAGTATAATACATTCTTTCATTACAAGATAGGGGGTGATTTATCTAGTCAGAATAATGGCCAGTTAGAACTCCCTTATGTGCAGGAAAATATTAACCTTATGTTTTATAGTTTCTAAATCCTATTTTATAGCCATCCATGAAGAGGTGACTTTTTCCCTCTTCTATGCATCTCTTTTTGCATTGCAAACTTTCTCTTTTTTGGTGCTATAGTCGAAGGGATAGAAGGTGGGCCACGGCAGGAACCACTGAGATCATCACAAGGCTCATCTGACAGTGGCGGGCCAGCTTAGGAGAATCCACCCTGTGCAAGGCACTAACTGGTCTTTTCTGGTTATTGTATCCTCTCCAGTCTTTCTGGTAAAGATATATTTCCTTATTTGTGGTATGCAGCTGGGGAAAATACTTATAGATTGTTATACTGACCTCATCCCTGGGCACATTATTTTACGTATCAAAATGAATTGGGGAACGAGGCCTTCAGGGGTCAAAAAAAAATCCTTAAAATGAGTTAAACGACATGCACAAATAATTTTCAAATTATTTATGAGTTATAATCAAATATAGACACTTACTCTGCCATTAAATTCCGGACTTTATTGGCAAAAAGGACAGGATCATTTTTTTCTTCATCATTTGGTACTTGAACTGGCATAAACTGAAAGACAAATATACCTTTCCATAACAATGTCTTAAGCCTAAGACATTAAATGCCAAGTAAATTAATTTATACATTATCAATATATTGAATCATCTACCTTTCTAGAACATAGGTTATATGAGGTAATGGGGCACTGGGCTTGTACTCAGGAGATCTGTTTCTAAGCCCTGGGTCTGCTTGTGTGTTAACTAGTATGTCATTTAACTTTGATGAACCATTTCAACTCTAAAAAGAGGGCTAAGATCACTACTTCCCTGGTGATTGTGAGGGTGAAACAAGTCAGTGTCTGGAATTCTGGAAGTGTAAAGCTGTAGCTACTAAGATCTTTCTCCTCGAGCTGCATTTTCTACCACTCTCATCCCTTTATGTGAAACTCCCATCCCTTTATGTGAAAACTTTTTTTTCTTTTCTCTTTGCCTTTCATCTTCTCTATCCATTCTAATGTCAACCATATTTTTACTATTTGTTTGAACTTTATGTTTTGTCATTTATTCTGCTTTTTAAAAAAACTCTTAGTATTGGCTTTACAGCTTTTTTGCTTAACACCATTTTTTGCTTTAGCATTTTTAATTCTACTTTTTCTCCACTTGATGTTCTGTGATGCCTCAATTGTATTGTTCTTGTTTTTATTTATGGTTTCCTGACATTAACAAGGTTTTAGTGCCATATTCAAGTTATTACGTATTTTTCAGCACCTACTATATACCAGGCAAGATTAATAGGACCCTATTTCCTGCTCTAAAGAAGATCAATATTTTAATAGTATAGAACAACACATTAATAACCCCATATGCTAAGTGTCATTACCCTTATTACCCCCAATTATAGATGGGGCTCAATAGCTTAATTAACTTACCTAAAGGCATGCAAGTCACATGGCCAGAATTCAGCCCAAGATTTGTCAGATTCAAAAAAAACCCTTATTTTCTCCACTAACCATCCTTCCTGGAGTATGAGAGCAAGAGGTAGGAAAGGATTAATTTTGTCAGGGGCCAGGGAAATGCAGCCAAAGAGGAAGGTGGTGCCTAGGGAGAGAGTGCACACAGGAAAGCTAATTCTGTTAAGGGTGCTCTATAGAAGAACTAATACTTGATGTTGGCTTTTTAAGAATAAGTGAGATTTTGCCAATAGTTACTGTTTATTGAATTATAACTACAAACCAGGCATCATGCTAGGTGTTTTACATACGTTATTTTATTTCATTAATTTTTCCCCCATAGTAGGTGCTCAGGCACTGCACTAAGCCCTACAAACATGACAGCAAAGTCCCTGCCCTCAAGAAGCTCTCCATTCAGTAGGGTAGAAATTTATGAAACAGTGAGCTAAATCCACCAATAAGAGTTACCATCCATTAAACATCTACTGTGTGCTGGGTATTTTATATTAGGGGCTTTATATGATTAACTCTCTAAACAATTCCTTGAGGTAAATCTTACCACTTCCATTTGATAAATAAAGAATGCAACTAGAAGTAGTTAAAAATACCATTTTTTTCCAAATGGACCTGTTTTCAAGTCTTGTCAATCATATTAAGAAAACTGTAAGCATTGGTATCTCAGAGGTGACATTTAAGCAAGGGAATGACATGACCAGGTCCAAGTTTTTAAGTGGTAACTTCAGCGGTAAGGAGTGTATGCACCAAAGAAGAGACTAAGAGCAGGGAGAATGTCTGGAAGCAGCTGCAATCATGGGAGAGATAATAAGACCTTGAGTAGAGGGAGTGAGGATGTGGAGGATGGCATGGATGCAAGTTGCCTTTTTAAGATAAAATGTATGGAATTATAGAATAATGTGCTACAGGATATTTACTTTTCACATTTATCTGATTATTTCCTCTCTAAGGGGGCAGCTGCAAGCTGCAGAAAGTGTTCTTGGACTGGGTTGCTGCTTGAGATCTGCCGTGTGATCCTGGAAAAGTCATTTAGCCTTTATGAGCCTCAGTGCCCTCTCCTGTCAAATGAAAAAATTTAACTAAACGATCTCTGAAGTCCTTCCCATTGGAATTCTGTGTGTGGCTCTCTATTTTGCATAGTTGTTTTTTAAGATAGAAAAATAAACTAAGCCACCAGAGGTCCCCACATCCTTATATATCTAGAATAACTATCTTGGCAAAGAAATATTTCTAAAAATTCCCTGCATCCTGATCTAGTAAAATTTCTTGTATTTGCTTAGTATAAAATCCAAGAAAAAAACAGTAAGTTGAAATTAATGTTCATAAAATCTCTAACAAAACAGTGTAAGAAATTAAAGTTTTTAATTGCCATATAATTCTTCATTTTTTAAAAAAGTCAAACAACCATTTGTAATACACTTGATTTAGGTCATAAAAGGTCATACTGAAAACCTTGAAAAATAAATTGCTGCTACACTGTTAACCAAACATAATACAATGAAATACAGGTTTGGTTTTATATTAGTGCAGGTAGTATTTTTCATAAAATGATTTTTAATAACTCTCATATTGGCGTGACATCTTATTCTTAAGGAATAAAGTTCCACTGAGAGTACAAAATAATTAAAATCCTAAATTTGACACCCATGGGCCTTGGAGGCCCCATTCCTCCTAAGAAGCAATTCAATGGAAATTCTAATAAAAAGTCACCTCTCCTAGAATAAGACCTTGCCCTCTATATCACATTTCCATTTTGTACAGTCATTCAAGGCTCACAGTATGAATGTATCCTTTATTTGGAAAGGAAAATCAATCAAAGAGAGGTGAACATGATTGCCACTATCTTTTATGGTTCCCAACAGACATCTATATACCCCAATGACTTCAAGCCCCCAAGTTTTCCTTTCTAACTTCATCTTCTCTCAGTATCCTCATTACTCACATTGATGACTCACTTGACATCTTGCCACAGATATTCTTCTAGACTCTACCTCAGCCATGGAAACAAACTTATGACTCTAATCTCTGCTAAGTTCTTCAGTTTCCCCTCATTATCCATTAGTGTTTATTTCTTCCCTAATCTGGTCTTGCATAGACCATGACAACCTAATGGTCACATCTGGATCAATCATCCCTCTTTATCCACTCCCTCTGGCAACATCTCCCTGACTATCTACACTGGACTTGGGAGTCGGATACTTCTGTATGACCTGTTACTTAGAATCTTTCACTTCTGCCATGCCCACAGTGCCAATCACACATCCTCAGCCACCTCTCCTGATCTTGCCTTCATATTCCTGTTAGGGACCACTGAGAGATGCTAAAAATGTTACATATGTTCCATGCTTTTCAAGTTGCAATTCCACTTTTACCTCACTCTTGTGAGGTACAAATGGTACTTCACTTTCAACTTTATAAAGAAGACAGCTTATGTGAATGTATTCCCTTCTATTGCACCTGAAATTGGCTTCACAGCTCCACTCCCCTCTCCTTTCAAATACAGTATTCTCTGTACCTTCCCCATACTTAACTTTGCACCATCCTGTCCCAGATGAGGAGGAGACTAAGCGACATGTTTCTCAGGTTAACATCTCATTTGTGCTTTTGGTCCCAGAGTCCCCCACTTCCTCTTGGTCCTTAGCATACAAGCAATATATAAAATTCTTCAGCCTACTATTTAAGACATCCATCAACCAAAGCCAGTCACTTACATAGATTCTCAGTATCACTAAAGCTAGTTTATTCATTTTTTCTTGACTACATCAAGCACATTCCTTTCTACTAAAAAAATGATGAGGAAGATTGAAGAATTATGACACTATAATCAATCTTTTATTTTTTCCTTGTAACAGAAAATAATTTTAAAAGGACAATCTTAACAAATGTGCAGTTCTAGTTCTTTGTGTAATTCTTCTTTTAAATCTTCGAAGAGAAAAAATGCAAAAGAAGGAAGATATTTTTAAACAATGCTTGCTGCTTCCTTCCCAAAAGAACAGAAACATCTAGATGAGACAGAAAGTAAAAGTTAGTGCTTATTGAACACTTACTATGTGCCAGCACATAAGTAACTTTATTACTCCTCAAAACTCTATAAATTTTCTGTCATTATCCCCATTTTTGTCAGTGAGAATGCAGGCTTAGAAAGGTTTAATTTTCTCAAGTACATACAGGTAGGTAGTAACAGGATTAGAACAAAAACTCTAGTTAATACCCTTTTTATTTCTCTATTAGTATTCACAAATTCCAGAATTTTACCAAGTTCCAGAAGAAATTAGCTTTGTTAGAACAAGTATATATGTAGGGTGTGTGTGTGTGTGTGTAGTTGTATGATTGAGGTTTTCTAAAAGGCTCATTTTAGATTAAAAACTACAAATAATTGTAGTGCATTTGGATACTTAAATAAACTATATAAATGTCTTTGAATCTTCCCTAAGTAATTAGCTCTCTAAAGATCTTAAAAGTGATATGTACATGTAGCTGTTGATCATAATACTCATTATTAATTGCAATCTTTCCCTAAATCAGAAATTCTTTTTAAATTAAAAAAACAAACCTTTCTATTACTTTAAGGAAATGAAAAGCCCACAACAGAGTATTTTAGGCCTAATGCTAGCCACTATAAGCTCACTATAAGCTTTTAAAGGAATTTTCCTAAAGAAAACACAATAGTCTCCCTTATCTGGGATTTTGCTTTCCGTGGTTTCAGTTACCAACAGTCAACCATGGTCCAAACACATTACATGAAAAATTCTGGAAATAAACAATTCATAAGTTTAAATTGCATGCCATTCTGAGTAGGGTGATAACATTTCATGCTATCCTTCTCTATTCTTTCTTCATCACAAGGAGAAGAGGGATGAATATAGTACAATGAGATGTTGACAGAGAGAGAGAGACCACATTCACATTCAACTCTTATCTATATTGCTACAACTGTTCTATTTTATTATTAGTTGTCACTGTTAATCTCTTATTGTGCCTATTTTATAAAATACATTTTATCAGAGGTATGTGTGTTTAGGACAAAAGTTAGTATATATAGGGTTTGGTATTTCTTGCAGTTTCAGGCATTCACTGGGGGTCTTGGAACATATCCCCTACAGATAAGGGGGGACTTATTATATATCTAATATGCCCACTACAGACAATTTTTATTTATCTATAATATATACTAAATGGCTTCTAAAGTCAACACGCTTTTAATGCAAACTGAGATATAGCCTATGAAGGAAACTGACTGCACAGTCAGTGTAAATGGCTTGTTTCCATTCATAAACTAGCTGCGGCCCACTTAGTGCTTTATAGTGTGACATAGCATGTATTCTCTCTCATGAGATAAACTAACAGACTCTTAATTCATGTCACATTTTGTAATGTTTCCTACTAGCTATTTCATTCCCTATGCCCTAAGCCATATCCTTATAAAGGGATACTTGTGAAACAGCTGGTTAATAAAAGTATGACTAAAAGATACTTTAAGAACACCCATTATGCCACATTAGAATTCAAAGAATAACTTTTAGTAGAACCATTCTGTAGACAGACAACTTCATCATTGTTCAAGGATGCCAGAAGAACAATTACACAGGACATGAGGTTTAGAACTAACTATATTTTTAAGATCCAAGAGTCGAGAAAATAATAACCTTTTCAAAAATACTGTATGTCTCTATGTTGGGAAGCAGAGAGGGCTGGGAAGAGGTGGTAAGAAAATATTCCTAAATATTAGACTCATTATATCTTAGATATCTAATGATTTTGGTAATTAAAGACTTTGGTAGTCATGATTACTGAGGGGAGACTTGTGAAACTAAAGGATATGGCAGCCAACATAATGGGGTGTCATGTGACTCACAAAAGCAAGACTGTCTAAAACGGCACTTTGATAATTCATTCAAAGTTCATTTGAAAAACCATAAAATTAATACCATATTCTTGAATAATATATCTTGAATTAGGTTTACCTAATATTCAAGAAGTTCTAAAAACATGTTTAAAATAAGATAGTAACAAGGATTTCCATCAATTTAAAAAAAAAGAAAAAAGGGGGTTACTTGAGAACAACCAAGACAATTGAAACTGGAGCAACTAAATGTACTGAGACCACAAACCAATCTCAAGCTGGGCCTCAGCAGACGTAGTGGAAAAGCTGGAGCCTCAGAGATGGCCCAGCTCTTACAGAGCTTCAAGCCAGGGTGTGGTATACTTAGTGCCTGAAGGGCTGCTGGGATACATTTTCAGTTAAATCCAACAGTGAGTATTAAAATATTAAAATATCATAAAGTATTTAGGAGTCACCTGGGTGAAAGGGGGAGTCATAAATTTAAAGTAAACATAATTAAAATAAGAATATTTGTACTAAATTTGAAGTCCACAAATTCCCATCCTCTTGTTCTGCACTACGATTCTAATTCATCAAATCTCTGTCGACGCGGCTATTTTCAAGCAGCTGAAAGTCATTTTATTTGTGAAGTTATGGAACAAAGAATACATTGTTTTCTTTGCCAGAAAAATATGATCCAAACAGGTCTCAGAACTGGCTGGAGAATGCAAATATCGTAATTAAAAAAAAAAAAGACAGAAAAAAAAAAAGAAAGCCATGACACAGAAAGGAAATGTGGTAATAATGGTCATGACAAAAAAAAAAAGAGGAATCTGAATACCTCTGTTGTAATGCAGTTTGACCACTGACATGCTATGGCAAAAAAGACAGCTTTGTATACATTTCTACATGTGTTGCTAGATCTTGTTTTAGCTACAGAGGGGTACATTGAGAGGAAGAGACAATATCTTGCAGAGAAGATAGCATGGCTTTTTTAAAGTATGAGTTTTCTTGTTTTTTTAGAAAAGTGAAACAGGCCTAGACTACCTGAGCAGCTATTAAAGAAGCAAGAGCAGTGCTCAGAGTATTTAGAAATATTATGATATAAGGCTTCCTGAAGTGTATTCTATAGAACACTGGTTCCGGGAGATATCTAGAGAAAAAGGTTCTGTAAGTCAGACATTTCAAAGGCACTGAGTAGTCTTGAGAAAAAAAAAATTCATTTTGTTTCCCTTGATACTTCCAAATGTTATTAAATTAGTTTTTGTTCCCCAGGAACCTCTAAGAAAAACCCAAGAACAAGTGTGGGTTTTCTTTTTTTTTTTTTTTTTTTTTTTTGGCCACAGTGAGAGATAACTGAACTGGTTTTAAAAGTGGGGGTGTATGAAATATAATTAATAAACAGATATTTTCAAGACAGGCAGAAAACATGCAAATCTCAAGAAAATTTCACAAAACTCATTCTGAAATGTAATTTGCCCTCCTAAATCATTTGGTATTACTGACAGTCTCTAAATGGCCAAATCACTAAGCTATCTAGCAAAGCAAAATAGTATTCTTGTGAATTAAATTCCACAGTCCTGTCACTTAGGCACTAGACCCCACTCAGAACTCTGCATGACACAGGCAAACTTAAGGTTTTCGTTACACAATCCATGGATGCAATTAGAAAATCTAGGAGACCCATTATCAAACCATCTCTCTTCGGAGACTACCTGAGGGTACTGCTAAAACCGACTGGATGCTGAATTCAGGGTTCTACTCTACATCATATCTAGAAACTAAGAACAGCTCTAGAACCAACCTTTAGAGCCTTAAAAACCTGGTCAAAATTTTCAGAATGTTGTAATAACTCCTCTCTCACTACCTGCCACTGTAATTCAAACCAAAAGACTGTCCTGTGGATGATGATATGTGCTGCCTCCCAGATAGAATTTCCTTGGGCTTTTCATGTGCAGGGTGATTTCACAGTGAAGGCTTCTGACCTCTATGTCTCTCCCCTAGACCCCAAGTAGCATCTCTTAGCTTTCACAAAACATTTTCTTTAAGGAGGTGTGGGGCTCTATCAGCTATGGTCAGTTCCTTTTGTCAGGATGTGAAAATATATCATTCAATTTGGCAGAGGTCAGCATTAAAGGAGTAAAAAGATGAGAGCAAGGTGATGCCCCTCTGGCCAGCCAGGGTGGTTACATGTTTCAAGTTCCCAGAATCTAGAGGTGTTTTCTAACATGATTTCAAGGGCTAAATCTGACAGCCTAGGTTTATATACACAATTTGTAAAACACCTGGTGATGGACCTTTATATCTGGTCTCTCTAGACTAGAGGTTCAAAATTAAAGGAAAGGCCAAATCTCAAGTTCCAAGGCCACATTTTGAATGACTTACCTCAACTTCTACCTTTGTGAAGAGCTGGCAGAAAGTAAGCATACAAAGCTGAATGCTGAAGAGAAAAAAGAAAAGTCTATCTTTATACAGTCATGCAAGTATCATCTTATATTATTCAACAATCATTTCTTTATACACAAATACCCTCACATCACACTTCACATATATTTTGCATTTATAAATGCTACACTGCAGCTATAACACTTTTTGGGCCTAGACAACTATTCTTTTTTTTTTTTTTGGGGACAGGGTCTTACTCCGTCACCCAGTCTGGAGTACAGTGGCATAATCACGGCTCACTGCAGCCTCAACCTCCTGGGCTCAGGTGATCCTCCCACCTCAGCCTCCCAAGTAGCTGAGACTACAGGTGTGAGCCACTGTGCCCGGCTTAGACAAGTATTCTTGACAATTATTATTCAAAAGTTAAATCATCAAATGAATACCAAATATGTATTTCAGTCAGAGCCTCAGCTCAACAGACTAAACCACAAATTTGAAGTTTCCTTGACAACACAGACTCAAAGGCCCAAGTCTCTAGAGAAACTACCCAAGGCCACATTTTAAGGTATGTAAATGTGTTTATAAAACTCCTAGGTAGATCATTACATTTCTGAACTGTTTTTTGACATTAAAAAAAATCAATGGGCCTTTCCTTAAAAGTGGAAGCTTTATCAAAATTGTCCCAGTTATTAATAAATGTTTTAGTTATGAGGAAATCTGAAAAGCTTCAAATTTCATTGTAAAGGCAGGCAAATGCTGTCTTTAAAGTGGTTAAGCAACCCTCTAAAAGATAATGTTTGAAATAGTTGTTCCTACTTATAGCTTTCCAGTACATATTTAGACTCTCTGGATAAGACTTCTACTGGATTTTTAGTTTAGTCTCATTAGACAATTGACCCAGAAACCAGGCAGAATGGATTAAACTACACATTTAAAAAAAGAACCAACCAATCTCTTTTCACTGTTAAGAAATTAAAACATAATTTATCTGTAAAAATTACCTGAGGGAACTTATTTAAGGAATGTAGGAGCTTAAGAATTTAGTTAAAAGAAATAATTTAGAAAGTAGATATATCACTTTCATAATTAATTATAAATTGTTAATGTGTCAGTTCACAAATCTTCCATTTGAAAGAAAAAAATCTTTTACTATCTATAAACTCTAAAGTCAATCCACACTATCTAGCATAAGTTGTTTTTAATTATTTAAATGGAGCTGTGGAATTCAATTACTTGAATAGATGCATTCTATTCTGAAAATTCTGAATACTGTGAAAAATATGAAACCACACATAAAATCTCATTTAACCTGTCTTGTCCACCCTACAGACAGACCAAATACTTCTTAGTCTGATACAAAACTTCTCTAAGTTTATTCCAAGTCTCCTTTTCCTTGGGATATTCGTTTTGGTATAAAATCTGTTTCTTAGAATCTGTAACTGGAGTAGCACTTTGAGCAAGGGCAATTGAGAAAACAGATTTAGAAGTAACAGACACAGTGCTAATAATATTAAGTAGATGAGAAGACAAAAGTGGACGTGAGATTTGCAATAGATTGAACAAAACAAAGCTGTGCCTTTCAAAGATTTTGTGTTTGTTTAAAAGTCCTGAAAAATTTTTGACTCTCAAAATATTTTTTCTCCCTTTCATTCCTGAATTCTTTCTCCTAATTTCCTTTTCCTCTTCTCACATACTTCTCAGTTGAGAAGGCTAGATTAACTAAACCCGTCTATTATATTTTCTATCCCCAGTTCCTCTTCCAGAAAAGCTTTCTCCTATTTGATCATCACATTAACCTGGACTGCTGGGCAACCAAAAAAAGTCCTATTGGCCACATCACTATCTCTGTAAGGAACTTAACCTGTAAAGGCCCAAAGGATGGCACACCTCAGAAAGTGGAAGTATGCTATGCATCCATTGTTAAGGCACTTCGTTTTCCCAAATACTTTCATACTACCTGTTTCTCCCAATTCTTCCATGTCTAAAAGCAATCAGGAATTCAAAATAAGTAATGGCATGAAACATGTATTTTAGTCAAATGAATAAATTGATTTCCTGGTAAGTGAAAGATAATATGCTGTTTAGATATCCTTTACAATTTATGTTCTTTATGTTTGGCGTTATTTGTGTATCTTCAATTATCAAGGACTGAAGCATAACAAGAATATAAGTGTTTCATATGTGTTAATATTTATTCTACTGTCTCATCAGTTACCTATTCTGATTTAAATTTATTATTTCAAAGCAATGTATATATACACAAAATGGAGAAATTATGCAGTTTTGATTTCAGAAGTTGGTTGGATTACGTTGAAGTTATCTAAAAAAGCCTACAATGTGCTTAAGGCAACTGATGATTTCCTTAAATATTTCCAAGTTATTGTCACCTACCCATCAACAATGTTATCTGAGCTTTGTGCTTAACAATATGAAAACTGGGTAAGACCCTAAAGGAAGTCTTCAAATTCAGGTATTTCATACGGCTCTCACCAAAATTTAAACAGGCTCAGACTTATTCAGAGGGAACTAAACAAACGATCTTGAGAGAAACCAAGTTTCTACATGTTCTGTTCTTTTTAAAGGCCTACTTCACATCAGCTTGCTTAATAATGAAACTGTATTCCTCTTCTCTCTTAAGTAAAGTGCTTATAGAAACTGCTGATTCCAATGCTTTTCAAATCCAAGAGCAGAACTGAAATCTTGGTTAGCTATTTTTTCAACTCATATCAGACACATCATAGCTATTTCAGGCCATATGACTAAATTTTTCTGAATGGCTTAAACCAACATAGTAAGTAAGGATAGAGACACTAGATAATGCCAAATCTGCAATGGAAATAAAACTACAAAATTAAAGCTAACTATGATGCAAACTAGGTCACTTACGAACTAGCAAACACTTGAGACCCATTTGAATGGGACAGATGACTAGAATTTTGCACACAGAAGACTCCAGGGGTTAGTGGTCAAGATAGTGATGCTCTCTACAGAGACTTATCAGTTATAAGACTTAGGGCTCTGATCAGAAATCTTTATGTTTTTAAATATAACAATATTTTTAAAATAATACTTTTTTAAAGAATGAATAAATGATCTTTCTTTTTCTTCACTAAAATAAAATTTATATAAACTAATAATAGACATAAGTGACTTACAATGTATATCCTTGCCATGTCCAGGTCACAGTATCCTATAATAACAAAATTATTTTAGCTGTTGGTCTGGAGGAAAAATACTAAATAAAATAAAGATCTTATTTTAATATGGGGATTCATGTATTTTTTCTGAAATTAAAAGCAACATGTTGAGAAGTAAAATAAATACATTATTGTTAAAGAACAGTGAACTGATCTATGAATTCTTGGATTACATATCTACATAGCAAAGATCTTCCTAATGTCAACAACTTTTGATGAAATGACTTGTTTTAATTTTTTAAAAACTATTTTACATGCTTAGCCACTTTTCTCCTAATATGAACATATCTGGATAATTAATTTGATTACAAAAAACTCAGAATATATCCGTTTTCAAAAAAAAGCTTATTTGGGGGAAATAAAATAATATGAACATACAATAAACTCAAACCTATGGGCAGAAGTACAACAAATAAAAGTTTGATAGATTTTAATTCTTTTTTTAACCATAGATGTCCAAGGTTGAAAAACCAGCCTCTAAATAGAAAACTGATTTGATCAATAACCCTTAATATTAAATAGTAGAGATAACTAATAATTATATCCTGGCTTTTAATATAAATTCTCTAGTAAAGAAAGTTCCTCTCAGAACCAAAACATTCCCTCAAAAATCTTTCTTTAGGAAAATGGTGGTAAAATCAATATTTAGAGGACAACAATGTACCCAACTGGAACAGAAGAGACTACTTCCTGAGTCAACTCTGGACTTTATATGTTAAGCTAGGCCAGATGCAGTGGCTCATGCCTGTAATCCCAGCACTTTGGGAGGCCAAGACAGGTGGATTACTTGAGGTCAGGAGTTCAAGACCAGCCTGGTCAACATGGTGAAACCCTGTCTCTATTAAAAATTCAAAAATTAGCCGGGCATGGTGGCACATGCCTGTAATCCCCACTACTCGGGAGGCTGAGAAAGGAGAGAATCACTTGAACCCAGGAAGCGGAGGTTGTAGTGAGCCAAGATCACGCCATTGTACTCCAGCCTTGATGACAGAGCAAGACTCTGTCTCAAAAAAAAAAAAAAAAAAAAAACCCGAAAAACAAAAAAAGATGTTAAGTTTTCTCAGGTATTTTCTTATTTAATTAAGTTACTTACTACCAAGGCTCACACAATTAGTAAGTACTGAGGCAGTAATGAAAGACCAAGCCTCTTTAATATTTATCCTGCTATTTCAATACTTCTTCACTAGTAATGACCACTGAGTCAGGAAAAATTTCTTTCTAGAGTTAATGAAAATCACAGATTTTTAACTATTCATTCTAATGAGACCCTAATCTGGGAATTAATCACACCAACATGGTGACAACAGAGTAAAGGCTAAGAAAATATCTTCCTGAAGTTCAGTAATAGCAAAATAATATTTAATATTGGTATCAATGGATATGTGCCTATCTTGCAAAATTTTAAAAACTAGATGTGGCGAGCAGAATGAGCTCTCCCATTTGCTTCCACCATTTATCTGTTCACAACCTTATTTATATATTAAAAGGGGTCCCAGAGAATCTGTGCTACTTGGAATACTGAAATTCTTCCTGTGGTAAAATACTGTGCTTACCAGCTTGTTTGGGTATCTGAGGAGGACTGGCTGCACTGGAACTCCTGGAATGAAGGCTCCTGCAACCACATTGAAAGTTTATAATGTGTTTTTATGTGAATAAAAGTTTTATGATAAAGAGAAAATTAATAAATAGTATAAATAGACTGAATATTTTAAGAGTATGTGTAACAGAAATCATTTGCTAAATGTTGGTAAATCCCTAGTGCTTACCAAAATGAGGGATTTTTTTTTTTTAATTAAGAACTACTGAAGCAAAATATTAAATGCTGTGCCTATGCCACTTAAAATATTTGTTTATTCATTGATTTATTTCTCCACTTTTTTTCATTTTCCAAGTGTTAATATTCAACAGAATTGTTTTAAGTAATGATAAAATCAAGACAAAGAAAAAATAAGAAGAAAAGCTACATGAAACCAAATGCTTGAAGCAAGAACTACCACACTTGCTAGAAGTGAGTCATAACTTTGCTGCTGAGCATTCTGGCAGCTAATACAAAAACATTTTAAAGTATTAAAAATTATAATGAAAGCTGCATTCACTGACTTCTAATGTTAAAAAAGAGGTGAACCTTAGAAAGCATCTGAAGACATTATAATGATAATGAGATAGGTTTTCTACTTGATGACATAGAACCTTATGTGTCCGTGAGGGTTCCCAAACACACACACAGCCACACATCCTAAGTGCACATGCATGGAGTGGACACTCCAAGGGGAGAGGAATTATGACCCCAAAAGAGAAAGCAAAGCAGTAAGTTCTGTGGATCCACAACGTTAAAAAGTTGCTATCAGAAAAGAAAAAAATGCTCAGAGCAAGCTAAAGAGTTATTTTGTGTATTTCTATAAAATCATTTGCAAAATCTCACATATTACTTTGTTAGAATACATAATTTAATTTTTCTCACCTGGTTTAAAAGTAATCAAACAGGAACGATTAGTACAAGTACCTTCTGGGAAAACTAGTATCTTGGGAAAAAAGGAATAGATTTAATATTTCAATCTAATTAATAAATTACCTCTTTACTCGCTTTCTTATGACTTCACAAACAGCTGCCAATGCTTAAAAAACAAAAACAAAATAAAAGGCTAACATTTGATTCTAATGAAAGCTACTATCAGATTATTCAATTTTCTTGTAAAGAAAGTGTTGTCTAATTTAATTAGAAAATGGATTTAAGCTTTGAATAAAGAATATACTTAACAAATGTCTCTTAATGATAAAACTAATGATCTGAATAAACTTAAAAGATGTAGAGCATAATTCATGGTCAAAGTGTGCATTAGGCTACATTAAATTCTTTCTTCTGCTATATATCCTTAACCAAATAATTTCCAACTTTGTTTCAGTTTTCCCATTAATATTTACTCCCACAACATATAGTTCAGGCATGTCTTGAGGACAAAGGAAAAAAGATATGTGTACAATGTGCTTCATGTTTACTTGAATTAGTTGACATATGGAATACAACTTAATATCTTTTTTCTTTTTGAGGCAGTGTTTTTAGCTTTTAACATACTTCTTCATGTTTTCAAAGTAAAAGATATGCAGTACGTTAGTTTCCCCATTAAGTAAAATAGCAACTTAATTTTCTGATGCTTTTAAAATTTAGCCATGAATAAATTGCTAAGTGAATAAAATAAAATAAAGTAACATCCTGCACTCACAGCAGTTAGCAAAGTGTTTTTATGATAATTAGATAGGGAAAATATTATTGGGCTACATTGCCACAATAACAGGTTATTTATAAAATAAAAATTATGAAAGGATATAATTCCATTCTCCAGTTTAAAAGTGGGTTTCCTATGACAACGGGATACAATATCAAATATATTTTATTCAGTGAAAATTCAACAACTAAACTACTAACGATTAATGGGTATACAGTGAATCGTAAAATCTCAGAGCTGGAAGGGCCATTAAAAGTCACCTAGCATATCTAATGCTTGATTTCTTTCTACAATAGTGGTAGTTCAGCCAATGCCTGAAAATTCTAGAAAAGGATTCCACATCAGACCATTCCACTTCTGGACAGAAAGTTGTTCCTCAAGATGAGCAAAATGAGCTGAAATTTATATATTTGTTATCTCCCATCTACCAGTCCTAGATATAGTCTTTGGATCCACAGAGAAAAATCAAACCCTACTCCCAATGCCACCTATTCTCAATCCTCTTTTTAATCACTCCTTACATGCTTTGGTTTCTAAAACAACCTGTTTGGTCACATACTTTCTCTTGGACTTTAACATCTTCATGTCATCATGTGTGGCTAGATAACTGTAGGACTATTAGTCTGCTAGAGATGAGTTGTTTTCAACTGGGCAAAGATAAAGGAGTGACTATTAGAATCACCCTTGGCTTATTTTGCAGTAAATGTTACCCCCCCCCCACCCCCGCATTCCAGGGAAGGGAGTGGTGAGATGGTAAAGTTTGAAAAAAGGTTCTACAGGTGATTTTGATATGCCCCTTGAACTGAAAAGCACTATCTAAATATACTTCAGGTGAGATTAAAGATCTTAATCACTTACCCACCACAATATTGAGTATAACTGAGCTTATATAATTAAGCTTCTAAAATATGAAATAGGAGATACTTTAGTATAATGGTAATAGATACTAAGGTATCCCCTATCTCATCTATAAAGTGGTAATTAAATTTAGAGTTAGAGAATCAAATTTTTGTAACACAAAGAGAAAATTGGTTCAAAGAGTTTGGAGAATAAAAAAGAATAATACATTTAATTCCATAGAGTATCTCATGGGGAAGAGGACTTCTTAATACTGGCTACTGTATTTACTCTGCATCTATTATGCTAACAATACCTAGTATAGGTGTCCACAGATATTGCTATCTGTGGATCCAAATGAGTAAGTCTACATACATACAATTAATAAACTCCCACTATATTTAAATTAACATCTACCATGTTTTACCTGGGGCCATTCTCCTCCTGATGTTGTTCGCTTTATTATTTCATTTATTGTGTTTTTTCGGGAATCCGGATCTACACGGGACACCAAAACTGGTTGCACAGCCCGTAACAGTCCTTTAAAACAAATGAAAAGTTACAGGCAAGCCATTTTTTGGCTAAAGCAACCACAGCAATAATACTGGATATATAACATATTGTATGGAAAATTTAAATGAGTAAATCAAAGAGAACAATTAAAAAACAATTTATTAGAACTTAGCTTCTAATTTTGAAAGAAGTGGATATTTACAACTAAAAACATTTCATTAATTTAACAGAACTAAGCAGCAAAAATACAAAAGGAAGCAAATGTAATTTTCTCCCTAAAGGTCTTCTTCCTCAATTGACATTAAACCTTTGGGATATGCTACAAGATTATTGTTTTATTTTAGGAATACCTTGAAAACTGATTACGTGAATTCACAGTACACATAAGTAGGAGTAACCATTACTCATAATACTGCAATTTTCAGTAGAACATTTTTTTAAAATAGCTTCCTAACACACGAAAAATCAACTTCAATTTACCAAAGATCTATTGCTACACAATTTTTCAGGAAAAAGCCATATTACACAAAGCATGGTAGTTACATTAAAAAAAAAATGTCTTAGCTGAATGACAAAGCTGCAAGAACTACTATTACTTCTCCAGAGCACTGAGGCAACATCAGGGAACTTTCACACTCTCTCATCATCTGATGTTTGCAATAAACTTGGGACAACAGGGAGTAGTTACTTGGAGACAATTCTTGAGGGAGACCAAAGCATCTGGTAGGAAAAACACTTCACTTGCGTCATTATTTTTCATGGCAGGAAGTACCTATTGTCCCACATCATAATTTTCAAAGAGCTACACATAGGTCCCTCATGGAGATTTGGGGGGCAATAATGAAGAAAACAGAGTAAGGAGAAATCACTTACTGCATTTAGCAGCCTAATATCCTGAAGATAAATTCATCAAACAGCATATACCTGTGTTTTCATAGATTCTCTCAAATCAAACATGGATTAAATTCTCTCAAATCAGGCATGGATAGTATCTGAAAACTAGTCTTTCTGGCTATATATAAGAACAGAAAGACAATGACATAGTGATAAAAAGTTTTAAAGAGTTATGAAGCTATAAAAGGGAAGTCTCTAATCTTTTTTCATAAATATACTATTTCCATGTAGTAACTTATTACAATAAAGTAAATATGTTTGAAATGTTTATTTTAAACTTTTTAAAAAGGTTATCAATGAACTATATATGATTATTTTAATTTAAAGCATGAGCATGAAAATATTTTATCTACGTTACCTTACAAGTACTTACTGCCAATCAGAGGGACTTGTGCATTCTCATTTCGAGATACCATAGAAGGTAACCCAGCTACAACACAGGCAATTCCATCAAAGAATGTTGAATGAGGGGCAGCAACAAAAACTGGTGCTTCCAAAGGACTTGCAATCTTTCCTTTTACAGCAACTATAAATCCCATTGAAAAGAACATAGCACGACCCAGAAATTTCAAAGCTGTTTGAGTAATTTTCCTTTGAAAATATAGAAAAGATGTAATTAGCTCTGTTAATTAAAGCTAGCAGCAGGGTTTTACTCTATAATACAATAAGAAAACCAAAACATGTCAGAGTATTTCATATGAAAATATGAGCTGAGGAGAATAACAGCTAACACTTACATGGAGCTGTTTCTGCCAGGTGCTAGGCACTATTCTAAATGCTTTATATATAGATTAATCTCTTTAATCCTCAGCCTAATCTTTTGAAGTAGGTATTTTGAAATTATTACTCCCATTTTATAGATGAGAAAACTGAGGCACAGAGAAGTTAATTCACCCAAGGGTATGTGTGGCTAAGAAACAGCTCCATCATTCTGAGACTATAAAGTGTTAAACATGAATTCTCAACACACATCCCCTACTGAGATATCCAAATCAGTATTGTCCTTCAAAGTGGTTATCTTGGGAATCCACATTTGTGTAATGAAGATGCTACTATCTCCTAAAACACTTTTGGAGCTCTCACACTGAAACTGTTCTCAGAATTATTTTAGGAATTTTTTTAAAAGTCTTGTAATCCGTATTGTTACAGTTTTTAGATATCATCAACAATCATCAGAAGTGAGTTCAACATCTCACTTCCCTGGAACAGAGATGTACTTAAGCAATTCCAGAAACTACTTTTTTAAAAAACCTTTAAAAAAGATTCTGCCATTATAGATTAGTTAATTTATCAAACTGTGTCAGGAACTATGCCAGACACACAAGACAAGTAAGATCCAATTGAGTAGGGAAACAAAAATGTATTCCTAGAAGTGCAAACACAGGAGGGATATCTCAGTATGTGAATAAGCATATAGCTTTTTATGAAAAATAAAATATGTACATCATCCAGGAGGTATCTAATGAGAGCTTTTTTTTTTTTTTTTTTGAGATGGAGTTTTGCTCTGGTGCCCAGGCTGGAGTGCGGTGGTGCAATCTTGGCTCACTGCAACCTCTGCCTCCCAGGTACAAGCGATTCTCCTGCCTCAGTCTCTCGAGTAGCTGGGATTACAGGCGCCCACCACCAGGCCTAATTTTTGTATTTTTAGTAGAGATGGGGTTTCATCATGTTGGCCAGGCTGGTCTTGAACTCCTGACCTCAAGTGATCCGCCTGCCTCAGCTTTTAAAAATAGGATTCTCATCTAATTTTCTCCACATTTTTGTAATAATATACTGAGGAGCTATTAGCAACTAGTTCCAAAGAAGTTTCTGTGACTTTTATTTCACAAGAAGGAGGTAAAGAAAACCACAATACTTTCCCAGAGGGCACAGAAACTGTACCTCCCTTTCTTCTTTAGTTTAGAGATGAGATTTCTACTCATGTAATGATATGAAGTGTATTCCTTTATCAAATTTCCACACCTCTTATTTTTTATCCATAGTGATATAGCTTCTGATAACTATATTTATCCCATATTCTGAGCCATTAAACACTCTTATTTAACATGTTTAAAGAATGGCTCTAAGTCTGGTCCCACATAATAACTTCAACGTTACCTGTTTGAGAGGAGAAAGAGATACTAGTTTAATTGACAAAAGTAAAACTTTCTTTTCTAACATTTATTATATCTATTGTCTGGATTATTTAGACTATTCCTTCTATCATCCTAGGTTTTCATAAGCCACCGACAATAAAAATCAAAGAGGTAATCTGAAAAGAATTGGTGAGTCATAAAAACGTTCCTTGAAGCATTGTTTTATACTACACAACCTTGAGTTTAAAACAAAGGAGTATGATTTGCAAGAACTGAGATTTCTCTGGGGCATTGCCAGCATTGAATTCATTTCCACTTTGATAGTGAAATTTGTTCACTGGAACATGAACTGAACAGCAAACTATGTATTTCTTTAAAAGTTTCTAGAACAGTCTTTCTCAAAATTTTTGGAGGATGCACTCACATTTGAGATTTAAATACAAAAATATCCTTATATATAAAAATTTGGCAACAATTTCAAAAGGTTTGACAATGCCCTGAAACCCATCTACAGATTTGGAATTCACATGGAATCCATGGAGTCCACATAAGAGGCTGCACTTTTAAGGCATACAGATCACAACAATTTGGTTCTGTTCAATAAGAATAAACTTTTACCAGTAGCTTTGTCAACTCATGATCAGTTTCTCCTCTATTACCATCTTAATTAGATAATGCCTGAAAAGCAGTTCCATTCTGCCTCATGCTAATGTTTAAAATAACCAGACTGTACTGGTTAATAATTGTTATTAATAATTGTTTTAATAGAAATTACTACTAAAGTAATTAATAAAAATAGTATAACTAATCCACTTATGCCACTGCAGAAAGCTGTAGAGGGAGAAAAGCAAATGTGAAAACTGAGAGCAAGGTATTTTGTAGCTTCAGTGGTTTCAAGTATAGTAGTTGGGTATCTTTCCGAACTAGGGATGTATCGCATTTGGCAATAACTCAGAAAACAAAATATTTTAACATTAGGCAATTATAACTTTTAGAAGATTATCATAATGTAGTTGGCATTTGGGCAGTAATTTCTACGTATTTCATATGAGAAATAAAAATAAATTATTTATTATTGAGTAGGCAGATAAAACTGTAAAATTTATTATTGAGTAGGCAGATAAAATAGTTTTATCTAACAGCAGTTAGATCACTGACTAAACTATGATGAACTCTTCTTATATTGATTTAGTATATCTTAATTTAATATTATGTCCTAATATTTTGGACAAAATTATTTCTTACCTCCTCCAACCAGTTATTGGGTGGGTCAGCTTTTCAGGACAGCATACTGTTGAAATTGCAGCAAATGGCCATGCAAGTAATAAAATTAACGCAACCAATAAGACACGAATTGGAAGCAAGATAATCCCAAGAAGGACAATCTGAAAGTCAAAGTTGGTAAAAATAAATGAATGGACATTATTTTAATTCATGGCTATCAAACAGAAACATGTAATAGGAAAGTTTTATGGTGTTCATGCATTCAGTCAAGGATGAATTGACTACTAGCCTGTACCAGACAAGGATTTAAGCACAAAGAAAAATAACAAATTATATCTGACTTCACAAAGCCTACTGTGTAGCAAGAGAAACACTGAAGAAAACCGTAAGACAAATGATCTGCATACCAATGAAAGTGAATAGAGAATGCTGGGGGAACAAAGAAAAGGTGTATATGATTTAGCAGCCAGGGAAAGCTTCCTGGAGGAGTTGTAGCCTGAACAATCTTGCAGTAAGCAGGAGCTAGCAAGGTAAGAAGGGGAAATTGCTTTTTGAGAGCTTTAGGTAGAAAAGTGAAGGCATCAGAGTGTGACGAAGTAAATACATTGTTTTATATACCTGCCAGAACTTTATAACTAATAACAATAAGGAGATAGATGAGAAAGTAAAAATAAATAAGAAGAAGAAATGAAAAGTAAATTAAAAAGAATAGCAAATAATACATGGATGCTTACTATGTAATACACCAGCCATTCTAAGCACTTGGCGTGTAGTAACTTATTTAGTTCTTACAACCTTAAGTTTCAAGTTTTACATACCAGAAAGGAGTAACACAGAGGGAGTTAAATTGCTTAAGATCACAAGTGGTAGAACCAGGATTTGAACTTAGTTTGGTTATAAAGTTTGTGCTCTTAATTCTTTTACTGTACTGCCTTTTGAGTAAAATAGACTGTGCTTATGTATGACACATTGCCTTTTTTTCTATAAGCTGATTATATTACTCAGATAGTAGGCTTCTTTTGCTGTCTCTGCTGGCCCTTATCTGATTCTGAGCACCATCAAATAATTTAGAAAAAATGCCAATATATTCTAATTATCTGATCTTTAGAATATTAAACAGTAACACAAGGAAATGTACAGATCTAAAGTATACAATTCAATGAGCTTTGATAAATATATACTCATGTAACCACCACTGCAATTAAGACACAAAACATATTTACCACTCCCAGAAAGTCATCTTGTGTCTCTTCTAGTCAAACCCTATGTTCTTAGGCAACGAATGCTAGATTTCTATTGCCATAATTTAACTTTATCTGTTCTTAAATGTCATATAAATGGAATCATACATCATGCATTCTTCCACTTAATACTTTTTATTCCACTATGTTTTTTCATACACCAGTAATTCATTCTTTTTAATTGCAGAGTATTATTTCACTATGTGACCATATGACAATATGTTTATTGATTCTCCTACTGATGAACATTTGGGTTGTTTCCAATTGTGGGCTATTATGAATAAAGCCACTATGAACATTCTTGTACAAGCCTTTATGTGAATGTTTTAATTTCTCTTAAGTAAATACCTAGCAGTGGAAATGCTGGCTCATAGATGTTATTTAACTTTATAATAAACCACCAGTTTTCCAAAGTTGTGTCATTTAAAAGTATCAGTGGAAATGTGGGAGAATTTCAGCTGCTGTACATCCTTGCATTTGGTTTGGTAGACTTAAAAAAAACTTTATTAAGGTACAATGTACATAAAAGAAAAAACACCTATTTTAAGTTTATAGATTATGAGTTTTTCAAATGCATACCCCTATGCAGTGACCACCACAATCAAGATATTTACATCATCTCAAAAAGTTTTCTTTTGCCCTTTGCAATTACTACACCCTCCCCAAACCTAAGCAACCACTGATAGGCTTTCTTTCACTGTAGTTTTACCTGCTCTAGATGTTCATATAAATAAAATCACTAGCATTTATTTACCCTTTTATATCTGGCTTGATCACTTCATATTTTTGAGAGTCAACCATATTTTCATATATATCAGTATTTACTCTTTTTAATTGGAGAGTACTATTCAATTGTATGAATATATCATGATCTATCTATTTACTTGTTCATGGGCATTTGGCCTATTATAAGTTTTCAGCTATTATACCTCATATGAACATCAATGTTCAAATCTCTGTGTGACCATACATTTTCATTTCACTAAAAATAAAATTATTGGGTCATAGGGCATGTTTAACTTTGTATAATACTATAAAACTGTTTTCCAGAGTGGCTTCACCAGTTTACATCCCCAGCAAGGTATGAGAGTTCCTGTTACTCCACATCCTCACCAACATATGGTATGGTCAATTTTTTAATATTTAATGTTAGCCATTAAAGTGGGTATAAAAGGATATCTCATGTGGCTTTGATCCACATTTCCTTGATGAACAATAATGTTGAACACATTTTTCATATACTTATTGGTCATTCCTTTAACTTCTAATATTAGTGTCTGTTCAAGTCTTTTTGGCCCATTTTTACTGGTTTGTTAGTCTTTTTCTTATCAATTTGCAAGAGTTCCTTATATAAATGTATACAAGCCCTTTGTCAATATATGCATTGAAAATATTTTCTCTCATTCTGTGGCTTTCTCATTTTCTTAATGGTATCTTTTGATTAAAGTAATTTTAATTATGATGAAGTTTAATTTATTAATTTTTATTTTATGTTTAATTCTTTTCTGTGTCCTTCTGAAAAAATCTTTACCTCAAGGTCTTGAAGATATTCTATATTTTTTTCTTCTAGAAGCTGTATGATTTTCACTTTTACATTTCAATCTATGATCAATCTTAAATGACTTTTTTTGTGTGGTATGCAGTATGGATCAAGGTTCATTTTTAACCATAAATTTATCCAGTTGTTGCAGCACCAAAAGACTTGACATTTCTCAATGAATTTTCTTGGTAACTTTGCAAAAAATCAATTGAATATTAATGTATGGATTTTCTTTCTGTTGCATTGATCTGTTGATCTATACTTCTGTCAATACTCCACCACCTTACTTACTACAGGTATGAAGTAAGTCTTGAAATCAAGTAGTGTGTGTCTGCCCATATATTCTTCTTCTTCATTTTTCTGAAGGCTATTTTAGATACTCTGCATTTCCATATAAGTTTTAGAATTGTCAGTTTCTACACATACACAAAAACCTGTTAGGATTTTTACTGAGATTTCAAAATGAATCTACAGATCAATTTGGAGGAAATTGTCATCCTAATAATATTGATTCTTCCAATTCATAAACATGGTATATCTCTCTATGTAAGTCTTCATTAATTTCTCACAGCAATATTTTGTAGTTTTCAGTGTAGTGATCTTATATGGTTTTTCCTAAGTATTTAATGTCATTTTATTGCTGTTATAAATTAGATTACTTGATTTCATTTTGCAATTGTTTGCTCCTATAGTATATAAATGTAAGATTGACTTTAAGTTTTGATCTTTTATCCTATGACCTGGCCAAGTTCACTTATTAGTTCTAGTAGTTAGTTGTTCTGTTGATTCCTTAGGAAGTTCTTCATATACAGTCTATATCATTTGTGAATAGGACAGTTATACTTTTTCCATTCTAATCAATATGTCTTTTATTTCTTTTTCTTATCTTATTGCACTGGCTAGGATCCCTAGCGTAATGTTGAACAGAAGTGGTGAACAAGATATTTGTCTTATTCCAAACCTTTGAGGAAACAGATTCAATATTTTACCACTATGATATTAATTGTGGGTGTTTTGTAGATGCCCTGTATCTGATGGAGAGAGTTTCTCTTTATCCCTATTTTACTAAGAAACTTTTTTTATCACTAGTGGGTATTGAATTTTGTCAGGTGAGTTAATGAAATTTCTGCATCTATTGAGATGATCACATGCATTTTATCATATGTTCTGCTTATATGGTGAATTACATTGAAATTGGAATTTTATATGTTAAATCAACCTTATATTCCTGATATAAGATAAATTTAGAAGTGATATACACAGTATCATCCTTTCTATACAATGCCATATTTGACCTTTTAATGTTTTGTTAAGAGTTCTTTTAGCTATGATCATGAGGAATATTGATCTATAATTTTCTTTTCTTATAATGTCTTTTTCAGATTTGGTATCAAGGTAATGTTAGCCCCATAAAACTAGTTAGGTACTGTTCCACACTTCTCTACTTTCTGAAAGAGCTTGTGTGAGTGATTTTATTGTATTCTTAAAAGTTTGACAAAATTTACTAGTAAAATAATCTTGGCGAAACGTTTTCTTTAAATGTATATGTGTGGATACAAAATAAATTCAAATTCCTTCATAGATAAAGGGCTATTCATATTTTCTAGTTCTTGTGTCTATTTTTGATACACTGGATTTTTGTCCATTTCATGTATGCTTCAAATTTACTGGCATAAAGTTGTTAATAATGTTCCCTTATTAGCCATTTAGCCTATAATGATATATGCTGTTTCATTCTTGATACTGGTAATTTGCATTTTCTTTCTTGTTTTCTTATCAGTCTTGGTAAGGATTTATCAATTCCATTAATGTATTCTATTAATGTATTAAACAAATGTTTGATTTTAATTTTCTATGTGGTTTGTTTTCTATTTCACTGATTATTGCTCTTATCTTTATTATTTCCTTTCTTTGACTTACTTTGTGTTTAATTTGTTCTTCTTCCAGCTACTGAAGGTAAAAACTTAAATCATTAATTTTAAATCTTTCTTCTTTTCTAGGTATTTAAATGTATTGGTTTAGTTGCAAACACTGCTTTAACTGCATCCTACAATTTTGATACGTTGCATTTTGTTTACATTTAGTTTAAAACATTTTGTAATTTCACTTGTAATATATTTTTGACCCAAGGACTATTTTAAAGTATATAGCTTGATTTCTAAATATGTAGATTTTTATCAGATATATTTGTTATTGATTTCTAATATAATTTATTGTGTTCAGAGAATATTCTCTGTAATATTTCAAACTTTTGGTATTTATTGAGGTTTTTTATGACCCAGCATTTGGTCTATGTCGGTAAGCATTAAATGTGTACTTGAAATTATATGCTGGTATTTTTGGAGGTAGTGTTCCATAAATGTCAATTCAGTAAAAGTGGTTACCAATGTTCAAATTTTCTATATTATTAATCTTTGGTTTGATTGTTCTGTCAATTACCAAGAAAGGTGTGTTACCATCCTCAATTATGTTTTATTTATTTCTTTGTTTAGTTTTCTCAATTTTAGCTTCATGTTTTCAAAGTTCTGATATTACGTACATAAACATTAAGTGCTGCTAAGTTTTCCCACTGACCGTTTAAAGAAATGTTCCTCTTTATATCTGATATCATGACATGTCTTGAAGTCTACTTTATCTGATATTAATACAGTCATATCAGCTTCTTACACTTACATTATTTCCACATTATCTTTTCTCCCTTCTTATCTTTGTATTTACATTTATAGTGCATGTATTGTGGATTAATGTATAGCTGGGTCTTATTCTTTTGTCTAGTCTGAAAATCTTTGCCTTTAAGTTAGAATGTTAATTAATGTATACTAAATGTAATTATTGATGTATTTGGGTATAAATCTATTGTTTTGCTATTTCTTTTCTATATATCCCATCAGTTTTGTTTCTGTTTCTCCTTTTCTGTTTTCTTCCTTGAGTTCATGAAATTTTTCTTTAGTGATCCATTTAAATTTCTTTTATGGCTCCTTTGCTATACCTTCTTGTACTTTTAGTCAGCAGTTGGTCTGAAGATTACAATGTGTGCTTAGCATAAGACAATGTACTCAGAGTTAATACTGTACCACTTCACAGAAAGTGTAAGAAAAGTACAATTCCATCCCATCCACCACTCTTTCAGTATTGTTATGTTTTACCCCTACATATATGTAAACCCAAGAAAATAATAATTTTTGTATTAAATGGTTACATTTTCTAGCTCTTTGATGAAATTAATATAAAGAAAAAAGTTTTATATCATTCTTTCCATATTTACCATTTCCAGTGCTCTTCATTCCTTCCTGTATATCCAAGTCTCAATCTGGTGTTATTTTCCTACAACCCAAAAAATGTTCTTTACCATTTCTCTTCTTTCTTTCTTTTTTTTTTTGTGATGGAGTCTCGCTCTGTCTCCCAGGCTGGAGTGCAGTGACGGGATCTCAGCTCACTGCAATCTCCGCCTCCCAGGTTCACTTCATTCTCCTGCCCCAGCCTCCCAAGTAGCTGGGACTACAGGCGCCCGCCACCACGCCCGGCTAATTTTTTGTATTTTTTTTTTTTTTAGTAGAGACGGGGTTTCACCATGTTAGCCAAGATGGTCTCAATGTCCTGACCCCGTGATCCGCCCACCTCGGCCTCCCAAAGTGCCGGGACTACAGGTGTGAGCCACCGTGCCCGGCCTCTTTACCATTTCTTGAATGCAGGTCTGACAACAAATTCCCTCCATTCTTATCTGAAAATGTCTTCATTTTCCCTTCATTTCTGAATAATATTTTCATTAGATACAGGATTATGGGTGGATAGTTGGGTTATCTTTTTATTGGTGAGTTCTAAGAGTTATTTATATGTTTTGAACACTCTACTCTTATCAAATGTATAATTTGCAAATATTTTCTCCCATTTGGTAAGTTATCTTTTCAATTTCATGGTAGTGTACTTTGAATCAAAAAGTGTTTTATTTTGATGAAGTCCTCTTTACCCATTCTGTCTTTGGTGGCTAGTACTTTCGTTGTATGTCTAGAAAACCACTGCCTAATTCAAGGTCATGAAGATCTACACTTATGTTCTCTTCTAAGCATTTTATGATTTTAACTCTTACATTTAGTATTTTGATCTGCTTTGAGTTAATTTTTGTATATGCTGTCAGGTAAGGACCTAACTTCCTTCTCCTGCACATGTCAATCCAATTGTCCCAGACCATTTGTTGCAAAAACTACTCTCTCCCCATTTTATTGTCTTGGCAATCCTGTGGAAAATCAGTGGCCACAGACGTATGAATTTACTTCTGTATTGTCAATTCTATTTCATTGATCTATATGTCTGTCTTGTTACTGGTACAACACAGTCTTGATTACTGTAGCTTCACAGTACGTTTTGAAAATGAGAAATGTGAGTTCTCCAATTTTGTTTTTATTTTTCAAGATTCTTTTGGTTGTTTGTAGTCCCTTGCATTTCTGTATGAATTTTAAAATTAGCTCATCAATTTCTGCAAAAAAATAAAGAAGCCAGCTGATATTTTGATAAGGGTTATACTAATCTGTAGATCAGTTTGGGAAGTGTCATTATCTTAACTATTTAAGTTTTCCAAATTTATGAACACAGGATGTCTTCCCATTTATTTAAGTCGTCTCTAATTTCTTTCAATGATATTTTGTAGTTTTCAATGTAGAATTCTTCTGTTGCTAAAGTATTTCACTCTTTTTGATGCTAAATTAAATCGAACTGTTTTTAAATTTCATTTTTAGATTGTTGCTTGTGAAAAAATATGCCATGATTTTTGTATATTGATCTTGTATCCTGCCACCTTGCTGAACTGATTTATTAGCTCCAAGTGTTTTTGTGCATTCCTCAGGATTTTCTATGTTTAAAAAATCATGCCATCTTGATGGTTTTACTTCTTCCTTTCCAATATAGATGTCTTTTCTTTTTCTGGCCTAAGCGCCCTTGCTAGAACCTCCAGTACAATGTTGAATAGAAGTGATGAGAGTAGATATCTTTGTCTTATTCCTTATCTTAGAAGAAAACTTTTTGGTGTTTCACTATTAAGTATGTTAGCTATTTTTCACAGATGCCCTTTATAAGGCTGAGGAAATTCCTTTCCATTCTTAGTTTATTGAGTGGTTTTTATCATGAAAGTGAGTCAAATCGTTTTTCTGTGTCTATTTTCTTGTGCCCTTTATTCATTAAATATGGTGCTCATGTTAATTTTTCTATGTTGAACGAACATTACATTTTTGGGCTAAATATGACTTTGCCATGGTATAATTCCTTTTATTAGTTGCTGGATTCAGTTTGCTAGCATTTTATTGAGGATTTTTGCATATATATTCACAATGGATATTGGTCTGTAGTTTTCTTTTATTGTGATGTCCTTTTTTGGTTTTGGTATCAGAGTAGGCCTGGCCTCACAGAATGAGTTGGGGAGTGCTCCATCTTCTTTTATTTTTTGGAAGAGCTTGTGAAGGATTGGCATTAATTCTTCATTAACCCTTTGGTAGCGTTCACCAGTGAAGTCATCTGGTCCTCAACTTTTCTCTGTGGGATGTTTTTAATAACTAGTTAATCTTTTTATATATTATAGGTCTATTTGATTTTTTATTTATTCTTGAATCAGTTTTGGTATTTTGTGTCTTTCTAGAAATTGGTCCACTTCAACTAAGTTATTTAATTTGTTAGCATGCATTTGTTCATATAATTCCTTATAATCCTTTTTATTTTGGAAAAGTCAGTAGTATTGTCCTCTCTTAATTTGAGTCTTCTTTCATTTTTTTCTTGGTCAGTGCAGACAAATATTTGTCAGTTTTTTTCAGAGTACCAACTTCTGGAGTTGTTATTTTTCTCTATTGTTTTATTATTACTTTGGAATCACTGGTTATTTAGAAGTAATTTAATTTTGACATATTTGTGAATTTCTCAAATTTTTTCTGTTATTGATTTCTACTTTCAATCCACTGTGGTCAGAGAACATACTTTGTATTATTTTAACCACTTTATATTTATTGAGAATTGTTTTACTGTCTAACATACAGACCTACCTTGGCAAATGTTCCATGGGCACTAGAATAATGTGTTTTCTGCTGTTGTTGAGTGTTCTACATACATATCTGTTAGATCTAGTCTGTTTATAGTGTTCTTCAAGTCTTCAATTTCCTTATGATACTGTCTCATTGTTCTACCTTCTATCATTATTGAGTAATTGAAGTCTCTAGCATTGTTGAAAATCTTTCACCCTTCGATTCTGTCACTTTTTCCTTTGTGTATTTCTGGACTCTGCTGCTAGATGCATATATGGTTATAATTATTACATCTTAATGAATCAACCCTCTTATCATTATAAATGTCTTTCTTTAGCAACAATTTCTGTCTTGAAGTCTATTTTATCTGATAGTAATACAGCAATTCCAGCTCTCTCCTGGCTACTGTTTGCATGGTATATCATTTTCCATCTTTTTACTTCCAACCTATTTGTGTATTTGAATCAAAAGTATGTCTCTTGACCAGGCATGGTGGCTCACACCTATAATCCCAGCACTTTGGGAAGCCAAGGTGGAAAGACTGCTTGAGCCCAGGAGTTTGAGACCAGTCTGGGCAATATAGGGAGATCCCATCTCTATAAAAAATACAAAAATTTGTTGGGTGTGGTGGTGCATGCCTATTGCTGCAGCCACTCAGGAGGCTGAGATAGAAGGAACACTTGAGCCCAGGAGGTCAAGGCTAGAGTGAGCTGTGATTACACCACTGCACTCCAGCCTGGGCGACAGAGTGAGACCCTGCCTTTAAGTAAATAAATGAATAAATAAAGTGTGTCTCTCTTAGGAAGCACAGAGTTAGGTATTTTTATCAATTCTGTGAATCTTAATTTTAATTGTTTTATCAGTTTATATTTAATGTAATTACTAATAAGGTAGGATTTATATATGACATTTTGCTATTTGTTTTCTGTATGTCTTACGTCTTTTTAAATTTCTCTATGTCTACATTGTTGCCTTCTCCTGTGTTAAATATTTTCTAGTGTATCATTTTAATTCCCTCATTCTTTCTTTTGCTATATTTAAAAATGTATTTGCTTTGTGATTGTCCTAAGTGTTGGCATCTTAACTTATAATAATTTTCTGGTTCGGATCAACCAACTTAATTTCAATAGTATACAAAAACTGTGATCCATTCCCTCCTTTCTCCTATTTGCTATTATTATTATACAAATTATGTCTTTATACATTGTATGTGCATCAACACAGATTTATAATTATTGCTTTATGTAGATGTTTTTAAAGTTGGATAAGAGAAAAAAAGATTTACAAACAAAAAAATTACATTTGTACTGTCCTTTATGTCTACCCATGTAGTTACCTTTACCACTGCTGATTATTTCTTCATGTGAATTTGAGTTACTGTCTAGTATCCTTTCATTTCAGCCTGAGAGACTCCCTTTATTATTTATCTTAGGGCATGTGTGCTAATGACAAATTCTCTCAGTTTTTGCTCATTTATACTTCATTTTAAGGATAGTTTTCTAGCTATACAATTCTTTGTTGACAGTCTTCTTTCAGCGCTTTGAATATGTCATCCTGCTACTCCCTTGTGGTCTCTGTGGCTCTTGATGAGCAATCAGTCATTAATCTTGTTGAGGATTCTTTGTACATAATGTAACTATATATAGGTATCTTTGAGTTTATTCTTAAGAGTTCCTTGAGCTCCTTGGGAAGGCAGATTAGTGTTTTTAATCAAAATCAGCAAGTTTTTGGGCATTATTTCTTCTAATATTCTTTCTGCATCTTTCTCCTTTCCTGGGACTCCCATTACGAAACTGTTGGTAAAGCTGATAGCGTCCACAGGTCTCTGAGGTTCTGTTCATTTTTCTTCATCTTTTTTTATGTTCCTCAAACTAGATAATCTCAGTTGACCTGTTTTCAAGTTTGCTGATTCTTTTTTTGTTTGATAGTCTGCTGTTGAGCCCCTCTAGTGAATACACACACACACACACACACACACACACACACACACACACAATGCATTGCATCTTTATTGATATTCTCCATTTGGTGATACCCTGCTCCATACTTTCTTTTAGCTCTTTAAACATGGTTTCCTTTAGTTATTGGACCATATTTTAAATATCTGATTTAAAGTCTTTGTATAGTAAGACTAAAGTCTGGGCTTTCTCAGGGAAAGTTTGTATTGACTGCTTTTTAAACTATTTATAAGCTATACTTTGTTTTTCTTTACACACCTTGCAATTTTTAAATGAAAACTAAACATCTTAAATAATATAGCAACTCTGGAAATTATTCTCATCCCCTTCCAGGGTTTGTTGTGGTTGCTGTTTGTTGTTGTTATTTGTTTGTTTAGTGTCTTTTATAAACTAATTTGTAAAGCTTTTATTCTTTGTCATTGTGGCTACTAAAGTTAAAGTCTCTGACCAGTTAGCTTAGTAATCAGCTAATAATTAGAGATTTTCTTAAGCACCTGAAACCAGCAAGTTTCCTGATCCTTGCAAAGGGTCTCTGTGTACATGTTGGGGTACATCATAAACAGTCAGGTGACAGATGACAACTCTGCCTTAGCCTTCACTTTCTGCTTGTACAGTCCCTCAAGGTTAGTCAGAGGTGACAGCTTAGGGTATTTTTAGATATTTTCAGGACATGTGCATAGCCTTGAGAATTAACAAAGCCTTACTCATGTGGACAGCCTTCTAGATTCCTAGGAATATGTCAAAGCTTTTAAAGTCCCCTATGATCATCTCATCCCTTAGCTTTTCTTTTAAGGTTTTTGGCTAGCCTACTGTTTGCTCCAACTGTTACTCCCTGTCTCAGGCAGCTGTGATGTTAAGCAATTGCCTCTGATTTTTTTATTTTTATTTTTTAAGAAGCAGTCTCCCTATGTTGCCCGGGCTGGCCTTAAACTTCTGGTCTCAAGCAATCCTCTCACATGAGCCTCCTGAATAGCTGGGACTATAGGTGTGCACCACTGCACTCGCTTTCCTCTGATTGTTTTTGACAAACGCCCTTGAGAGAAGGCTATTTGCACTGTGTAAGCACCAAGACAAATCAAATAAAGACAGTCTTCCCAATGAGGCATTCCAGGCAGCCACCAGACTGACCAGTAATGACAATTCCTTGGGAATGGGGCTTTGAAAATGCTCCAACACTATTTTTCCCCCTCTAGTGGCTGACAGGTTGCTGGTTTTCATTATGACTGTAGGCCGTTGGTTTTTAAGGCTACTACAGAGCTGAGGATGAGGAATTAGAATAAAATTAAACTGTAACGAAGCCTACTATTCTAACTAAGAGTCAGCACTCTTAAATAAATGCTCCTTGGATTGTTGAAAGCCTTTGGTTAATTTTCAGAGCTAAGACAAAGTTGATTCTGATTTTTTTTTTTTGTTTTCATTGCTTTTATAGAGAAGATAATTTTCAGAGGCCTTTACTTCATCAGTTTTGCTGATGTCTCATCTCAGTTTTTTTCATTCTGCTTTTTAGACTGAATAATTTCTAGTGACCTATCTTCAAGTTCACTAACACCTTCTTCTACCATCTTCAATGTGTTGTTGAGCCCATCCAGTGAATTTTTCATTTCAGATATAACAGTTTTCAGTTTTGAATGCCCATTTGGTTCTCTTTTACATTTTCTATTTCTCTGCTAAGCTCCTTCCAACTATTCATTCATTATGCCATTCTTTACTTTTAAGTCCTTGAGCATTTTTATAATAGCTCCTTTCAAGTATTTTTCTGCGAAGTCCTACATTTGATCATCTTAGGGTCTGTTTTTATTGCCTGATTTTTCTTTTGATCACAGGTCACATTTTCCTATTTCTTTGAATGTCTAGTACAGTTTTTATAGTATTTTGGCCATTTTGGGTGATATATTACAGATATTCTGGATTCTGTTATCCTTTTCTAAAGAATGTTGATTTCTGTCCTGGCAGGTAGGTAAAATTCTGGCTGATTGCATTCACTTTGTGAAGGCTTAGTTTTATACTTTTTTAGGGAAAATTTGTTTGAAGCTAGCCCTTAGTCTTAGACTGAAGCCTTAGTCCTAGGGTATAGGACTAGCTTTTCTCCTATGGTATCACCTTTGTGAGGTTTCAGTGTAAAGCCTGAGATGTTTGCCAAGGCCCCCTTAATTGGTGGGATTCTAACTGTGCCTTCCCTGTGGTGTCTATCAGTTGAAATGTCTGCTCAGTTTCTTCTTCCTTCCAGCTGTTACTTTCCTCCAGAGTCCTTGAAGGCTCCTTTGTAAATACACAGCTCAGGAATCGGCCAAGGTTTTGAGATCATTTATATGCCAATTTAGGGGCTCCCTCATTTCTAGTTTCCTCCTTTCTGGGACTTCCACCTTCGATTTTTAGTCACTTTGATAGTCTTGAACTTTGTGCTCTGATATATCATGTCAATCAATAAGGCTGAGGCTTTCTAGCAATCCCTTCATGTGGTGTCAAGTGATAACCTTCAGGGAAAAAAAGGGGCTGGGGTAATGTTACACAGTATAGAAGTATTATTTCAAGAAACAAATCCCTCCAGTTTCTGTCTGATTTGTGTTGCTCTATAGTGCCTTCGTGTAGTTTTTCATATTTTGACTAGGGTTTATAATTGTTTGTCTACATTGTCTACATTGAGCTACTCCACCATTCCTGAGACTAAAACTAGTCCTGTTAAATTATTATTATTCACTTGAAAACTGACTTACAAATATAATGAAACTTATGCTATCAGTCTTATTTCCTATAAAACAGAATACGTATTAGGTAAGATGAGTAGGAGTTTCAGAACTATAATATAGAAGGGATCTTGGATCCAGGAGATTTTTCTTGAAGCTCTGTGTACATGGTAAGCACACTATTTTTAGCTAATGTTATATTTATTTGAATGGTGGTGCAATGAAGTATGGTGGTATACTGGGGAAGAGTACTGTGGAGAAGATGAGACGACTCAAATTCCCAAGTCACTCTGGTAGGTCACTGGCTGAGATTCTCTTCAAAGAGGTATCATTATTAAAAAACAAGCAATAATCTTGACTGAAAGAAAGGACCATATAGCATAGACCCTGAAGAAAGAGTTGGAATGAGTTTAAAGTATATTAGCATAAGAGTCACTCATGTCTACACTGAGCAACCCATATGGATTTTAATTGAACAAGTTGCAAAATATTAGGCAACTTTTTTTTCTGTGCCATCTTCAAGGTTTGCAACAAATAATAGTGTCTAACAGTAAATCAATTTTGAGTTAACTCATTGACAAATTAAGAGAATTCATCATATTTCCATTTGGTAATATGTCATCTCCATTGGGTGGCCTTCTCTCAGTGTTATTCTCTGGTTTTCCTTCATTACACTTACTAAAACATGAGATTATATATTTTTGTACTTGTTTGTTTAACTATCTTAGTGAAATGTGAGGACAACAGTCCTTAAGCAAGACATTGATCATCATTTAAGATTAAACTTAGTCTAAATTAATCATACTAAGTCATACTTAAATGAAAGTGTGTCCACCTTTTAAACTGGATAATATGGACATTGTTTTTCTACCATGCCTATTCAAATCTTCCCTTTACCCAGATGATTCAAGCCACTGAAACCTCTTGTATCTCTGATCTATATAAATTTAAAAAGTATTTTTAATATCCAGACTTTGTTAAATCCCATTTAATCCAAGTAGTAAATTTTAAGTACAGTATATACTTTGTAGAAAATATATAGGATAACTATCAATATTATCAATATTAAGATCAACAAACAATAACAGATTATTTCACTTAATTGTAGCCCTCCTTTGAGTTATTAATATTCCAATGTAATAGACGAGAAAAGTATAGTTCAGAGAGGTTAAGTGACTTGGCCAAAGTCATACAACTAATAAATGACCAGTTCCTATAACTGACTAGCTATCATTCCATTATACTATAACTCTCAGAGAGTTATTTGGAAGAGATCTTTAAACAGTAACAAACCAGGTGATGGAAAAACTTAATAATTTATTATAGGTGCAATATAAATATTTGTCAACATTCCATGCTGTTTCTTTCCAAAATATGAAGTCAAATAGATGGGCATATTTTCATTTAAGTATGATTTAATTAAATCAGACTAAATTTAATCTTGAACAATGGTCTATGTATTTACAAATGTTTCAGAATGTGAAGACACAAAAAGAATATCTATTAATTTAAAGACATGAGGATCACATTTTTAAACGTTTAATTTCCTCACAAAGCAGTATTACTACATTCTTTATCTTCTTCCTCTCTCACACCCCTCTTCAACCAGACACCCATCTACCATTACTCAAGCCACCACCTGTGTTGTTTAGCTCTGCACTTAACCTTCCCCCACTGTAGAGGACAATGGTCTTAGTGCATACAAGCTGATTGCAAATATTATACTGCTTCAAATCCAAAGTAATGTGTGAGATGGACATGAAAACTTCAAAATTGTTCCCCCACCCCCCCAACCCCCGCAGAACACACGGACAAATGTGGTTAGCAGGGTCTATCTTGTTCTCTGATCACTAACTTCAACAAAGAGGAAGTCCAAAGAGTGCAACTGCCAATGGTAAAAGGAACCCTTTACAAGAAAAAGGAAAGGAAAGGAAACTTCCTTTGTGCATAACAGTATAGCCATTTTTAACAATGGAAAACAGCCTGGGCTACTACTTCTCATGCTTCAACTTAGGAAACGTTTTTAGGTGAAGACTGATTCTGGACCAAAACTTCTTGAACATCCTAAGCTGACTCAGTTGTCCCTTTTCTTTGATTCTGACTTCCCACCCTCCATCATGCTCCTGCTCAGCTAAATCTTTCCAGCCTTACCTGTTGTTCTAACCACAGACCTAGGCTCTCTGCCTTCTGCCTCACTCTTATCCATCCCATACTGACTCCTCTCCTTCCTAAGGCAAAAAAAAAAAAAAAAAGACTTCTTCAAATCTACTCTCCCGTAGTAGATCTGCCTCCCACTACACTCTCATAAACTCAAGTTGAAGCTTCTGTCACAGATTCACAGATTCCTTCAACCTTCTGGGGCATGGAATGTAGCCTGCGCCACCAGCCAGCTCAGTCTCTTCCTGTTTTGGATTCTCCTCTCAGGCCCGCATCTTCCCAGCATCTTCTCTCCTCCCGTGCCCGCTCAGACCATCCTCTAAATGTCCTCAATTCTCAGACACACATCTCCGCCCCTTTCAGGCTCACGGCCCCTCAGAAGTCCTCTCCTCTCAGATCCACTGCTCTTTCTTCCTCTGATGCCTTTGCTTCCCAGACCCACAACGCCCCTCAGACCCACGCGCCCCTCGACCGCCCTCCCCCGTCAGACCTACACCAGTCACCTGGACCCGCCCCAGACCCTGGCTCCCCTCGGGCCACCTCCCTCCTCAGACCCATGCCCCCTTCAGGCCACCTCCCTCCTCAGACTCTCGCCCGCCTCGGACCACCTCACTCCCTCAGACCCACGCCCCCCTCGGCCGCCCTCCTCTCTCAGACCCACACCCCTTACCTGGACCCCCCTCTGACCTAGGCCCCCCTCAGACCACCTCTCCCCTCAGACCCACGCCCCTCACCTGGACCCGCCTCGCGGAGCCGATCTGCGTCTGCTGCACGAAGGGGTTCGGCACCGGCGGCGGGAAGAAGGACGCCTGACGGGGCACCATGGGCGGCCGCAGCCCCACGTTCCCGACGCCGGCACCTGGCACTGTGGCCGCCACTTCCGCCGCCTGGGCGCACCGGCTCATAGTTGAGCCGGGCGTAGAACCCGGCCGAAGCGATCTACGCGGGCGCTGCAGCCAAAACTGAGCCGAAGACCTACTAGAGTCCCAGCCTAGGGCGACGCTGGGGAGCCTCTGCGCAGGCGCTGAAGTTACTTAGACGCCTGCTGCTGCCGCCCTGCCCCTTCGGCTGTGACACGCCCCAGGCTCTGGCCACACCCCCTCAGGCATCTGGCTCCACCCCCTTGGTAATATAGTCCATCCCCTCGGAGGGGAATGTTTTCCTTCCGAGCCAAGACCCTGAAGGGTACCCCAGGATCCCTAACATTCCACAGCGAGACACTAGGCAGAGTTCCCTGCTTTAGGGTCGGACGGACCTGGATTTTCAATCCCTTTTACTGGGCCTGTGACGCTGGCCAAATCACTATCTCTATGAACCTCGGTTGCCTTCCGTAAAATGCAGATAAATGTATTCTCAGATAATCCTAACCTGGATCCAGTAATGCCATTGAGCAACCACTTCCCCTGGGCTGTTCCATTAAGTGAGCTAATATTAATACACCCATGATGGCACTAGGAGTGGAATTTGTTTCACTCAAAACATAATGGACTGACAGGGGAGAGATGGTTCTCCAGAGGAAAACTGAGCTACTATTACCAGAAAAGGCAAAAATTACAGTTGCCCTCCACGCTAGATGAGGAACCTGACCCAGAAAAGGGAAATGTATTGGGCTGTGGCTCCCTTTCACACTGAGGAAGTTCAAGCCTGTTTGGACCTATGTGGGTGCTCGTGGGGGTGGGAGGGCAGGGGTTTGTCCCATTATCTGAGGACAGTTGATCAACCCTGAGTGGCTGAGAGTTAAAGGAAGGAGATGATAATCAACTCATCCCAACTGATCAACTCTTCTCACAGCAGGTAGGAAGGCCAGGATGAAAATCTGAGTCTGAGCCCTGGGGTTCTCCAAAGTTACCCTCTGAATGTCAGAATCTTCCAGCCCTACCACATAGATGTGTGGCCTTGAGTCAGTCACTTAACCTGAGTTTGCTTCCTTGTCTAGGAATGGGAGATTCATTCTAACTCCATAGAATTGTAGCAAGGATTAAATAAAATAATGCATGTGTAGTGTTCATAGAGAAACACTGAAGAAATGGCATGTTTTAAGCATTATTATGTTGTGGAGCCACTGACTTTTCTCTCAGTGTAACAGGGAACATTAATAACAGTGCATTACAGCCATGATAGAAGATTCCCCAGTCTAGGGGGTCTTCAAGTTGGGACTGGCAGACCCTTGAGACTCTTTAGCCAGATACCTGCACAGAAAGATGTCTTTCCAACTGTCAACAACCTAAGCCAGGCCAGGTGCAGTGGCTCACGCCTGTAATCCTAGCACTTTGGGGGCTGAGGAGGGTGGATCCCTTGAGCCCAGGAGTTCGAGACCAGCCTGGGCAACAAAGAGAGACTCCACCATCTCTAAAAAAAATTAAAAATTAGCTGGCTGTGCTGTTGCATGCCTGCAGTCCCAGCTACTCAGGAGGCTGAAGTGGGAGGATTGCTTGAGCCCAGAAGATCAAGTCTGCAGTGAGCTATGATCATGCCATTGCACTCCAGCCTGGGTGACAGAGAAAGACACTGTCTCAAAAAAGAAAAAAAAAGAAGAAGAAGAAACAAAAAGAATCTGAGTCAAGGGGACAGGCCATGGGAGGATAAAAGATAGAAAAGATGGGGCCGAGAGTGGTGGCTCACACCAATAATCCTAGCACTTTGGGAGGCCGAGATGGGTGGATTGCCTGATCTCAGGAGTTCGAGACCAGCCTGGGCAACACGGTGATACCTGTCTCTACCAAAATACAAAACAAATTAGCTGGGTATGGTGGCGTGCACCTGTAATCCCAGCTACTTGGGAGGCTGAGGCAGGAGAATCACTTAAACCTGGGAGGCAGAGGTTACAGTGAGCCGAGATTGCGCCATTGCACTCCAGCCTGGGTGACAGAGTGAGACTCCATCTCAAAAACAGAAAAAAGAGATAGAAACAATGACATCAGGCTCACTGAGGAGGTCACCTGTAGAGTTCACTCCTTACGCACCTTCCTCACCAGCCCCATCATAAGAGGCCAGAAGCAATATATATACTATCAATCAGACTATCGGAGCCAGAAAGGGCCTCAGAAAAACCCCAGGCCTTCAATTTCTGTTCAGCAGTAGCTCCAGAATTTCTATGTAGGAGATTAGGAGTGGGTAGACTGGTAGGAAGGAGTAAGGAGCTTATCCATTAATACCAGCTGTGTTTAGAAGCAAGCACAGTATTTCTCCCTTAGCTGTGTTTACCCAGCGTGGTTTTGGGGGTGGTGGAGGGTAGCAGGAGCGGTTTTGAAGGTGGTGGGGGTGTTTTTGAGGGTGGCGGAGGGTGGTGAGATTCTGGTTTGAGAGCTAAAGCTCCTCTGCTAGGCTATCCTTTGGCCTTGTAGGTCCCTAATAGCTATGGGACCCTGGAAAAATCACTTCTCTTGAGCCATCAGTCTCTTCATCAATAAGATTCAACTAATAATGGCCTTTTTTATTTATGTGGTTGGAAAGGTTAAAATAGGTGACACGTGAAAAGTGCCTTGCACATAGAAAGCACTCTATTAATTGAGGGGGATATTATTGTTACTGTTCATTGTTAGTAGTAGCATTAAAACTGATATGATTGCTAATGAAGAAACAGACTTAAAGAGGAAGCAAACCTCGAACAGATGCCACAATAAAGCAACAAAATTGCTGATTCTTCAGGGCTCTTTCTACAGGACAGAGGGACTAGAGCTTACTCTCCCTGAGGTTCTCTTGCTGTTTACTTTGGAAGCTCTGACCTTTCCAGCAGACACCATCACCTGTGCCCTGCAGGGAGCAGAGATTCGGACTTTTTAAGTTTCCGCTTCTGGCTGGGTCTGTGGCCCTTGTCTAGGCTCTGCTAAAACAGATGGCAAACACGGCCACTCAGTAGGTGTCTTTATTCATACTTGTTGACATTTCCCATGGGGAATGGTTGAAGGGAGGGGCAGGGAGGGCTGAGCGGGAAGCCACGGCTTGGTTTTCCTCCATCCAGTGGAGAAGAGACTCGGTAGGGACATGCTAAGTAGAGTGAACAGGGGAACCATCACTATGTGGGCTGAGATGCACTGTGCAGTGACTTCAGACAACCTGAGTCCTTCTGTCAGGAAATGCAATTTCTAAGTGGAAAAAAAAAACAAGACCCAAAGAAAAAAACAAAGTGCATACAAAGCAAACTGCTAATGTAAGAAAGGTTCTAAGGCAGCCAGCAGTGAAAAGCCAGGGGTCTGGAGTGGCCACCTGGCCATGCCCTGTCCCACTGCCCTGTGCCAGGCTGTCGGGCCACCAGTGCCCTCTTGAGACAGTCTCCATTGGCTCCAAGGGTTCTGTGAGCCACAGAAGGTTGTGAAAGGAGAAGAGCCTGAAGTGTGGCAGCACCAGGGCAGCCCAAAGCAGGGCTGCGTTGAAAATATCAAAGTATCTCTTTAGGGGTGGCTCTGAGGGTTGGTGGGATTGGAGGGGGAAGGGGCGCCTGGGAGGAGTACAGTCAGCATCTATTCTTGGGCACCGGGAGGAGCCACTCTCTGGAATCTTAAATTACCAGGTAGGAGTGAGAATGCTGATTAGCTGTAGAGCTGAAGGCACGGCTGCCAGGCCCCTCCGGGTCCTTCTCTAGTTCTCCAGGCCCGGTGTATCGAAGGCAGTGGAGAGGAAGGGCCTGTGGGAGCCAGGGCCAGCTCAGCAGCCTAGCCAGTCGGATTTGATGCTTCCAAACTTCACGCTCTTCAGACTTTGGTTCTCCAGCTTCAGGTAATAGGCACCCTTGAAGAAGTAGCTGTGACCTGGGATAGAGAAAGAAGAGACCGTGACCCCCTTATCCTGACATTCTGGCACACAGAAGGTTCCTGGGAACTTTGAATTTCTGCCTGGCATAGGGAAGAAGCTTTTAAACGAGAAGAGAGCTTTGAAAGGCTGAGGCAGGAGGATTGCTTGAGCCCAGGAGTTCGAGACCAGCTTGGGCAGCATAGAGAGACCCCCATTTCTACGAAAAACATATTTAAATTAGCTGGGTATAGTGGTACATTCCTGTAGTCCAAGCTACTTAGGAGGCTGACGTGGGAGGGTCGCTTAAGCCCAGGAGTTCGAGGCTGCAGTGAGCTATGATTGTGCCTCTAGCCTGGGTGATAGAGCAAGACCTTGTCCCCCCGCCAAAAAAAAAACTCAACTGTGGCGGGGCGCGGTGGCTCACGCCTGTAATCCCAGCACTTTGGGAGGCCGAGACGGGCAGATCACGAAGTCAGGAGATCAAGACCATCCTGGCTAACATGGTGAAACCTCGTCTCTACTAAAAATACAAAAAATTAGCCGGGCGTGGTGGTAGGCGCCTGTAGTCCCAGCTACTCGGGAGGCTGAGGCAGGAGAATGGTGTGAACCCAGTAGGCGGAGCTTGCAGTGAGCCAAGATCGCGCCACTGCACTCCAGCCTGGGCGACAGAGGGAGACTCTGTCTCAAAAAAAAAAAAAAAAAAATTCAATTGTTTCAATCTGAGCTGATTGAAGAAAAGAAAACAAAAACAAAACCAAAACACAACAAAAGCCCAGAAGAGCCCCCTCTGGGAGTGGAAGAAGGGAAATGGCTGTGAAATAAGCTCTTTTATTCCCTGTTTGCTCATCTCTAAGATGAGGATAAAGATTATCAACCTTCTAGGGCTTGCAGTGAGCATTAAGTCAGATAACATATGCTATTATTAAAAACAATAACTCCACTTAACACAAGCATCAAACTAAGCACATTCCATGTACCAGAGGTGGCAAAACAGGATATATCCAGTCCTGTCAGGCCCACAGATGGGTTTTATTTGACTCTCACAAGTTTGTTTTGTTTTGTCTTTAAATCTGAATAACTTGCCAACATGTAAACATCCAAAAAGTCACACAGAAGTACAGATTTCTGGCTTCCTTTAAAAAAACTAGAATATCTAATATAGAATATCTAACAACACCAGGCCCCATTCTTTTTTTTTGAGACCAGGTCTCACTCTGTCACCCAGTCTGGAATGCAGCGGCATGAACACGGCTCACTGCAGCCTTAAACTCCTGGGCTCAAGCGATCCTCTCTGCTCACCCTCCCCAGTAGCTGGGACTACAGGTATGCGCCGTCATGTGTAGCTAATGTTTTTTAAAATTTTTTTGTAGAGATAGAGTCTCACTATGTTGCCCAGGCTGGTCTCAAACTCCTGCGCTCAAGCAGTTCTCCTGCCTTGGCCTCCCAGAGTGCTGGGATGACAGGTGTGAACCATGGCAGCTGCCTAGGCCCCTAATCTTGCCCGCCAATAATTATCTGAAGGTGAGAAGAAAGTGTCTCCTGTAAATGAGGCATGTGCTCTGATTCCGCACAGACTCCACAGTTCCCCACTGTCTGCCCCTGCCTGCTTTACTCATTTGTGCTACCTGCCTGACACATGGAGCTGTTGGAGTTTGTGACTCCTGACATACATAATCTCATTTACTATTAATATGCTAGCATGTAGTAGGTGCTCAATAGATGTTTATTCTTGAAGATAACTCCTAATCTAGCATCTGATTGTACACTGCATTTTCTTGGACATGTAAGACCTTCAGCTACTGGAGGTCAGGGCCTGTGCTTAGCATACAGTAGGTGCTCAAAAAAAAAAAAATCTGTGGAATTTAGTTGAAATCTCCTCTAAAAAAAGCCAAACTGGACCCATTTCCAGGACCCTAGAAAGCTCACAGATGCCTCCTCAAGAGTATGATTTTCAAACTCCAAATTCTATCCCTCGCTGCTACTGGTTGTGTTTTAATCAGCAGGGGGCCAGGGGCAAACTGGTTGAGTGGAGGATCTTTGCCACATGAGCAACAGAGCATGACAAAGTTTGCCTTGTCTCAAATGGAGCCATCCTTCTGCTAATGGGAGGTGGTCACAGGCCTCCTGCAAAACGCAAATGGGCCTGGATCAAACCCCAGAATGAATCCACGGCACAGAGCCCATGTTCCTTCTCCCCTGGCCCAGGCCTTCCGCCCTCCCCTGCCCTGGCTCCAGGCCCTGCAGCTGTGAGAAGTCTTTCTGGGTCTTACTGCCTGGAGCCAGGCCAAGGAGCAGAGGTCAGGGATCTGGAAACCTTCCCAGCACTAGGATGAAGGAGTTGATTTGTTTTCCTGGGCGCCGCCTGCCTGCCTGCCCTGCACAATAAAGAAGTGTGTATTTGCAAGGAGCTGGGCCCTGGCTAGGGGCGGGGAGTCCTAGAAAGCGGAGACAGTCCTGGGTGGCTCACCGCCGCCCTGCAGGTCCACGACGGCATCCAGGTTATCGGGGATGGCATTCCAGGCATCTGCGATGAGCTTGGGGAAGCCAGGATCCATTTTCTTCTTCACCTCATTGTATCTGTAAAGAAACAGACACAGTGAACCAGCAGGGCCTCTCTAAAGGACACTTCCCCCCTGGCCTGGATGGGAGCACCCAGCTGATGGCTCCTGGATAGGCCTCGGAAACTGGACCTAGCCCTTCAGGGAAGCAGCCAGCTGCAGTGGAAGGAAGGGCATGGAATCAGACCTGAGTCTGAGCCTCAGATCTACCACTTTTAATTATATGACTTTGGATGACCCCATAAAAACAATCTCATGATTACTGCTAACATTTATAAAGCACTTACTACATGCCAAACAGTGTGTTAACCACTTTCCATACAGCTACAGTTTTACCAGCTGTAAAATGGGGTTGTGTCTAATTTAGTGTATTTAATTTAATGCATGCATTAAATAAAACAGCACATGCAGAGCCTCTATCCCCATGTCTCATAAATATTTAGTAGGTACTTAAGAAATGTTAGCTCCCTTACAAACAAATCCCTGCTGTAATCCGAGGAGTGCTAAACTAGAAGCCCAGGGATGGGAATCTGCCCCATCATTCTTTCACTTCATGGCTTGGAAAAATTGCTGCTTCTTCATCTGCCACAGGGAGATGACAGTCCCTGCCCTGGGAGATGACCATGGCTGGGGCAGTGAGGTTACAATGCAAGGTGGAAGGTACGTGTAAGTCCAAGGCCTGTTAGTCACAGGGTGGGCCACATGCCACCTCAGTTCCGGCGGCAGCAATCCTGGGCCCCGCCTTTAATTCAGGTAAATACTTTGGGCATCGGTTAGTATGTTCTTCTCCCTGGCTAGCAATCCTTCTGTCTTTTAAGATTTTTGGAGAACTTTTTAAATGCTGCTGTCATGTTGATTCCTTTGCCTCTCCACTTCATTATTCCATAAATATTTACTGAGCTCCCACTATGGGAGCTATGGATATCCTAGTAAACAAGTCTTGCCCAAGTGGAGCTGTTTCTAGATGAATCTGTGTTCGCATCCCATCCTGGTAGCAGCCACCTTTTGCTCCACAGTGCCTCCTAGGGGGCTCCCTTCCTTTCTGCAGCCAGCCTTGACCACCTCCACCCTGGACCCCAACAGCAGCTTTCCCTATATGCTCCCTTCTAGAGGAGACTTCTCCCTCAAAGGGACTTCTCCCTCAGCCATCACCCCGAAGAACTAACGCCTTCCTTAATCCCAGGTGCAGCATAAAACTCATTCTTACAAAACCTGGCATGCTTCCTCATGCCCTGGGTCACCAAAACCAAGTTCCCTAGCTCAAAATCCCAACACTCCCATCCAAGGCACCTCCACTGAGCCCTCAAACTACATTCCCTAGCGTTAGGATAGTTTGGAGATGTGTGTCCCACACTTGAACTGGCCCTCATTTCTTTCTCATTCTACCCACAGAAGGTGGGGATGGCAGAAGTCAAGCCCATTTTACAGATGAGGAAACTGAGTCTCAGATAAGAGAATTAGTTTGCTTCCAAGTTCTTTTCATCCAGAAAGAATACAAGCACTGTGGTGTCAGAAGATGTGGTACTTCTCTGCAGCTGTAGAAGTTGCCATGTATAGCAGGTGTTAAGAACACAGATATTTGTGTCCCAGCTTTTCCTTGAGCCACTTTAGCCTCAGTTTCCACACTTGGGAAAAGGAGCTAACAGTATCTACCTCAACTGAGAAATATAGGTGACCTGCATAGCCTCAGGCTGGGCTATGGTAGAGGCCCCATACTGAGAGCCATCATTATCTGATTCAAATGTGTTTACATAATTTTCCCTCATTCTACTATAAACTACATGAGGGCAGGGTGTGATGATTTTTTGACCCCCGTCTCTCCAGCAGCTAGCTAAGTGCCTGGCACACAGCAGATGTGGAACATATATTTGTGGCTTAGTGAAAGCTTCTACAAGCAGGGCCTGAGCTCTTCTTGGCATGCTGAAGACAGCTGCTCAGCCTCTGTCACTCTGGGGCTCTCTCTCCTTCTCCAGCAAAGATGCCTCTGGGGCCTCTGCAGACTCCACGGCAGGGCCAGTGTCACAAGCTCATTCACCACTTCTCTTGGAATAGAGATCTGTCTCCTTTGGAAGCCAGCCCAGAGCTTCTGATAGGCCCTTCAGCTCTGTCCCTTTTCAGGAAGTCTCAGGGTGGTTCCTCTGTAGAGCACGCTGTCTGTCCTGGCTCTGGCTTTGGGAGGTGGGCTTGTGTGGAAAAGGACTGGGAGGCAAATAACTCTGCCTGGAAATCCAGCAAGGCACTGCCACAACCTCCATGCCTGTGTGTGTGTGTGTGTGTGTGTGTGTGTGTGTGTGTGTGTGTGTATGCGCACATGCGCACACAATCATGTTCCTATATGCTAGGAACAGGTCTGTTTTTGCATGTTTACATAGATACAGTGCATGGAAAAGTGATTTAAAAAGTTCTTCCAACACCATAATTTGAAAACTTCAGGGCTTTAGGATTCTAAGATTCACGTTTCTGTGAGTCTGTGCGGCTCACCAGCCACAATTCTAAGACTTGGAGATTCAGGGCTCCTACAATGCTGAGATGCCATTCGCAGTACGCGTGTGTGTGTGTGCGTGTGCGTGCACACTGTCTGGGGCTAGTGTCTGGAGCTGGTGGGTGGAAAGCCTGCTCTGTGGTTTCCTGCCTGACTGTTTTCTTTCTTGAGGCTTGAGATATCAATCAGCTTAGGTTGCTAAGTGTCTTAGCAATATGTCTGGAATTCCACCCTGACATGGGCAGGCCTGGGATATAAAGAGTTTCTGAATGCAGGGCAGCTGGGGGGCAGAGTAGTGGGGAGGAGGGAAGGGGGAGAAGACAGAGGCCTTAGGAAGTAAGCGGGATTGTTTTGGGGATGGCAGACAAAGGCCTCAGGAAGTGCCCTCTAAAATTCTTGGGTAGGGCCCAGATGCAGTGGCAGCCATGGAAGGAATGTGGGGATACCAGGAGGGAGGGGATGGAAAGACACACCACAAGTCTTTGTGCCCCGACCACTCTTTCCTCACTAATCAAATGGACTGGCAGGTATAGTGGAGGGGGTACTCAGTTAGAATACAAGAGAAGTAGCTATAATCCTGGCTTTGTGCAAATACACATATCTCTATAGCTTGAACAAGTTATTTAATTTCTTTGGACCTCCGTTTCCTTTTCTAGAAAGTGTGAAGAATTACAGTCAAACTCCTGAGGTTTGGGCTACCTCTCACCAGCCACTCCTGGATATTAGGTTCCCTGGTCATGACTATAGCCCCTCAGAACTGGACCCTTTCCTGTAGATAACCTGGAGCACAGAACCATCTGCTTCCAAATTGTTCCCCTGCCAACCTGCACCCACAGCCACGGGCCTGCTGTGAGCATGACACAGGGCACCTGCTCCTTCCATGGGGTCTGATTTGGATGCTGGCTTCTATGGATGACTGGTGCACCCATCTCTAAGTCTTCTTCATATTTTGTCCACTGCCTTCATGTTCCCCCATCTCTTGGAACCCCCATTCCACCATCTCGGGTATAGAATAGTAGTGAAGAGTGAAGACTAACATGTTTTCCCAGGAGACAGAATGCCAGGGTTCAAATCCCAACCTGTCCCTACCTGGCTATGTGACTCCAAGCTGGTTACTTAACCTTTCTTTTTTCTTTTTTTTTTTTTTGAGTTGGAGTCTCACTCTGTTGCCCAGGCTGGAGTGCAGTGGCATGATCTCAGCTCACTGCAACTTCTGTCTTCCAGGTTTAAGTGATTCCCCTGCCTCAGTCTCCCTAGTAGCTGGGATTGCAGGCATGCACCACCATGTCCAGCTAATTTTTTTGCATTTTTAGTAGAGATGGGGTTTCACCATGTGGCCAGGCTGATCTGGAACTCCTGAGCTCAAGTGATCCACCCATCTTGGCCTCCCAAAGTGCTGGGATTACAGGCGTGAGCCACTGTGCCCAGCCACGGTTACCTAACCTTTCTGAACCCAGGTTTCCTCATCTGTAAAATGGGAGGAATAATAATTCCTATCCCATAGAACCCTTGGGACAGTCTCTGACACATAGTGTCAATAGGAGCAGTTATTATCTTTATTTTTATTACCCCCTTCTTCAGTGAGTCATTTCAAAATGTGAGGGTCCAGACCAGACATGGGCCAATCAAAAGAATTCTGCAAAGAGAAAGGATATTCCACCAGAATTATATCAGCAATGTGTACAAGAATGGTTCACCTTTGGCAACATCTCAGAGGTGCCAGAGACCAAAGAGGTTAGATACCAGAGAGAGGGCATCCAGAGCCCACCAACCTCTGAACTCAGCCCAGGAGGCTTGAAGCCTCAGGGCGGCTTCTCTGTCTCTCGCAGCCAACTGTGCTGCTGTCCTACCCACCGCCCTCCCTTACCTCCAGAATTTGTCTCCAGCAAAGATGTATGTCTTCTTGTTTTTGCTCCAGTTAAAGGCGGCATCCACTCGCTGGACATCAGGGGGCAGTCCCAGGCTGGTCAGTGGCTTGGGGTACCCTCGCTCCAGGGTGCTGGCTGAGTAGATCCAGTATTCATTCCCTGGGGTGGAAGCAAAGGGTGTGTTGGCTGGTGCTGACATGCCCTAGGCCAGCCTGTTCCTCCCATCATCTGTCTGTCCACGGGCCCCACTGCAGCCATTCCCAACAGAGTGCAACTTCCTGCTCACTCCTGGTTGCAGTGCCCAGAATCAGGGCTCACACAGAGGGCTTTAGAAGTCAATTACAGAAGGTGCCTGGTCAAGGACATGAGTTGGGGGATAAATCCAGCTCACACTCTGCTCACCAAGTCGTGCACTCTAAGGGCCTTGCTGTCATAAAGAGGCACCTTTTGCTAATTTGCAAAAAGGTGCCCTAGGAGCCAGCAGTTGTCCTCTCCGGGACCCATGATTACGGTGGATTGGGGGAGGTGGGAGCCAGGTGGTGGAGACAATAGTCTTGGCTGAGCCTTTATCTTCTCTAGGATCCCACCTCAGACCAGGACAGGGACCTCCTAAATCCTTCTTTACCCCTCATAAGAGCCCAGCTGTCTGTCTCCCTGAGTGGTTTGTGAGCATCGCGAAGGCAGAGCTTGTATCCCCAGGGTATGGCAAAGCCCAGCGCATGGAAATGCTCCAATAAATGTTAAATGAGTAAACCTTAGCCATACAGACCTCACCTTGATGATTTCTACCACTTCTAGGGGCTCCCTGTACTATTATTTACTTAACATTCTGCTTTCAGTGAATTCATTTTGAAATCTTTAAAAATAAATTTATTAAAAAATGTTTTTTGACTGTCAAAATATCAGTTACTGAATAATCCGTTTCTGTCCTGATTTGAAACTCCACACTATTATAACTAACTGCCTCTGTTAAAACCAATTTATGTCTAAAAGTAAAAATGAAAACAAATATTCTTTAAAACATTCGAACTAAAACTGTTACCTGCCAAAGACTGTATCACTACAAAGGCGTTAGGGACACACCAGCACTAAACTGAGACTTTTTTTCTTCTAGAAAAGAAATGAGACGGATTGAAAAGAATTAAGAAAATGAAATGTGTACACTGAGGGTTAATGCTATCTGATGTTGGGTGTCGGAACCAATCTCCCAGAGGAGCTGCGCACTTCAGGAAATAATGTTGAAAGAATGAATCCATAAAGGAAAGGGAGCACCCACGGGTGCATAGGAACTGTGGTTTGAGAGGGGGAGTGAGCCTGGGACACCCAGGAGCCCTGGTGCAGAGCCCTGTGGAGCTGAGGGCCAAGGAAGGGTGCTTCCCACACACCTGCAAAGAACACAGCCTTCTCCTCCTGTGGGGCCTCGTATACCGCATCAATCTTTTCCGGGAGCTCAGGCCAGAATGTGGCCACCAGCAGGGGCCCCATGGGCTTGTCACGTGGCGTCACAGTCCGCCAAATGAACCTGGCAGGAGGCAAGGGGGCACAGGAAACCACATCTTCAGTCACCCTGCAGCTCGAACCACACACACCCCCAAACCCACCCAGAAACATCCCAGAGATGATTCCATGATGGGAGTGGGAGGCAGGATCAAAGGAAGGTTGGAGAAGGACTGGAGAACGGGCAGAGTTCCTGTCTGCAATCTGCTGGAGCTGAGAAACATCCTCCTACCCTGTTCTCTCCCTCTACCTCCTCCAGGAAGCCTTCCCTGACTACCTCCATCCATATTGTGTTTTCCCTCTCTAAGCCTCTCAAAATCATCAACTCTGAGTGCCTGGAACAGTAGTGTCTGTTTGTCTTAACTCTCCTATTTGATTAGAGGCCAATTGGGGCAGGAGCTGATGACACTCAAGTATTTCCTGAATTAAAATGAAATGAATTTGTGTACTTTGTCAAGAGTAAGAGTTATCATTTATTGAGGGTCCTACTAAATGCCATGTGCTTTATTTATGTGCCTTGTAATTTAATCCCCACAATCTTTTAAGACAGCATGCACTCTGGATGGTCTACCTAGCATTAATTATCTATTTCCCCACCATCCTTCTTCACAAAACTCCACATTTATGATCCAGCCTTCACCTCCTCTGACCCTGTGTCCCCTACCCCCATTCTAGGGGTAGATACTGATTGGTATAAGCCACTGGTTCTCAAAGTGCAGTCTCCTGACCAGCAGCATCTGCGTCACCTGAGAACTCATTAGAAATGCAAATGATTGGGTCCTTACAGAGATCTACAGATAAGAATCTCTGGGCTTGGGGCCCAGAATCTGTGTTTTAACAAGCCTTCCAGATGATTCTAACGCATGCCAAGGTTTGAGAACTACTGGTCTAAGCCAATCAGAGTTTAGCATTCCCTAGCACTGTTACTGATTCAGCAGTTGCCATATGACTTACAGTGGTGTAAAGACGGAACACACAGACTTGTATTTCACATCTGGGGGTCTGTGTGTGTGTATCTGTGCGTGTCTCTTTCTCTCTCGCTTCCTGGGAGAGGGCAGGGATTAGAGCCCCAACTGCCACTGGTAACCTTCTTGTGACCATGAGGTAGAACCGGCCTTAGGATGAAGTAAGTGCAGAGGCTAGCAGTGGACAAAGACATCAAGTCACTGACCCTCTCTCTGCCCCTGCAGGCAGCTCTACCCCTGGACTTTGTACCAAATGAAAGCAATTTCTCTCTACTGTTTAGGCTGGATTGAGTTTGCAGAGGGATGGTCTCTGTTATTTGCAGAAAAACATCCTAGCGTAGGAAGGTGTCACAATTTTTATTTAGCAAATGAAGCTCAGAGAGGTTAGGATTCAAATTACTTAGTTATCACTACATCAATGACTAAATAAATTAGTTATTACCAAGATTCATATCCAGATCTGACTCCAAAGTCTGAGTTTAATCACCCTGCAATACTGTCCTTCATGACCCCCACCCTCACCAGTGCCTAGCAGCAATTTTTGCTCATGGTTGAAGTTTAATATTTACTGGTTAATCAAATAAACCCATTAAACACTCATCACGTTCCTTTTGAAAGAAAACTGTGATGTGGTAGGCCAGGGATGGCTCCAGCCTGGGTCTGGGCTCTGCATCCTTTCCTAGGCCCCACACATCTGAGATCTGCATGTGTGGTCAGGGCTTTCTTAGTGGGAGGAGCTCCAGATGAAGCACATTGCCAGATCCTTACAATGGGAACTGCAGAGCAGTGCTGACATCTGCTGTTATATATCCTGATTTGGGCATTCGAGGCCTGACGGGACCTGATTTCTCACTACATTCTAAGTCTCATCTCTCATTGCATTCTTGCCATTTCCCCATTGGCCAGCAGACCCTGTGAAGGGCAAGGCATCTGCACCCCAGAATTTGGCCCAGTGCCTAGAGTAGAGGAAACTCTTCCTGAAAGTTTATGGAACATCTTCTAGCCTCACCAGATTCTCACTGGCTAATCCAGAAACTTTCACATCACTATGGCTTGGCTCTGCAGGTCCCTCTGTCTCAAAGAACCTCCTAACTTGTCACCCCCATCAGATTCTTGCTTCTCCTTTGAAGGCTCTGCTCAAATGCTGCTGCATCTGTGAAGCCTTCCTTGACTGGGACGTGCTCACAAAAGCACCTAACACCTCTGCGATCACTTTTCTTTCATCTTGCCATGTCAGTTCTCCATGCCTATTTCTCAAACTGGACTTGTGATGCACAAACTTTAATGTGCATCAGAATCACTGGGAGAATTTGCTAAAACGCAGATTCCTGGGGCCTAGCCCCAGAGTTCCAGTCAGGAGGGTCTGAAGCTGGGGCAGAAAACCCACCTTTTAATACCCACACTCTAGATGGTTCTGTTATAGGAGGCCCATGCGCCTGTCTTTGAGAACACTGATCTAGCAGCCCCCCACCCCACTGTCCCGAGAACATCATTCTTCCTCCTCCAGCTACTAAAGCCTAGCAAAGTATTTGGCACAGTAGATGCCAAACAATTATTTGTCAATAACAATAGCTAATATGAATACACTTACTCTGTGTCAGGCATTGTTTTTGTTCTCAGCACTAAGTTCATCTAATCCTTACAACAGCCCTAGGAGATAGGTTGGAATATTAGCCCCATTTTATAAATGAGGAAACCAAGGTACAAAGAAGATACTTAATTAACTTGTCTATGATTACATAACCAGTAAGTAGCAGTTACAGAATTCTAACCCAGAGAATCTGGCTTCAGAGTCCATTTTCTCAACTACTATACTCTATGAATGAATAAATGGATGAATAATGAATAATGGATGGCTGGATCATAAATAATGGATAATAGATGGCTGGCTGGCTGGATGGATGATGGATGGAAAGATATAGGTATGGATGGATGGATGGGTAGATGGATGGATGATAGAAGAATGGAAGGACAGACCCTTTAATGAGGTCCTAGATACTGCCTGCCATTCTCCAGGGAACTAGGGCATTAGGGTAAACCTCAGTCTTTAGTCAACTGAGTGGTGATCTTTATCTATAGCATGAAGAATACCACCTCTTTCTACTCTGCAGTCACTCACCACCCATACACAGAGTAATTTGGCCATTTGAGGGCAACGCCATTCTAGAAGGCCTGTGGTAGACTGAATTATGGTTCCCAATTCTTCCCTCCATTTTGATTTTAGGATTATGCATTCATATGCATTTCCATGTGACTTTGCAGTACTACCCTCTAGGGTAGGTCTTGGGATTGGCCATGTGACTTATTTCAGGCAGTGGAATATTCTCAGACAAGATGTGAGTGGAGGCTTTAAATGAGCTTGTGTAGTTCAGTTTGGCCTCTTGCACCCTGTCATCTGCCATGAGTAGCTGCTAATCCCATGAGAACAACAGGCAGAGCACACCTGAACCCAAACTGTAGCTGAAAGTCAAGATAACTAGTAGACCCACAGACTATGAGAGAGCAAACAAAATGCTTGGGTGCAAATCCACTGAAACCTGGAGGTTGTTTGATACACAGCAGAAACTGCCTAATTCAGGTCATTCTGGGAAGCATTTGGCGGAGTCTTCAGCGAAGAGTGAGGGAAAAGAATAATGGTATAAGAGCAGAGGACAGGAGACAAGGAGGACAAGAAGCAAGCTCCTGCACTCACCGGTCCTTGAAGAAGAAGATCTCACCACGGATCTGAGCGATGCCATCAAATACAATGTCCTGTTTGCAGATCTCAGGAGTGACAGGGCCCAGCGTGGGGGTGGGGCCGGTGCCAAGGTCAATGTCAGGAGAGGCCCCTGGGGAGAACACCTGACCTTAGACTCTCTGCAGCTCCAGAGGTTCTCCCCACTAGGGTGAGCCCCCAGGGGTGCCCACCCAACCATCTAAGAGTCAGAAGAAATCGCCTTCTGGCCTTAGTGTAAGCTCCGTAAGGTAACAAGAAGATGCCTGGACTTGGGGAGTCCTGGGGCCCTTTGTACTTTATATATGCTTTTTACTGACATCACCCAAATCAGTCCTCTCTATAGCCCTGGGAGTGGGGTATCATGATTGCACCATTTCACAGGTGAGGAAACTGAGGCCCAGAAAAGTTGAGTGACTTGCCCAAGGATTCAAACCCAAAGCTCAGATTCTTATGCCCACAAGAGTCAGGGCGGTCAGGGGGCCGCTGGTGTGTCCAGAACTGACAGTATGGCACTTTTCATGATAAGCAATTATTTTAGAGATGAGGAAACTGAGTCCAAAGAGGTATAAAGACTTACACAATATCTTGCAGCTAGTGAAGGGCAGAGGCCACATTTGAACCCAGCACCCCTCACGGCAGACCTTGGGCTTTTTCCTGAGTCTAGCAGTCCCCAAACTTCATCACTCAAGCACCACTTTCACTATTTTGGCCTGGCTCAGATATCACCTGGACCATTAAATATTTTTTAAAAATGAACTGACTTTTTAAACTCTAGCCTCACTGTAAGAACCAACAATAAATAAATAAATAAATAAATAAATAAATAAATAAATAAATAAATAATTGGCTTAAGGCACTGGTTGTTCTGTTTCTACTACATACTAAAAATCAAAGCTTATTATGAAAACTAGAAACTTCCACCCCCGTATTGTTAAGGTCATTCCACATGATGGAAAATTCTGTCCTGTACTTGGCTATTCTCCTGGATTCTAAACTCCACTGGGTTGCTCAAACCTGTGTAACCTTGCACCAGGTGACCTTACTCACCTAGAAAATGGGAGAAACCCAGAAATGGAGCGCTAAGAGTGACATGGATATTAGCATTGTTCGGATAGGGAAGAGTTATCCAAGTATCCCCTTGGAGAGCTGCTCTGCCTTCCCAAGACCAGGTCAACACTCCCATTTCCTGCCCTCGTCTCCAGCACTCCTGGCTGGATGAGATCTTGCTGGTCCCACCCCCTGGGCCTCCATCCCAGGCTACATGACCTCCCCCCTCCTCACCCTCCACCCCCAACCCCCGCCCGGAGGTTTACCATAGAGCTCCTGAATGCCCTTGATGTCATCCTGGGACAGACGGAAGTTCTTGGTGTAGGTGTAAATGGGTGCCATCAGGGCCCCAGGGTCTTGGGAGTGCTCCAGCCCCATGGCGTGGCCAAACTCGTGGGCTGCCACGAGGAACAGGCTGTACCCTGAGGGTTGCAGGGAGGAGAGAGGGTTGAAAGACAGGAAGAGAGATGAGAGAGAAGTCAAGACCTGACCCAGTGATGCAGACTTTTGAGGACAGCCCCACAGTAAGGCTGAGAACCCTGGAAGCGGCATGTATTGATTTTTTTTTTCTTTTCCTGAGAATTCTGGGATCAATACACAATTTTGGGATTAGTGCCTATTGTTTCCAAGTGGGGTCAGCCAAAGTCTTCTTGTCTCTTTCCAAGTCAGTATCAGGACAGGTGTGCTATAAAGGAACAGAACAAGTAGTATCTGCGAATTTTCTACTTAAAACCCCATTCATTTTAAAATCCTGCTTCCTGGCTTTTTATGTCTCTCTATAAAAGATGAGCTCTACAAACCCAGCTCCTCAGCCTCTCTGAAGAGGTAAGAAGAGTGGGGATAGGCTGGCCCCATGTTGCCACCATTTCTGCCCAGGTGAAAGCAGTAAAAACCTTTCACACTTAGCGTGGTTGCACAGGCTGAGCCACAGCCAGCGAGCAAAACCTGTGTCACACCCTGTTGTGGTTAAATGCGTCCCCCCAGAAAAGATTTGCCCAAGTCTTAACCCTAGGGACCTGTGAATGTGAACTTATTTGGAAATAGGCAGGAGAATCACTTGAACCCAGGAGGCAGAGGTTGCAGTGAGCCGAGATCATGCCACTGCACTCCAGCTGGGCAAGAGCAAGACTCCGTCTCAAAAAAAAAAAAAAGGAGGAGAGGCAAGCAGAGGGGGAAGAAGGCCATCCATGTCATGACAGAGGCATAGACTGGAGTGACGCATCCTTCAGAGGGAACATGGCCTTACTGACGCCGTGATTTTAGACTTCCAGCCTCCAGAAGCATGAAAGAATACATGGGGTTTGTTTCAAGCCATCAGTTTGTGGCACTTTGTCATGGCAGCCCCAGGAGACTATAATATTCACCCTGGGTGAGCCACTGAGCTCTGGATACTTGAACCACTCAGGAAGGTGGAGAATCCCACCTTTAAGCTGGTAAAATCAGACTGTGTCCTAGCAAGGAATTTAGCAGGGGATAAGAAAACCTCCTTTGGCCAGCCTCTGTCCACTGACATCTGCCAAGTTCCATCTCATGATGATTAAAAAGAATGAAAGCAACATAAAGACAGGCTTGCCTAATTCTGACAGGCCCTGGACCTGCCCACTGACCTGGCCATTATGGGCCATCAGGGAGCTTTAAGCAACCCTGCAACCCTGGGCTCTGTAGCCTAGATTGGGCACAGGGCCCCAAGCACCCTGCTCACTGCACTGAGCACATAGTAAGGTCACAAGCTGTCTCCTGGTCACTCTCTCCCCTGAGCTTGTGAGTCCTAGGGGGCAGAGAGCTGTCCCAGTCAGCTCCATCCTCAGCACCCAGGACTGACGAGGACCCACCATTTACACCCTGGTAACAGATGGTGCTGACTGATGGGGGAGAGAGGGCTCTGGGGGCTCCCCCAGGGCTGCGTGGACCATGGTGTCAGATCAAGCATGAGGCTCTTCCTTTTTTCCTTTCTTCTACTGCCTACCAGCTCCTTGAAGGCACCTCTTTGTGCAGTGGGAATGTCTCTTAGGAGAATTGTCTCTCTGGTAATCTGTGCTCAGAATTCAGCCAATTTTGGTAGTCACAAGCCCGCCTGGAGGGTGGCTGAAGGGGAAGACAAGAGCAGTGACCCCTCAGGAAGGCCAGTTCTTACCCAGGAGGTGAGTAGCAGCATCTGGTCTACCAGGGTCTGATTTTGGAGGCTGTGCCTCCACCTGGATGGGCAGGATCTAAGCAGGGACCTTGGCTCCACCAGAGATGGGCATTGTCTCAGCCCAGGTGGGCGGGTCTGGGTAGGTGGGTGTCTGGGGGGCAGTGTCTATGCTTGAAGTGGGTGAGGTCTCAGGAAGGTTTTTGGAGCAAGTTTAGGGGCAAGGGCAATGTCCAGGGTCTCTGTCCAATGACCAGGGCCTCGTACCTTGGTCAGGGCAGAAGCCCCACTTGCGGTCATCATCGTAGTTGGCTGTGGTCGCACACCACATCTTTCCGTCACTGCGGCCGGCGCTGGTGCAGCTCTCATATTTGTTGCCCAGGAAAGTGAAGGGGAAGACACAGGGGGCACCTTCTGAGTTCCCACCAACAGTGGACATGGCTGTGGGGTTAGGGATACGGGTCAAGGCGCAGCAAAGAGTCTGAGGCTACCACCAGGAAGCAATGACATGACGCTGACCTTAATGAACCACACCTAAGTTAGACTCAGTCCCAGGCACTGTATCTTTAGACTCATCTCACCCACCCCTGACAACAGCCTTGTGCAGGAGGGACTGAATAGCACCGCGTTTCATGGATGGGAAATAGATCAGAGAGATGATGAAATTTCCCTAAGCCAACACTGCTAGGAAGTATCAGAGCTGCAATTCAAACCCAGGAAGCCAGATTCCAGAGTTCTAATGAGCCTCCCATGGAAGGGGGCAGATGGGCTAGGGGCAAAGGGAGTTGGATGAAGCTGATGGCACCAGCACATGCCCCTCAGCTGTGAGCCCCCTTGGGCAGGGCTTTGCAGAGACCAACCTCTGTGTATGCTGCACAAAGCAGGCGCTCAGTAAATTCCTGTTGGAGGAAGGGAAGAAGGAAAGGAGGGAGGGATAGAGAGGAGGGCAGGAAGGAGACAGGGAGGAAAGCACGGAGCTCTTAATAAAAAACAGACTAAAAGGTGGAGATACAGACCAGGAAAGGCAGGGAAGAGAGATTGCAGGGTCAGAGAGGAGGAGAGAGAAGTCTCTGCCAGAGAGCCTGAGAGAAAAGGGATGCAGGTCGGTCAGAGGATCCTGAGCAGGCCTGACATTTAAGTGTCACCAATTCAACTGTTGATGCCCAATGTCTGTTCTGATTTCAGTGCCCAGGCCATACCAGGTGACAAGTATCCTGACTAGCTACACGGACATCTTGGTGTGGATGTCATTCGCACAGATGTCTTAGCACCCCTGTCTTGGGGAAAGGAGGTGGGCACTCGGAGTCTTATGGGTTTTTTTTTTGTCAGACAGCAGGTGCTGGGCCCTGAGGGAGGGAGAGGGAGTGGCACCCACCGGTCTCAGGGCAGAAGCCATACTTCTTGTCGCGGTCGTAGTCCTCAGTGGTGCCGCACCAGCGGTAGCCATCCGTGCGGCCCTCAGTGGTGCAGCTGTCATAGGATGTGCCCTGGAAGCGGAATGGAAACTTGCAGGGCTGTCCTTCAGCGTTGCCGCCCATGGTGAACAGGGCTAAGGGTGGGGGAGAGAGGGAAGGATGTGAATGAGACATGCTTCCATGGGCACAGGGCTGGCTGGCTGCCCACCTGCCGGTTCACACCAGTGAAGTTGATGCATTGTTAAAATATTAAGAAAACATCTCTACTGGTTGGTAAGGAGCTGCTTCTCTGAGCTCCCAGAGAGAACCCCTGCTTCCCTGGTTATCCCAATCCCTCCCGTGGGACCTTGTGGACCACCCAACAACAAAATGATTGACACCTGGCACACAGCAAGGGCTTCTAGAACCCTGCCTCAGCCCCAAGGGCACTGTCCATTCTGCCTGGTCCACACCTGTACCATGCAAATTTCATGTAATAATGATGTATGACATGAATATATCAGTCATGGCAGGCAGGACCACGAGAATCTCTCTCCATTTGATAGGTGGAGAAATCAAGGCTAGGACAAAGATGGTTCTCAAACTGCTCATGGTCACAGAAATGAAAGAAGTGAATGAAGGTTGTAACTAAAAACTACAAAACACACTAATCTCAATCTCTCTTGCTTAGTCTGTCACTCTCATATATGTGTGTGTGCGTGCACACGCATACACAGAAAGCTTGCTTTACCTCCTGTCAACCCCAGGCCCCTTCCTGGATGGCCTTGTTGCAGTCTCTGTAGGAAGGAGAGAAAGAATGAAGAGGAGGAGGGAGGGAGAGGGAGGTGGTGCCTTCAGGTCCCTTTTACTAAACACTCTGGGCTCCTACTTTGACATCTTCAAGACAGGGGCCATAAATGGAGAGTTGGGGGAGGGAGTGGGGTTCAGAGCCTGGCCTGTCTGTCTTGGATTCTCCCCATCCTCCCCTCATCCACCCAAAGCTAAAAAATGGTGTCTCTGGAATTGCCAACCAGCAAAACCACAAGTCCATAACAAGGACCATCTGTGCACAACGGCGCCAGAGGTGACCTCACCAGCCCCCGTTAACTCCACCATGGCCGGAATGGAGCCCAGTCCCTGGCCTCCCACCACAGAACTCGAGGCCCTGTATCCTCACCACTCCCCTCTCTACCAAAAGACCTTGTCCTGCAATGCCAGAAACAATGGCACCTAGAGAAAAGGCAAGACTGAGTCCAGATACCTTAGTGGCCTCAGAGTTGAGAAAGGCAAAGCGTTAACTTCGACCAATGCCAGCCCCCTGCCTCTGACCTCTCATTTCTACCACCCAGGAAGCCCCTGTCTCCTCCCAAATTCCCCTGACAAGGATGGCAAGAATCAGACACTGACTCAGCCATCAGCAGGGGCTGAGTAACAACAATCTCTGCCTCGAGACCCAGACACGTGCGTGTTGTGCGTACTTGCATCTGGCTAAGCACAAAGTAAATGGCTAATGTCCAATGCAGGGAATAACCCTTCCCAAATTTATGAAATACAGCTGTTTCCACATCTAACTATCACCAAAGCTTTCTGTTCCTATCAGAGGGGTGACACAGGGAAGGGTTAACGCCACATGTAATCCCTACCGGGAAACGCAAGATACAAAAAATATTTTTATTTCAAAATGTCTGACTTATTAATGGTGAATGGCTTAAACTCTTACTTAATATAAAGTTTAGCTCTGGTAGTAAAAGCATAAACAGGAAGGGAATTAACTAGCTCTTTGTTTCTTTCATTCTGTCAAGATGGTTGGTGCTTAGTTTTCAGTTACAGTGGGGTTAGGGAGATTCACAGACATAAAATTACAGACAAAAAGACAGTCTTTAGTCTATGTAGACTATAGAGTCTTTGTGACATGGGAAAGAAGATAGTGTTAAAAATTTTTAGACTTTTTTCCATTTTCGCCAGGTTTTCTGGGCTTTCAATCTGCAGAATTATCAAATATGATGACTTCATAGAGTATGAAGTTACATTGTCTTTTTGTGATTTATGACTATTAAGTGTGTCAAGGATATTTTTAAAAAGGATTGAGTGTGTATGTCAATATCTGTACCCCATTTTAAAAGATTTCCCCCATGTGGCTTCAAAATCTCTGAAATGTTGCATCTCAGGCACTGACAAGCACACAAACACAAATACTGAGTCAAGCCTAAAGTCTTTATCAAGACACAGAGATGCAGACACAAGCTAGACAGGAGGCAGAAAAAGACAGTGCCCAAGAGAGGCAGATAGTATAGCCCCCGTGCCCAGACACACACACACACACACACACACACACACACACACACACACAGGCACACACACACACACACACACACGCATTAGCAGAGGCAGCATCAGGACCAAGGCAGGAGCAATAGCTGAAATTCCTCAGTTGGAGTACGCAAACCAGGTTGAGTCCAGCCCTGGTCTGAGTCCTGCCTCCCTATCACACTGCTAGGTTTCCAGCTACCAGCAAGCCTTTCCTCATGCCCTTGAAGTATCAATCTTGACTGAAGTGTAAAGACTGGTTCTAGAGAGAACCACTGGGCATTGTAATAGTTCTAAGTTCACTCCAATATATATTAGAAATAAATAATTAGCAAATCAAATCTGTGACTTCCTAAATGATTGCTAATGGTGAAACTTAAAAAAAATCAACTTGATTTAATTAGAGTACTACGTTCATCATGGTACTGGTGGGAGAGAAACAGCAATGGCTCAGATCAGGATGGGGGGGAACTGAGTGAAGGACGTTGGAGGGATGCTCATTAACTGGCAGTGGCAGCCAGTCCTGGAGAGTGTGGAGGGAAGAGCACACTGGGGAGCCCGGGAAGCTGGAGGCTTGGGGTGGAAAGTCTTGGGGACTAGAGTGGATGCTCACCTTCATGGGGACAGAAGCCGTACTTGCCATCCTTCTCAAAGTTGTAGGTGGTGGAGCACCAGAGGAAGCCATCGCTGCGGCCGGTATCAGTGCAGCTGTTGTACTCCTTGCCATTGAACAAGAAGGGGAACTTGCAGTACTCCCCATCGGCGTTCCCATACTTCACACGGACCACTAAAGAGTGACATGGAAGGGGGAGGTTGGACTTCTCCAGGCCTTCTTTGGAGACCAAGATTCTGACTCACCCAGATGTGTGACTTTCCTCCCCTCCCACCTCTCTGGTCCAAGCAAATGGAGTGGAGAGAGGACAGGAGAGAAGGTCTGGGGCATGCAGAGGGCCCCTTTCTCACCTTGGCCTTCTCCCAAGGTCCATAGCTCATCGTCATCAAAATGGGAGTCTCCCCCAACACCAGTGCCTGGGGCGAAGGCATGAGCCAGGAGTCCGTCCTTACCGTCAAAGGGGTATCCATCGCCATGCTCTGAAACACACACTGGGTCTTAGCGTCTAGCTGTGCCACCTAGACCCTGAAACCCCTCCACACCCCATCTACATGTGGAGCCTGTCAGCCCACCCAGCATCTGTCCCCTTCCCTTGTCCCAGTGGGGTTATCCAGGACTGTCAACAGGAGCTCAGTAGAGATCTGCTGACCTGGTTGTTACCATCCTATGGTCTACACTGCTCTCCCAGGTTTACATGACTCCCAGTATCCATACCCTCTACCTCCATTGTCTACTCTACCACCATGACACTATATGTACCACATACCCACATTACCACACTAGTGTCCTCACCCCATCTTCATCATCCCCAGTGTCTATGCCATCCTCCATCCTGTCAATACTGCCCTCTTAACCACAATCCTGCCTTCATGTCACACTATCACCAATATCTGCAACATGAATCCTCATGCCCACCTTGTCACCAAGGCCTGTACCACCCACCCACTTGTCTACATTGTTTCCCCTGCTCTTTACCTTCATCACTTACCACTCAGTGTCTATACCACATACCTTTATGTCTGTGCTACTGGCAGTGTTCACACCATAAACTCACATGGCCACCTGGCCCCAGGTTCTACGACCCTTCCTCTAGTGTCTACACTGCTCCACTGTTTCCAAACCACTCTCATATATCTACAGTTCCTCAGTGTCTACCAGCATCATCCAACAGAGCTTTCTGTGATTAAGAGGAATATTCTTTGTCTGTGCTGTCCAAAATCAATAGTCACTAGCCTCCTGTGTCTTTTGAGCACTTAAAATGTGCCCAGTGTGACCAGGAAACTAATTTAAAATTTTTAACTAATTTAAATTTAAACAGCCATGTATATTCTGCCTAATGGCTGCCATATTGGACAGCACAGTAGACCACTTGCTTCGGGTTTAGACGGCCTCCAGGTTATACCACAACACACCATCTGCCCCCATGTCAACGTGGCTCTCCAGTGTCCACTCCGTGTTGTGCTGCCCCCATCTAAACCACCCCCAGGGCCCACACCATCTACTGTCCTATCTAAGCCGCCCTTAGGATCCCCACGCCCCTCTAATGTCCATCTCACCCCCTCGTCTCAACACTGATCCCTGCTGGCCCCTCTTCTGCCCCATCTTCTGCCTACCCCAGCGGCCAAAGTTGATCATGATGTCTGCCTCTCCATCATGGATTCGAGAAAACCGCAGTGGGGTCACATCGCTCCAGACTTGGAAGGCACGAGCAAAGGCATCATCCACTGTCTCTGGGTCCAGATCAGGTGTGTAGCCAATGATCCTGGAGGTGGTAGAACTGCATGTGAGTGTGTATGCATGTGCATAAGTGTATGTATATGCAAGTATGTGTGTGTGCACAGATGTATGAAAAAGTTTGAGTGTGTGTGTGTATGTGAACATACAAGTATATGCACAAGCACGGGAAGGGTGCACAGGTATGTGTATGTATATGTGAGCATGTGCCTGCGTGTATGTGTGTGTAGGCTGGGCAGGGCTCACTGCCAAGGACAACCCTCCCAGAATGCCTTGAAGACCCAGGGAGTCCCAGGCCAGCCAACATTTTTAGGCCCCAGCTCAGGAGTTCCATCTGTCACTTCTGGCTGGTGGGGGAGGGCCATAAGTAGTGCATTATGGGGCACAGGGCAAAGATCCCACCATTGGAACCCAGCACCACCCATACAGAGCACAGCTCTTGGCCCAATTAGCAACCAGTTATAACCCAATTGGGCTGCTAAACCCAATTAGCTACCAATCATCACGTTCCTTCTGCCCATCCCAATGACCTCATCTAAAAACAATAACAATGACTAGCATTACTACACTCTTGCTCTGTGTCAAAAATCATAGAAGCCGTTTGTATTAGTTCAGCCTAGCTTAGTTCCCCAACATACCATATAAGGGCATTTTTTAAGCCCCATTTTGTAGATTGGAAAGCCAACATTCACAGCACTGAAAAGTAACCCAATGTCTCATGGCCAGCAAGTATGAAACTCAAGTCTGTCTGACTTCATTTTCTAAGAACTGTGTATTGAAACTCCCTAAGATGTCAAGCCTTCACAAAAGACACCTCATGGATCCCCTGAGTGGAGAGAATGCATGGGTCAAGGAGACTCGTGTCCCTCAGCCCCATGGCCCTGCCTCCCCAAGCCCTGCCCCGGCACCTGTATGTGATCTGGTTCTTGTCCCACTTGGGCTTGCGAGGGAAGAAGTTGTAGTTGGCCACATCTGGGTTGCCGCAGCGTGGCTTCCGCATGGTCTCGATGGTATTCTGGTCAAGATCACCTGTCTGGGGCAGTCCAAAGAACTTCTGCATCTTCTTTAGTGTGTCCTTCAGCACAAACAGGTTGCAGCTCTCCTTGGGGCAGCCATAGAAGGTGTTCAGGTATTGCTGAAAGAAATGCACACCCCCAAGGCAATTAGCCACATTAGGATGGCACAGTACTGACCAAAGCAGGCTGTAGCAATCAGCCCCCCAACCCAGTGCCATAGTCCAGACAGGAAATAAGCCAGGGGTCCCAGAGCACTGGGTGGAGTACTGGGTTCCCAAACCAGCACGGTCACCCATTAGTTGAGCGACAGGACATACAGCTATAGAGAGCATGGCTACCACTTGTTGGTGCTGGGTGCTGACTATATGTCCAGGCACTAAAGTCAGAATATGTTAACTCATTTAATGCTCAAAACTCTGTAATGTAGATATACTAACCCTATTATACAGAGGAGGAAACTGAAGCACAGAGAGGTTAAGAAACTTGCTTACGATCACACAGTTCACAAATGGTAGATCTGGATTTGGGACAAAGCAATCTGGCTCCAGAGGCTGTGATATGGAATCATTATACTCCAGCATCCTTCCTTTACCTCTATCAACTCATTTATCTACCTTGCGGCTGGTGACTTGGGGACTTTTTTCCTCCTGTTTTCTTCTAAAGAGATTCAAGGACTATGTGCATGGGCTCTGGCAGTAGACAGACCTGGGTTTAAATCCTGAATCAGCCATTTGCAAAAAGAAAGTAGTCCTGTCCTTCATGAGTCATACAACTGGCCCTGCCCAAACTGAGGCCCAAACTGAGCAGGTCCCTGCAGAGGTTCAGGGAGCAACCGACTCATTTATTTATTCAACAAATACTTTTTAATACCTACCATGTACCAAGCCCAGTGCTACTGCTGAGGAAAAACAGGTGAAAAAGATAGACAATTCTGTCTCTAAGGTTCAAATCCTAGCAGGGAGGCTGATAGATCCCAAATAAAACAAAATGAAGTATGTGATAAGTACTGTGTTAGAATGTTGAAAGGAGCCAGGAGATCTTCTGACAACGGTCCTAGCCTTGTTGGAAGTAGTTAGGAAAGGGGAAATGGAGGACATAACAATAATAATAATATAATAGAATAATGGCTAGTGCTTATTGAGTACTTACCATGTGCTAGGTAAGCACCTAAGATTACCTCTCTTTTAACCCTGAGATAGGAAATTTCCCAGTTTGCAGATGAAGAAACTGAGAAGTCACTTGCCTAACATCATCACTAGGCCAGCTGGTTGGTTCATGCACTCTTTGATTTGAAGCCAAGCGGTCTAAGTCCAGAGTTATCTTCTTAAGCCCCCACTGCATTGCCTCTGGACAACACAGACTTCCATTTGTCAGAGGTGTTCAAACCAGGCACCTCCATCTTGAGTGGGGGGCTGGGTAAGATGAGGCTGAGACCTGCTGTGCTTCATTCCCAGGAGGGCAGGCATGCATTCTTAGTCACAGAATGAGACAGGAGGTTGGTAGGACTGATTTCACCATATACAGTTCGGGTCACAAAGACCCCTATGATAAAACAGGATGCAGTAAAGAAGCTGGAGAAAGCCCACCCAAACCAAGACTGCAATGAAAGTGACCTCTAGTCGTCCTCACTGCTCATTATATGCTAATTATAATGTATTAGCATGTTAAATACATTAGACACTCCCACCAGCGCTGTGACAGTTTATAAATGCCATAGCAACATTGAGAAGTTACCCTATATGGTCTAAAAGGGAGAGAAACCCTCGGTTCCAGGAACTCCCCACCCTTTTTCTGGAAAACTCTTAAATAATCCACCCCTTGTTTAGCATATAATCAAGAAATAACCATATGTATACTCAGTCCAGCAGCCCATTCCCTGCTCTGTCTATGGAATAATCACCCTTTTATTCCTTTACCTTCTTAATAAATTTGTTTTCACTTTACTCTGTTGGCTCGCTCTTGAATTCCTTCCTGTGCAAGCCAAGAACCCATGTGGCCCCCAGGCTGAACCCCAATTTAGGGGTTCATCCTGTGACCCATTGGCTGGAAAAGGTGTAGGAAACCAAGTAGCTTTGTCATTGTCCCAAAGCTCCACTCTCACCCCCACCCAACAGCCACATCATTATGCCAGCCAGCTCCAGATCCTTGAAAAAAGTAGCCCTCTAAAAATGTATGGAGGTTTCCCAACCCATCTATCCAGAGGGGGCTGAGACCTAGCTGTTTGGAAGGGTGAGAGTTGGGAGAGGGTAGTTGTCACCTCCTGAAGGAGTTCCTAGGGTGACCAGAGGGCATGGGCGTCTTCTCCCGGACAGGTTGAGGGGGAGGCTGGAGGGCAGGGTGGCTGAAGCAACAAGGGAGCAGATATCCCCTGGACTGGAAAGGACATCTTGATGGGTCCCTGGCCTGCCTCTCTCCTCAGGCCCTACTTACGCAACACTGCGGCCAGGCTCAGTGCCCCTCCAGCCAGGCGCGCGCACGCTCACAAGACAACATCTGAACCGCGGTTTGGGAGCCCAGCCAGGAAGGAGGGCTCTCTGGCCGCTCTCCGACCCGAGCGGAGCGCAGTCCGCCCCCGCCCCACGCGCCGGGCCCTCCAGCGCCTGCCCCACTCCTCCTCCCTCCTGCCGGGCCAGCTCTCTCCTTCTTTTCTCCGACCCTTTGGAGAAGTTCGAGGAAACTTTCCGAGGCCCAGCCCTTGACCAATTTGTCCATTAAGCCAGGAGAAAAAAGATGCGCTCTCTGCTTCCCTCCTGCCCCAATCACTTCCCAAATGGCCCCCTCGAGCTGTTTGTTTAAAGGTCCCTCTCCGGATCTGTGCCGAAGGTTCCTAGAAATTTGCCAAGCCCCGCTTTGACCAAGCTCCCTCCCATCCTTATGCGCGCATAAGTTTACCCAAATTGTGTGCCAGAGCACCGTTCCCAAAGTCCTACATTAGCAAAAACGACCCCTGTAGCTGTTTGCCAAAGGCTTACCTAGACGCTTGGCAAGAGCCCTTAGCAACTGCCCAGATGTGTCCAAAAGTTGTTTACAAAGACCGCCCCCCCCCCCCGCCAAATGTCCCAGATACTAGAGGATGTCCCCGCTATTTACATAAGAGTCCCTTTCCAGTAGTTTGCCAGGTCACCCCTCTCCCACTCTCTGGCTTGTTTTTCGCCCCACTGCTGTATGCTGAAGGTTGCCAAATTGTTTATCAAAGGTTTTCTTTGCTTACAAAAGATCCCCCACCGTTTGCAAGAGATCACTCCAATAGCTTGCCAAAGACCCCCCAAGCTGTTTACCGAAGCCCCTCCCCCACGCTGTGTGCCCACCGCCGAGGGCAGGGGGAGAGACACCCCCATCCTTTGCCTCCGAAGTTTGTCTAAACGTGGTTCCTTGAGGCCAGCGCAGCAACTCACCACTGCCAACTCTTTGTCCGTTTTGGGGGCGACATCGCCGGGGAACTTGATGATGGGCGACGGCGCGGCGGCGGCGTGGCTCAGCAGGCAGCCCAGGAGACAGAGCGCCCTCAGGGGACCCGTGAGCGCGCCCCGGGCCATTAGCGCCTCCATCGTAGCGCTCCCTGGCCCCGCGCGTCGCCCGGGGGTCGCTGGCTCGGTGCGTGTGGCCGCCTCGCCGCCTGGTTGGAGCCTGCTCCGCGGCGCAGGGCTGCGCTCCGAGGGTCCGCTGGCTCGGTGGCCTGGGGTTTGCCCGGCTCAGCGGCTCATGGTCCGGCCCCCGCGCCCCAGCCCCCGCCGCCGCCGCCGCCGCCGCAGGTCCTGGCAATCCCTTTGTATGTTTAAAGCCCCAGATGCGCAGCCTCCAGCCACCGCCTGAGGAAGTCTGGATGCAGCGGAAACAAGGGAGGGCAGCCGCCAGATGTAGCCGGCTGGGCTGGGAGGGAGCTGGCAGAGCGGGGCTGGGGGCGGGGGGCGCACTCGGGCCCGCCCCTCTCTGCCCCACCCCCCTACTCGCCCTCCTCCACTTTTCTCCTCTTTTTTCCTTTCTCCACCTCTTTTCCCCGGCCGCCTGCTACTCCTGGCCTCTACGTCCACCCTCAGTGCACGACCTCGTCACCCCACTTGCCTCTCTCGCGATCTGGGCGCACAGCCTCAGAACCCCCTGCTGGGAAACATCTGTCGCTCTAGGCCCTTGACGTCCTGAGGTTAGAGAGCAGCGGTACTACTAGGAGGGACGCCGGCTTGGCTAGGACACCCTGCACTCCCTGGGGTCAGGAACGGGAAGGAATGGTCAGAAACAGATGATCAGCCACAATGATAGATGGTCAGAGACAGAAATTTTCGATATTTAGGGATAGGGACAGAGAGATTCTGGGATGAACAGAGATGGAAAGAGAGAGATGGAAACAGAGACAGTGGAAGGTCCCAGGTTGCTTCCTTACCTCTTTCCTTCTGCAAATGTGTAAGCCTTAACTTGGCCTCGTATAGTGCGAGATGCTAGATACACCTTGGGAAATAGAGCAGTCAGGGGCCCCGCGTTAGAGACGTTGGAACCAGAGCGACTCCATCTTGAACAGGGGGCTGGGTAAAATGAGGCTGAGACCTGCTGGGCTGCACTCCCAGGAGGGTCCGCATTCTCGGTCACAGGATGAGATAGAAATTGGGCAAGACTGGTTTAATAAGATAGAGGTCACAAAGACCCCACTGATAAAACAGTATGCAGTGAAGAAGCCAGCCAAAACCAAGATGGCAAAGAAAGCGACCTCTGGTCATCCTCACTGCTCATTTTACGCTAATTATAATGCATTAGCATGTTAAAGGAAGCACCCACCAGTGCCATGGCAGTTTATAAATGCCATGGCAATGTGGGGAGGTTTACCCTATATGGTCTAAAAAGGGGAGGAGCCCTCAGTTCCACGAATTCCCCACTCACTCTTGAATCCTTTCCTGCGCCAAGCCAAGAATCCATGTGGCCTCTCAGGTCGAATCCCAATTTTGAAGTTCTCCCTGTGACAACCGTCTCTGAGGAATGTCTTCTCCCTCTCTCAGGAAAGACAGTTGAGAGATAAGCTGTGATGGGGAACTCCAGCAGGCTGTTGGGAACGCCTGACTTCAGCCCCTAAACTAGTAAAGACAATCAAGGAAGGCTTCCTGGAAGAAGTGACTTCTGAGCTGAGACCTGAAGAGCTAAAGAGGTGGAGTGCTGGGTGGGGAATATGGGGAATGTTTTAGGGAACATTGACAATGGCCCAGAGATGAAAAACAGCAAGAGGCACTGGAGAAGAAAGTTTTTTCTATCTGAAAAAGGTGGGGCACAGGGTGAGGGGATGGAGCTGGAGGGGTCAGTAAGGACCAGCCTAGGAAGGGGGCAGATAGGACTGGGGGTCAGCAGGGAACAGTTTGAGAAGTAAGGTCAGGGGCTGAAAGAATCAGGAGCAATATACTTGTGGGGGGCATTGGAGGTCACGATTATGTCTTGATCATCACAGCTAGAAAAGTCTCTGCGGCTTGGGTCTCAGTGGGCTTCAGACAAGTTCAGGCTTGTCTGGTGGGTGTGTGCTCTGACTTTCCAGAGTCAGTTTTAAAGGACCCTCTTGGGAGGGACCTTGCCCCGCAGGAGGGAGCCAGGCCCTTCAGCCTGACCCAGTGACAAACCTTGGCTGTTTTGGAGAGGGCGAGACTGAGGTCAGTTGGGAAGGGGGATTGCCTCCTGGCCCAGCCCCACTGGGCTCATGTCCACGTCCTGTGGATAGCCAGAGAGCCAAGTTGGAGAGCTGAGAGCTGAGAGTGAAAATGGAAAAAGTTATCTCACTAAAGCAGGGGCTGCAAACTCGTGGCCTGTGGGCTAAATCCAGCCTGAACAGCATTTTGAAATTTGGGAAACTTCATGTAAAAATCTGACTTTCTGGTTTTCTTTTTTTAAAAAAATTTCCCAAAAATCTGGCAATACTGGATGCCAGTTTCCATATGGCAATAATTTGCTGAAGTTGAGTAGTGACTGCTCCCTTTAGATGAGGCACATACTTTGGTTTGCCACAGTCCTCACCACTCTCTATTGTATTGCCTTGTATGTGACTCCCTTCACTAGGTGTTGTTCATTTACACTTGCCCAATTTGAGTTTTAACCTTTTCAGAAAGTCTCTGGAGTCTGCATAACATGCTTTGGAGCTCCTCTGGCAGAGGGCAGCTTTGACTGTACCTCTTCACAGCCTCTGTGGTTTTGGCATTCCAAGGGTATCGGTTTCCAGTGTGGGGCTTGGTGCCCATTCAGAGATGGCAATGGCTGCAGAAGCAGCACTCAGTGAGAGAGAGGCTTCTGTGCCCAGCAATGACTATGTCAGAGGCATTGGAACCAGAGCAACTCCATCTTGAATAGGGGTTAGACTAAGACCTGCTGGCCTGCATTACCAGTAAATTAAGGCAATCCTAATCACGAAATGAGATAGGAGGCTGGCACAAGATACAGGTCATAAAGACCTTGCTGATAAAACAGGTTGCAGTAAAGAAGCTGGCCAAGACCCACCAAAACCAAGATGATGATGAGAAAAACCTCTGGTCAGCCTTACTGCCACACTCCCACCAGCGCCACGACTGTTTACATATGCCATGGCAACGTCAGGAAGTTATCCTATACGGCCTAAAAGGCAGAAGCATGAATAATTTACCCCTTGTTTAGCATATAATCAAGAAATAACCATAAAAATGGGCAACCAGCAGCTTTTGGGGCTGATCTGCCGATGAAATAGCCATTCTTTTATTCCCTTACTTTCTTAATAAACTTGCTTTCACTTTATGGACTTGCCTCAAATTCCTTCTTGTGTGAGATCCAAGAACCCTCACTTGGGGCCTAGAATGGCCCAGGGGACGAGGAGAGAACAGGCAGTATCTGATGATAATGGGCTTGTTGGTGAGCACATGCAATATGCTCCAGGGCCCCTGTGCACTCCTGTATATCTCTCTTCCCCTGCCACGGTAACCCTGGGAGCCCTGTGTTGATCTAGCAAAGTCGTAAAATGAAAGCAACCAGACCCACTACAGACTTCGTAAGTGAAAAACAAACTCTTAGGCAACGAACCATGGAGCTTTTGGGATATGTTTGTTACTGCAGCATCTTTTAGTCATTCTTAATATAGATGCAAAAATGCTGTTTAGTGGATATAATTGTGTTGCCAAAAAGATATGTTCAAGTCCCAATGCCTGTGACTGTGCCCTCACATGGAAATAGGGTCTTTGCAGATACAATCAAGTTAAGATGAGTGGGCTCTAATCCAAAGCCTGTTGTCATGATAAGAAGACAAAACTTTGGACACAGAGACACACAGCAAGAAGAACTCCATGTGACCATGGAGGCAGAAATTGGAGCAATGCCTGCAACCCAAGGAGTTGCCTGCAACCCAGAAGCTAGAAGAGACAAGAAGGAATTCTTCCCCCAGAGGCTTCAGAGGGAGCGTGGCCCTGCTGACATGTTGGTTTTGGACTTCTAGTCTCAGAGCTCTGAGAGAATAAATTTCTGTTGTAAGCCACCCAGTCTGTAGTGCTTTTTTACAGCAGCCCCAGAAAACTACGCAGGCTGTGATTAGAAGACGTCGCGATATGACATGAATTCTGTCATTTATTCGGGAAGTTTTTGATGAACACTGTTTTTGGTGCTGGGGTACAGTGGCATTAAGGTGGTGTTTTATTGATGAAGAGGCAGAAATTACAGTGCGGGACACTAAGCAGGGGACAGAGCATTGAGGGAGGTAGTGGCCGTGTGCCATGTAAGCCTTCCCAAGACCCTGTCCTCCTACTTTTAGTAGCTGCCCCTTAGTTTCCCATTGGGAAGCTACTTCTCCCCAACTCTAGGTCTGAATTCAGCAGATGTGACCCACCTCCTGGCTCCACAGTGGCAATGTGACCCAAGCTGGGCTAAAAGGCAGATCCAGGCATCTTGGTGAGGTGATGATTCAGATACCGGCTTGTGAATCCACTGGAGCCAAGGAAAGTTAATTCTGGGACTTTAGCTGGAGGTACAGGTTACCTCATTTTATTCACACTTTGCCCTACTGTGCTGTGCAGAGATAGCAATTTTGCAAATTGAAGGTTTGTGACTACCCTGCGTCAAGCAAGCTTACTGATGTCATTTTTCCATTAGCATGTGCTCACTTCCTGTCTCCGTGTCACATTTTGGTAATTCTTGCCATATTTCCAAATTTTTCATTGTTATTATATCTGTTATAGTGATCTGTGATCAGTGATCTCTGATCTTACTAGTTAATTGTTTTGAAGTGCCACAAATGTCAGGCCTCCAAGCCCAAGCTAAGCCATCATATCCCCTGTGACCTGCACGTATACATCCAGATGGCCTGTTCCTGCCTTAACTGATGACATTCCACCACAAAAGAAGTGAAAATGGCCAGTCCCTGCCTTAACTGATGACATTACCTTGTGGAATTCCTTCTCCTGGCTCATCCTGGCTCAAAAGCTCCCCTGCTGAGCACCTTGTGACCCCCCACCCCTGCCCGCCAGAGAACAACTCCCCTTTGACTGTAATTTTCCTTTACCTACCCAAATCCTATAAAACGGCCCCACCCCTATCTCCCTTCGCTGACTCTCCTTTTGGACTCAACCCGCCTGCACCCAGGTGAAATAAACAGCCTTGTTGCTCACAGAAAGCCTGTTTGGTGGTCTCTTCAGATGGACGTGAGTGAAAACAAACTGTGCCCATATACAAGGGTGAACTAAATCACCCTTGTAAATGTGTGTGTTCTGACTGCTTTACCAACTGACTGGCCATTCCTCATTTCTCTCCCTTTCTGTGGGCCTCCCTAGACCCTACAATCAACAATATCAAAATGAGGCCAGTTAATAACTCTACAATGGCCTCTAAGTGTTCAGGTGAAAGGGATGGTTGCACATTTCTCACTTTACGTCAAAAGCTAGAAATGTCTAAGCTTAGTGAGAAAGGCATGTCAAAAGCCCAGAGAGACCAAAAACTAGGCCTCTTGCACCAGGTAGCCAAGTTGTGAATGCAAAGGAAAGCTCTTAAAGAAAATTCAAAGTGCTATCCCAGTAAACACACAAATTATAAGAAGGTGAAACAGCCTTATTGTTGATACTGACAAAGTTTGAGTGGTCTGGAGAGAAGAACAAAACAGCCATAACATTCCCTTAAGATAAAGCTTAGTCCAGAGCAAGGCTCTAACTCTCTTCAACTCTATGAAGGCTGAGAGAGGTGAGGAAGCTGCAGAAGAAAAGTTTAAGCTAGCAGAGGTTGGTTCATGAGGTTTAAGAAGAGAAGCCGTCTCCATAAGATAAAAGTGCAAGGTAAGCAGTAAGTGCTGATGGAGAAGCTGCGGCAAGTTATCCAGAAGGTCTAGCTAGGACCATTGATGAAGGTGGCTACACTAAACAACAGATTTTCAGTGTAGATGAAACAGCCTTCTACTGAAAGAAGATCCCATCTAGGACTTTTATATCTAGAGATGAGAAGTCAATGCCTGATTCAAAGGACAGGCTGACTCTCTTGTCAGGGGTTAATGCAGCTAGTGGCTTTAAGTTGAAGCCAATGCTTGCCCGCTAATTCAAAAATATTGGGCCCTTACGAAAATTTCTTTCAAACTACTACTGCTTATTGAGAAGGCACCTGGCCACCCAAGAGCTCTGATTGAGATGTATGAGATTCATGTTTTCATGCCTGCTAACACAACATCCATTCTGCAGCCCATGGATCGAGGAGTAATTCTGACTTTCAAGTCTTATTATTTAAGAAATTTATTTCATAAGGCTATAGCTGTCATACATAGTGATTCCTCTGATGGATCTGGGCAAAGTAAATTGAAAATCTTGTGAAAAGGATTAACCGTTTCAGATGCCCTTAAAAACATTCATGATTTCATCGGAGGAGGTCAAAATATCAACATTAGCAGGAGTTTGGAAGAAGTCATTTGCAACTCTCATGGATGACTTTCAGAGGTTCAAGACTTCAGTGGAGGAAGTAACTGCAGATGTGACAGAAATAACAAGAGAATTAGAATTAGAAGTGGAGCCTAAAGATGTGACTGAATTGCTATAATCTCATGATCAAACTTGAATGGATAAGGAGCTGCTTATGGATGAGCAAAGAAAGTGGTTTCTCGAGACAAAAACCTACTCTTGGTGAAGATGCTGTGAACATTGTTGAAATGACAACAAAGGATTTAGAATATTCCATAAACTTAGTTGATAAAGGAGTGGTGGCAGGGTTTGGGAGGATTTACTTGAATTTTAAAAGAAGTTCTAGTGTAGATAAAATGCTATCAAACAGCATTGCATGCTGCAGAGAAATCTTTTGTGAAAAGAACGGTCAATCAATGCAGCAAACTTTATTGTTGTCTTATTTTAGGCAATTGCCACAGCCACCCCAGCCTTCAGCAGCCACCACCCTGATCAGTTAGCAGCCATTAACAATGAGGCAACACTCTTTGCCAGCAAAAAGACTATGACTCACTGAAGGCTCAGATGATGGTGCTCTTTTTTTTTTTTTTTTTTTTTTTTTTTTTTTTTTTTTTTTACCAATCAAGTGTTTTTAAATTAGAGTATGTACTTTTTTTTAAACATAATGCTATTACACACTTAATAGACTATAATGTAATGTAAACATAACTGGTTTTTTTATAATCAGGGTCTTACTGTGTCACCAAGGCTGGAGTGCAGTGATACAATCATGGCTCACTGCAGCTTCTACCTCCTGGGCTCAAGTGATACTCCCACATCCGCCTCCCGAGTAGCTGGGACCACAGGTATGCACTACCATGCCCAGCTAATTTTTTTGATTTTTTTTGTGGAGACAGGGTCTCACTATGTTGCCCAGGCTGGTCTCAAATTCCTGGGCTTAAGCAATGTTCCCCCCTCAGCTTTCCAAATTGCTGGGATTACAAGTGTGAGCCACTATGCCCTGCCCATAACTTTTATATGTATTGGGAAACCAAAAACTGTGTGTCACTTGCTTTATTGCAATATTTGCTTCATGGTGGCTGCCTGGAATTGAACTTGCAACCTCTAGGAGTTATGCCTCTATTTGGGATGCACCTACACTTTCACCTGTAAATGAAGTTGGTCTGACCTAAGCGTGGAGCTACCTTTAAGGTTAGATAGAGGCTTCCCGAGGTTGAAGCTTCACCAATGGGAACAGAGCCAAAAAATCAGTGGAAACCCTGGACCCAGCCCTGCCTGTAGCCAGAAGTATCCTTCACTTTTTAGTTTGTGAGCCAATAAATCTCCTCCTCTCAACTTTGAGTTTTGTTTTGTTTTTTGCTTAAAGCTGCCTGGGTTGAGTTTCTGTCACTTGCAACCTGAAAGTCTTGACTGAAACAGTGAAAGACTTTAGCTGAGAAACCTCTTAGCCGAGAAACCTCCCATCTTAAAGATAAGAAACTGCAAAGCTTCTCATCTTTAAGGTCTCAGCTCCAGTGCTGCCTCCTCAGTGAAGCCTTGCTTGACTAGTCATCCCCTAAAATGAGTCACCTCTGTGTTATTTCAT